>NC_000011.10:76813271-77116302 GCF_000001405.40 Homo sapiens | reverse complement strand
AGAACTCACCGTCGTCCTGCACGGTCACACCCATCTTCTCCCGCTCACTCTTGCTCACTTTCTGCCACTCCTCCGAGCTGGGGTGTCAGGGCCGGGGAGGAGAAAGGGAGCTGTCTAAGAGGCAGCCCCACCAGAATCTGTCTGGCAAAGGCGAGGAGGCACGAGGGGCAGTCTTGCACCAGGCCTCCAGCGGCACGGTGTGGCCAGGGGCACTGAGGCCATGCCCAGCCCCTCTCCAGGAAGCCCTGCCTGTCTCCTCCCACAAGGGACCGTGAGCTGCCACCATGACAGGGGCTGGGAGGTCTGAAAGTAAAGCTGCAGACTGGGGGGAAGGGGGGTGCGACCCCCAGTGAAGAGGGCTCCTTCACTTAGCACCTGGGCTCCACTCCCATCTTGGCCTTACCAGGGCCATAAGCCAAGCACAGAGGAGTCCCCCATTTGCTCAGGGCTGTGGCCTCCCTCCCTGCTCCCCTCCCGCACCCACTCACCAAGCTGGTCTCTACACCCCTGATGGCCTCCAGCCCCAGGCCTTTCTTGTGCTCAATCCATCACCCCATACAACCACTGCAAAGTAATTCTCCCTTCTTCGTTCCTAGTGTCATCCTCCCCCAGATCCTTCAAGGCCCAGCCCCAGTGCCAACTCCTCCAAGAAGCCCACCCGTCCTTGTCCAAGCCCTCATGCCCTGTGCCTGCACCCCCATCCCCAGGCCTCACGTGTCACTCCAGGGCCCGTTCCACTCCCGCTCGCCCCAGGGGTTGCGCAGGCGGATCATGTCCAACTTCTCTGACTTGAAGAAGGCCAGTAGGCCGTGGCCCAGGCGCACCTTGCGCACATCAGTGACGGCGTATGCGTGGCCCTTTACCAGGCCGCACGCCAGGCGGGCCTCCATGTCAGCTGCTGTCACTGCCTGTGGAGGGACACAGTTGCTCAGAGAGGCAGGGCCACACTGGAACCCAGACCAGGGACTCAGGTGCTGGAGGGCTAGGAGGCTGCACGGGACCTACAGGATGGGATGGGAATTGCAGTCATGGGGCAGTGCTGTGTTCACAGAGCTTTAAAACCCCCATGGGCAGCAGTCTCAGTAAAGGAAGGTGCCCATAGTGGGTCAGCCCAGGGGAATGCTGGGGCCCACGTGCACTGGCTCAGCTGTTGTTAAATATTCGGGAATATTTAAATTGTTAAATATTCCAGGAATTGTTAAATATTCAGGAACATTGTTTTGTTTTTTGTTTTTTTTTTGGATGGAGTTTTGCTCTTGTTGCCCAGGCTGGAGTGCAATGGCGCGATCTTGGCTCACCACAATTTCTGCCTCCCGGGTTCAAGCAATTCTCCTGCCTCAGCCTCCCGAGTAGCTGGGATTACAGGCATGTGCCACCATGCCCGGCCAGGAATATTGTTAATAGCTGGTTGTTAAATGTGGGTAGTTGGAAATCAGCCATGGTGGGAGTATTTACACCACAGTAATTAGCAAATGCTACAAACCGGGGCTTTTTACTTTGCTGGAGGCAGTTTACCAGCACAGCACAGGGTCTGCTAAAGTTGGGTTTGAACTTGGCTTTCACTGGGCCTCAGCTTTCTCATCCAAAACACGAGCAAGTAATGAAATCAGGACCACCCTCAGATGCACAGACGTTCATAACCCAAGAGGATCAGAAAAGAAGTTTTGGTTGAACAGTGCGGGAAAGGCTTTTCACAGCCTAGAGGGTCTGGGCAGGGGGTTGCACCTTCCAACTTCTCCCCTCCCCCACGAGGCTGAGGGTCTGAATACGTAGGAGCTGACCTGAGCGTGGGATGTCACAGTTGTCTCCCATCTCAGTCAGCGAGGGTGAAGGGGAGGGGTCGCCTCTGGGGACTGCCGTGTTCTCACCTTGATGGAGGCACTGATGAGGCCGCCCCGGCTGTGCACCTTTAACATGCGCTCAAAGAGCTGGTTCCTCTTAGTCTCATCGTTGGCAAAGTCACCCTCGGTCAGGTCGATGGGCTCAGAAACACCACCCGTGAAGTCCACCAGTGCGTCTGCTGTGTTGCCTCCATCCAGGGCCTGGTAACAGCCTGCCAGTCTGGGAAGCAATGTGGAAAGACTTCCCAGCTCATGCTCCCCAGCCAGGCTGCATCCTTTACCTCATAGGGGAGGTTTTTGAAACTCAGAGGGGTCAAACAACCTGTTACAGTCACGCAGCAGGCCACGGCGGAGCCAACACTGGAACCCAGTTCTTAACACTCGGGCCAACATATAAGGCTTAAATTCCCCTAAGCCTTAGTGGCTCAATCTTAAAAAATCAGCTGTCCAAAAAAAAAAAAGCAACTCTTTTCCAAAGTGCCAACAATGGTCAGGGGGAGGGGAAGGAGTTACTGTCGGATGGGTATAGACCTCCTGCTGGGAATGATGAGAAGGTTCTGGGGATAGATAGTGGTGATGGCCCATAGCACTGTGATCATAATGAATGCCACTGAATTGTATGTTTCCATATGGTTAAAATGAGAAGCATTATGTTTTGTCTATTTTACCACAATGAAACTGTGTTTTTTCAAAAAACAAAAAACAACCAAGGCCACTGGGTCGACCTGCATCCAGGTGGTGGAGACTCAGTGGCCACCAGGGGGCTGGCTTTCCTTTCTTAGGATTGAAAGTGGAACCTGCCAATGTGTTTTCTTGGGTTTTTGATGTTGGGAGTTTTTGTCTTTCCTTTTCCTCTCTCCCCCTTTCTCTTGTTTTCTATCTCTCTCTCTCCTTGCTCCTGCCCCTACACACACATTTTTTCAGCAAGATTGACAAATGGGCCTAGCAGGAGGAACCAGAGAGTGGCTCACCTAGAGCTGGCGAGGCTGGCCTCTGACCCCACTGCCCCTCCTCCCTCCTCCCTCCTGGCCTAGGCGTATCCCTGCCCTGCAACGGCCTGCGCGAGTCACTCTTCCCCAGGGTTCCCCACAGCTCAGCAAAACTTTGCTTGTGCCCATTCTATGCTGGGCTCTGTGTTGGGCACTGGGGACACAGAAGCAGAAGGCACGGAGCAGAAGGAGGGGTCAGCAAAGACAGAATGGACAGTCAGCCAGGCAGAGGCGGATGGTGGACAAGAGGGAGGCCCAGCAGGCGGGGAAGGCAGGCACGTGGCCCACCCTGCACAACCAGGCCCCAGCTCAGTTACCACTTCCCCAACCAAGGCCCCAGGCAGGGCATGGCAGCATGAACCTTCGAGAATGGTCCTAAATGTGAGTGCTGCCTCTGCCCCCAGCTACCTACAGGATGTTGCCTGGGCCTCAGTCTTCTCCCCCTAAAATGGGAGTAACCAACATTCCTCTCCTTACAGGGCCCAGGCCTCCACCCCACCCAGCACAGGCTCAGCTGACTATGCCCTCAGGCCTGGCGGTTGAGCCTGCTGCGTGCCTGCACCAGCCCCTCACTTCTCTGTGCCTAAAGCCCTGGCTAACGGAATACCACGAGGAGCCCATCCGGTGCCACCCCCGTCTGGGCCTCCCACCCACCTGCCTGCTGCTGGCACCTACTTGGCATAGGCCTTCTCCACTAGGGCGCACCAAAACTCATTGCGGGAGTTGGAGTGGCAGTAGATGAGCTGGTTGTTGACTGTGGGCAGCCGGTCATCGATGACCACGTCCACCCATTCCCCGAAGCGCCAGAAGTGGAAGTGGAAGATGCCCGCGTAGGCGTTGGGCTTTTCGGGGTCCCATTCCTGCTCCTTCCAGTCTGGGATGACCTGGGTAGGGGGAGGGGGGATAGGATGGGGGAACACAGTGAGGGGATGTCCGGCTTCCTGAGGAAATGGGGGCGTGTGCTTCCAGCGAATCGGAATGTAAAGGAATACTGGGTTCGGATTCCAACTCTGCCACAAGCCTTCGTGAGACCCGGATGAATCCTCCCCATCTCCAGGCTCAGGTTCCCATCTCCGCGAGGCTTGGAGGCTCCCTCGGCCTCCTTCCAGCTGTTGTTCTCAGAGTGTGTGAGCTTTCCTCTTTCTCATGCCTCCCTGCAACCTTCCCCGAGACTTCCGTCCACATCTACCACCAGCTCCTGCCTAGTGACCAGCGCCACCATCCACCCATCCAGCCCACCCCAAGGCTGGCAGCCCCACTGGCTGCTTTGCTTTCCCTCCCTCCATCCAGTCAGCCCAATCTGAGCGCCTCCATTCTCCTGAAATCCATCTCCTCCTCTCCATCCTACTGGCACCACCCTGGCCCAATCCCCCATCTCCTCGCCCAGGGACAACTGTAGCAGTGTCTGCAGCTACATCTACTCTCGCCCCACATAGACCAACCCAGTCCTGTCACTTCCCTAGAAAATAAGACACAAACTCTCAATGCACTCCCCCAGCCTCATTTCTCTGCCTCCCCCACAGCAGCCCCCACCCCTGCTCCCTGCTCCAGGTTCTTCCTTCTCCTCATTACTCAGTAGACTTCCATTTGTCCTTTAGTGTCCATCCTCTTTCTCCAGGAAGCCTCCCTGACTATTCAGATTAGGCCAGGACCCCTATCTCAGTCTCATGGCCCTTGGCAGCTCTCATCTGAGATACTTACCTTTACCAAGTTATAATTAAGTAACTCTGTGACTTTGAGCTCTGATGTTACACTGGGAATGTCAGTTCTCTGGGGGCAGGGCCATATAGGTCTCAGTCACTGCTATGCACCCAGCACCTAGCCCAGGGCCTGACCCAGAGAGTATGTTTAGTAAACATGCATTGACTGAATGAATGAATTCAAAGACATTGACTGGGGACACTGAGACATTGATTTTATTACTTATGACGCATCTGGGAAATGCCTGTGACTACCATGACTTATCTCCATTTAATTATCACAATAACCTCTGAGTAGATGACTATTATCCAGCCCTACTTCACAGATGACAATACTGTGGCCCAGAGAGGGCACGTAACTCGTCCAGGGTCACCCAGCTAGAAAATACACACATGCTTTGGAGGCAGACCAACCTTGGTTTGAAGCCAGGATTCAAACCCAGATCTGTCTGCCTCTGAAAAATGAGCTCCTTGGCACTGTGGACCACTCTGCAACCAGCCCCAAGCTGGACACTGACAACCAGGTGAATCACATGGTCCCTTCCCTCAAAAGGCTCCCAGTCTGGGGAGAGGAGGAGGCACCCAGGCAAAGTGCTGAGGCTACACAGGGTGCAGGCGGGGCTATACCAGAAGGGAGTGCCAGACCCTACTCAGCAGCATCCGCAGTGCTGCTACAGGCGTCCCCCAAGCAGATGAGGACAATAGCCACAATCTGGGCAGAGAAGGGAAAACCCCTCACCCTGTCAAGTCAGGGTGAATGACCCCTGGCCCTGCTGGGCACGGGACCAAGTGGAGCTGAGCCCCATCAGGACCATAAGCAGCTCTTTCTAGAAGAAAACCACTCCAGGTATGGGGGGCACCCAGGCGGAGGAACCAGAGGCACACCAGGAGGCCGGCACTCACCTGAGTGTACAGACTTCAGCCAAAAGCTGCTCCCCACTGCATGCTCATTAAGGACACTTTTGTTTGCATCAACAAACAAAACTCTTACCATCAAAAGGGATGTTGGCAAAGGGAAATGCTCCCTAATGGGACATGTGAGACCAAGAAAATGAAAATGCTAACTGCAGCGAGAGGTACTACTGCCCTAATGGAGCCCTGTTGGGTGCCAGGCACAGGGCCAGGCTGCTCACACTAGCACCCCTGAGCCTCAGGACAGGCTTTTGAGGCAATACTACCGGAAGGTGCTGGCAGAAGGCTGCCCACAGGCTCAAGCGAGGGAGGCAGGGTTCAAACCCAGGACTTCCCAACCTCACTGTCTGGAACCCAGCAAGGGCTCAACACTGGCTGTTCCTTTCCCCCACCTCCTCACCCCCACTTTTCTGTCAACTCTGTGCCCTTTCTAAGTAAAAATGCCCTGACTCCTGGCACTCTCTCCCCACTTTGCTTTCAGGACAGACAGCTGTATCAAAAACACGTCTCATGGGAGGCCAAGGCAGGTGGATCACTTGAGGCCAGTTCGATACCAGCCTGGCCAACATGGTAAAACTCTGTCTCTACTAAAAAAGAATACAAAAATTAGCTGGGCGTGGTGGTGCGTGCCTGTAATCCTAGCCATTCAGGAGGCTGACTCATGAGAATCGCTTGAACCTGGGAGGCGGAGGTTGCAGTGAGCTGGGCAACAGAGCAAGACTCTGTCTCAAAAAAAAAAAAAAGAGCGGTTCCATACAAGGTGAGGGTTACCATTCCCACTGCACAAATGGGAAGACTGAGGTCCAGAAAGAAACAAGATCTGCCCAAGCGCACAGAGTGACAGGGAGTCCTAAGCTGAGAACACAGGCCTGGCCCATCACCTTCACCCCCTCCTTCTGCTCCTGCCCTGTTCTGAATGCTCTGGACTCCATGGCTGGGAGGAAGGGCAGCCCTCACAGGCTGCTAGGACCTCGGGAGGATCATTAGTCAAACTCGAGGCTTGGCTCTGAGCCCTCTGTGGCTCAAGAAGCTGCTAATGAGGCTCCAGGGCCTGGAGACCCAGAGTCTGGGATCCCCAAGGGCCTCCATTTCCCCTCCTGCTTCACCGCCCCTGCACCTGGCACGGGGTGGGCCCCAAGCCAGCCTTCTCACCCCTCAGCTGCTCTGCTGTCAGCCAGGATGCTGAGCAGGAGGGAGACTGTCTAAATAGATGCGCTCGCACACCAAAAACCCTCCCACGCCACGCCGGAAACCAAGGAAGCCAGCACAGACTCCCGGGGCCATGTCAAAGGATTCAGGAACCAACCTGAAGAGGTTCCTGATGGCCAAAGATGGGCTAATTTGAGCATCAATAAGGGCAAAAACAGCAATGGATTAAAACACATCAAATATGTTCCAATTCATGAGATCAGAATGATACTTACAAAAACAATTAGTCACTATCGGAGGTGGGTAGGGAATCAACTCATTTTTTTTTTAAACTGGAAAATTACAGGAAATTTATCCTGTCTCTGTAGACAAACTGTACCAGATGGTAACCAAATAGTAGATGGAGGGAAGTCTTGAACTGGAAGAGACTTCCTGCTCATAAATGAGAAAGGACTGATGATATTAGACCACCAGCATTTTACAATCACTGAAGAATGAATGAATTTAGGCAGTGGTCACTGATGGTTTCTAACATCACAAAAAAGAAAGATAACTAGCCATGATGTGCCCCCGAATGAAGTACACAACATCTTCCATGATGCAGCTGTGACAAAGAAAGAAAAAAATTGTTCCTAAACCGTATGAGCTTCTGGAGCTAAGTCCCAGGTTACAGAAACGCAGGGGACAGAGAACATGTCAAACACCACCAAAAAGACACAGTCAACAAAACCCACACCATGGGAAACCCTACAGGACAAACGGCCCCATTTCTTTGATAGATAATTTACTAGGAAAAAATAAAAGATGAAAGAGCAATCAACCAATTGCAATTATGGACTTCTGTTTGGATCTCATTCAAACAAACCGTAAAACCTATGCATATTTATAGCACAAATTAGAAATTAGAACAATTACTGGATATTTGATGATATTAAGAGATTATTTTATAAGTTGGTATTATGGTTTTTTTTTTTTGAGCCCTTATCTTTCAGAGATGCATCCGGAAATATTTACAGATGAAATGAGATGCTGTCTGGGCAAAGTGCAGGGGTGTGTAGAGGAAATAAGACTAGCCATAGGCTGGCAAGTGTCAAAGTGAAGGGATGGGTGCGAGGAGTCCATCAGGCTGTGCTCGCTACCCTCTCGCTGTCTACAGTAGAAATTCCCCATCACCACGGACACCAGCCACCTGGCCCGGCAGTCCACGCTCTCAGCCTCATCCCTCCAACGCTCCCTCCTTCGGGTCCCATCTACCACAACCACCAAACACCCATGCCACTTCAAGCCACCTCCCCCACGCACATGTGGCTCCCTCTGCCTCCTTCCCTTGTCTCTTAGGGGCCAGCTGAGCAGCAGCTTTGAGGCACCTTCTGCTGAGCACCCCCCCAACAGTCAGGCAGCCCCTTTCCTGGCACCCCAGCATGGCTCTCTTTTCCCTGCCCACTGGGAGGAGCTCCTTGGGGACAGGGGCCAAGTCTGACTAATTCTCAGATCTCCAGCACCCAGCACAGGGCCTGGCCCAGCTCCAAAGCTGGCTGGAGTCTTCCTGGGAGGAAAATCCCCCACACTGGTCACAGGGCAGCCTTGACCGGCTGGTGACCTGTACACACTACTTAATACCACATTACCCACTGCGGTGCATGGCAGTGACTTCACTTTCAACGGGGCCACCTCTGAGTCTCAGTCTCCTCATCTACCTACACTACCTCCAGGGCTGTTATGAGAACTAAAGGAGACAGCCTTGGAGCTCTTTCATAAACTGTAGAGAGCTGTGCACACATGAGGGGTCATCTGTGTTGGTGTACACATGTGTGCCTTCACACAACAGTCTGAAAACCTCAGGGCTGGGAGGGAACTGAGATGACCTGGTCAACCTCCTTCCCAAGAGGAGAAAGGAGAAGCTCCCCATCACCTACTGCATGCTTACGAGGCTTTACTGACTTGGGCTGACCTGGCAGCAAGGCAAGGACTGGCAGGATCTGCCGCCTCCCTGATAACCCCCTGGGATGTGATCCACCAACGGCCACCCACGGCAGAATGGGCCCAGAAACCTCCGGGTCCCACCCATGGGTGCACCACAGCATCCCTGGCTCCTGGATTGTCCCTGGAGACTCCCACCTAGACCCAAGTGGCTGCTCTTAAATCTTCCCCGGGTAGTGGCAGACAGGACTCTCTGCCCAGCTGTGCGACAGAGTGGAGAAGGAGGGGGTCGGCAGCCCAGGGAGGGAAGCTGCTCAGGATCTGCCTGCAAGTGTGTGCGTGTGTGGAGGTGGTGTGTGCAGATGTGGGGCACAGGCAGGGAGCTTTTCACATTTCTGCCTGGGACCCCAGAGGGCCAGTGCGGAGCGTTTCTGAGCCACGCCGCCAGGGCTGTGGAATGGGGGCTACAGGGAGGTTTCCTGTATAACCCAAGCTGGGTAAGGTAAGCCACGGGCCTTTGTGAGTCCTCAAAACTAGTGGGTCCCTGGTCCTGAGTATCTGAGATTCCTCAGCTCTCAGCTTCTGATTCCAAGACTCTCAAACTCCCCGTTTCAGATGCCATGACTGCAGGAGGGCAGGAAAGTGGTGGGCACCCCCTGCCTTCTTGGGAGAGCAGAGCCCTGCTGCTCTCCACCGGAGACCAGGGTGTCGATGCACCACAGAGTGGCCACGGCAGGTCCTGTTCATGGGGTGGCTGAGACCGGGCAGGGACCCCCAGCCTTGGGGGAGTCCCCCTTCCCCCGGGCCTCCAGCTCCCCAGCAATCATGTGAAGGCTAATGGTCTCTGCTGGGCCGCTCTGAGGTGGCGATGGTGACGGAGGAGGACACACTCCCCCATGGCCGCTCTCTCGGACCACAGAGCCAGGCCAGGTTCCTGCCCACCCCTCCGCCCTGCGCCTGCTGCCATCGGCACTGGCCTAGGATGCCTCAGGCAACTCACTTCAGCTCTCCACAGGTTCTCCTGTACCCCCACCCACGGATAACTGAGAGAGGAGACCGTGTGTCTATGGTGATGGGGCAGTAACCATGGGCAAACTCAGGGAGGGAGGGTGACTGTGTGCAGGCTCCGGGAAGCTCGAGCACTTGGTGGACACTCGCCCATTTCACCCTCACAACAGCCTCGAGAGAGGTGCCATTGCTGGCCCCAACTCACAGATGAGGAACAAGCTCAGAGGTTGCCCAAGGCCATCCAGCTGGCAGGGCGGGGCTGGCTAGGTCGCTCACCACACTAGCTGCCTCTCTGGGCACAGAGCTCAGGGAAAGGCAGGTTTCTTTCCCTGTGGTTTCCAGGGAAAATGGGTCATTTGCCATTCCTGCACTCTGGGGATAGAGCCAGGCTTCTACTGCTGTCCTGAGGGTGGGAGGCTGGATTCCTCTGTCTCGGGCAACTCCAGGAGTGGCTGGAAGGCAAGCTTGGGGAGGGGGTGTCAGGGAGGCAGAGACCCCTGAGAGACCGGGGGTGGGGGTTGGGTGCGGGGCTGGGGAAGGGTTCTGCGCATGCTGTGAGGGGTGTGTGAAAGGGAAACCAGGGGGCAGCAGCTACTCTGAGGCGGGCATGAAAGGGGCTGTGTGACCCAGGAGAGTGGTGGGGTTGGATTTTGAAGCAGGGCTCATTCCAAAACAAAACCACTGGTGAGACCCCCAAGGCAGGGCTTGACTTGGTCTCCAGGAAAGAAGCCAGCCCAACCCGAGCCTGGGTTCTCAGGTGGGTGGGGCCCATCTCCCCGGTCCATCCCAGGGACCAGTGTCATGGGGCCAAAGGTCCACAGGCCAAGAGCCTGGCCCACCCACACCTGCTTCCAGCCCCTCCACGCCCTCTGTGACCTGGGCAGGAGGCCGCCTCCTCTGGGCCTCAGTTGTCCCTGTCCAAAAATGAGTGCGCTTCAGAGTGGTGATGAGGGAACAGAGCTGTGAGGAAGGATCAAGTGAGGCACTGAAGTCACGTGGCCTTGGGGCTACATCTTGCCCATGTCAGTCTAGCCCAGCACAGGTTTGACAATTCCTGGAGGGTGGGGCTGGAAGGACCTTCACAGAACCAAGCTGTTCACTCTGGAAGGCCTGAGTCTGGGAGGGGGTTGGGAGCTGCCTGAGGACACACAGCACATCAGTGACAGAAGCCAGACTAAACCCAGGCACAGGCCGGACCTCACCCCACCTCTCAAACTCTGCCCTTCCATCCACCCCCTGCCCAGTGGCCCTGCAAGGCAGGGAGACTCGAGATTGCACCTGGTTTGGTGCCTTCCTACCCCAAGCCCTCGGCGGCGCCCAGATGGCACCTCCCTCAGCACAGCTCTCTGCACACCCAACACGGAGGCAGCTCTGGGGCTACCAGAGAAACAGTCAGGGCCGGAGGCTCCTGGCCAGCCTCAGGAGATTCGGTGAAGCCCCTGATTATTCCAGGCCTCCTCCTTGGAAGGTGGCAAGGGCTGGGGGAGTGTGGGAAGTGGCCAGGGAGCAAGTGCTCGGGGCCGTGAGGGATTGTGAAAGGGATGGGGGCTGATGGCGAGACACTGCACACCACCGAGGCCAGGGCACAGGCTTTATTGGGGACCTGCAGCGGGCACAGCAGAGGGACTCAGGCCCCGGGACAGATAGGCTGGGGAGACAGGCAGTCGGGACTAAGAGGGTCCCCAGAGCTGCAGGAAGAGCTCAAGCAGAAGGGCAGGGCCACTGCACACGGTTCTGGCCTCCCCTCGTGCTCAGCAGGGCAGGCAATGGCCGAGACTTCTTCAAGCCTGTCCCGGAATGGGCCCCAGAGCTGTGAGTCAGAAAGGACCAGTGCTCAGCCCACAGACACTCTCCCACTCTCTCACCCACAGAATCTCAGCTCCAGCATGCTGCTCCAGCCTGCACACCTCCGAGGTGGGGCTCACCCTCCCGGCAGCCCCAGCCACAGGGGATGGCCCTGACCCTCTGGCCCTCAGTGCATCTGTTCCAGAGCCGCAAGTTCCTTGACAGCTTTGCTTCATGAGGGGAAATGTCTTGGACACATCCCTGACTGGCTGAGGACAAAACACAGGGCTGGCCTTAAGTCAGGGTGCTGGGGACAGTGGCTTAGCTGTACTTGGCTGATGTTAGGTGCAGGTCAGGCACTCCCCCAAAAGGGGGGGCTCTCTGGGACTGCGCAATGCGAAGGGGAATGAGGCTAAGAGTCAGAACTGAATCTGATGAAAATTGTGCCTCAGTTTCCCCATCTGTTTGGTGAGTGAGTTGCATCCAATGACCCCAGAGGTTACCATTCTGCCGTCACACCACTGCCGCCTGCAGCCCACTTGGGACTATCAGCCGTCGTAACTGCCCACCACGCCTTCGCCCTGCCCCCCTCAGCTGCATTGAAGAAGCCCAAGAAATGCCAACAGATGCTATGTCAGGACGAAGCACTTGCCTTCCCTGACCTGCAAGCTCTAAAGAGCCTGACTCCCCAGCAGGGGATACCTGAGGCCCTGGAGAATCCACTCTCTCCAGCTCCAACTTCCCTCAAGGCAAAGGGAACCCCCTTTACTAATCCACTCCCTGTTTCACTATCTGAACTGCAGTCTCCTAGCTCAGCAAGCCCCCAGGCCAAGGTCATCCGGACCAGGCCCCTGTTAAGAGCCATCCTTGAACCAGCAGCAATGATGAACAGATAATCTAAAACTGCACTTGTTCCTAGGGTAGGAATAGACCTCTAGAATACATCCATATGAATACAGCACACTCTGTCTCATGGATATGTGTGCGTAGAGACAGATCTCTGTGTAACCTCCCCCTTCACTTCTCCACCCTGAAGTCAGGCCCAGAAGAGCCACAGCTGGGCCTACACAGCCTCCAGGGTGCCAGCCACTCTCCACTGCCCAAATCCACCCCTGCAGCAACCCTGCCCCATATCCTGAGGGTTGTCGACGTGTTATGGGACCAGCAGCCCAGACACAGGCTCCGGCAAAGGGCACCAAGGCCAGGGAGCAGTGAATGCCGGCTTGCTGGACTCCCCGTGGAGACGCCCCATCATCTCTGTCTCCCTGACTCTGGAGGAAGTGGATGCTGGGTTTTTCAATCTCTGTCTCTGTGTCTCTCTTGGTCTTTCTCAGTCTCTCTCTCCCACAATGAAGCAGAGAGAAGGCAGATGGCCCTGGCCTCACTGTCCATGCACACTGGCCCCTAGTAGGCCTCTATCGTCTATAGCAATGCAGCAGCCAGTCCAGCTTCTAGGCTATGGAGCCTCAGAATCTTCTTCCTGTGAGCTGGAGTGCTGGCCCCAGGGAGAAGCAGAGGAGGAAAGGTGTGGGACTCAGGGGGCCTCTGGGCAAGCAGAGGACAGGCTGAGCAGCGAGAATAATGGCCCCAAAAATACAGGGGGGAAAGTGGCAGGGGCAGGGGAGAGCACAGGTGGGCTAGAGGAGAGCAGCAGCTGGCAGCTGCTGTCAGAGCTGGTTAAAAACCACGGAGGCCTTGAGGTTGGCGGGCTCCACACCCTCGCCAAAGGTGACGAGGAAGTACATGACCTTGCGGATCTTGGCCAGGTCCGACAGGCGCTCCCCAAACTCCAGGGCGTCGGCCTCATTCCAATCTATGGCATCCGAGTCCTCCTTGCGCCAGAAGATGGCAGTGGGGTCCAGCAGCTGGCGTGTCATGAGGTTGGTGAGGTCAGGCGTCCAGTTCTGCGAGGTGCCTGTGATGGTGACCTTGCCCGGCTTGTCCAGCACGACATTCCAGCGCTCGAACTGTAGCCGCTGCTGCTGGGTGAAGTTGAGGCGGTACACAGACTCCGCTGGCTGCAGCAGCTTCTCCCCATCCTGGCGCTTCTCCCCGCGCTGCTTCAGGCTCTCCACGCGTAGCCGCATCTGCCTGGTCAGGCCCTGGTCCAGGACCAGCGGCATGTCCAGCTGCGGCTGCTGCGGCCTGTCCTCCGCCATGGCCCAAGTGCTGCTGCCACCAACGCCAAGGACCCAAGTGGGCTGGAGCCTGGGGCCGTGGAGAGAAGAGGCCACCAAAGGGGGGCCCCACCTACTTTCTGCCCTTCCCTCTTCCCCTCCCTTTGCCACTGGCTCTTCCCAGCCCCACTCAGTTCTCAAAATGGGGTGTGTGTCAGGGGTGGGAGTCCCCATCTGCCTCCACTCCAGTCCCCGCAGAAGCGATAATGCAGGCCCTGCAGGCAGGCGGAAGGTGGCAGGTTCCTTGGGGACCAGGTCGCTGATGTCAATTGCTGTGGCAACCGCCCTGACTACCAGGGCTGGGCTGGGTGCTGGCTTGTTTGTGAAGATGAGAGCACTTCGTAAGTGCACTGATGGGGAGGGTGGTGGGGACCACTCCTCACTGGAGGTACACAGGAGAAGATGCAAGACCCGCAGGAGCAGGTGGAGAAGGCAGGACCAGAGAGGGCTTGGTGATTGGAGATCTGAAGTCACCTAAGTTAAACCTTGGAGCTACCCCTGACGCCCGCCTCCCTCTCACTCCTCCACACCCAATCACCAAAGCCTGTCGATTCTGCTTCCCAAACACCCCGGGACCCTTCCCCTCCAGTCCCATTGACAGGATCTCAGCCCAGCTACCGTATCTCTCACCCAGACCCGTGGTTCTCAAGACTTGAGTGAGCATCAGACTCACTCTCAGGACTTAACACACAGATTGCTGGACCCCCTCCCAGAACTCCTGGTTTATCAGGGCTCTGTGGGCCTGAGAATCTGCATTCCTAACCACCTCCCAGGTGACATGCTGCTGGGCCAGGGACTGTGCCTTGAGCATTACTGACCCGGATGACACTGATGGCTGGCTGTGCCGCAGCCCTGCACCATGGCCACAACAGGACAAGGCTTCACTTCTACCCAAATCCCACCACTTACTCCACCTGAATTAATCCTCAGTTTCCCCCAGGGGCCGAGGAAGAATCTGGCAAATGTTTATATCCCCAGGGCCCGGGGCGGAACCAGAAGCTCAGCCTTTATACTGGGGAAATGAAAGAACTGGAGTGTGAGTGGAGCCGGAGTTGGGGAGAGAGTGGGGATGGGAGTTGGGGAGCGGCCGTCGCCACAACACGCCACACACAGAAAAGAGGACAGAGTCAAGGCCAAGGTATCACAACGGAAAACAATCTGAAGGGTCTAGTGGACCACAAGCACGGTCAATTGTGAGATGGTGGCTAATCAATCAGTGGGATCCTGGGCTACCTGAACAGCAGAGGGGCACCAAGGGAGACAGAATACCCGGTCCTGTTAAAACCACACTGCAAGCCCTGGGGTCAGTTCTGGGGGTCATTGGCAGAAATTCCCCCAAGGGTATTTGAGAGAACCATACAGCTAGATGTCAAACTGCCTGATCCTCACAGAACCTTTTGCTTTGTAGCTGGAGGGGCAGGGGAGAGGGGAACAACTTGGCTAAGGAACTACCATGGGAGGCTTCCCTTTCCTCCACATGGGGGAGCTGTTTCTAACCTTCCCAGCACCACATTCTGCTTTTTATTTGTTGAGTTGCTCAGTTTTTGCCTGTGACACACAGTCCTGAGAGGGTAGGAAGTGTGTCTTGTCATTACTCTAGGCCAGCAACCAGAACGGGGCCTGCCACACAGAGGCCTCAGAAATGCTTGTTGAATGAATGAACGAATGATCGAATGAATGAATGAATGAACGGATGAATGAGTGAATGACACTGACAAGGGACAGGTGATGTGATGGACCACGGGACACAAGCCCAAGGCCAAGAGGAAGGTGGGCAGGTGGGGAGACAGTACACAGGTACTGGCCAGGGCCAAAATGAAGTGAGCAAGATGGCTGGAAGGTGAGGTCAGAGAGACTGGGCCTTTGGCTGAAGACCTCCAGGGAGAGCAGTTCCGGGCCCGGGCTGTGGCATGGCAGCAGGTGACTGAGGCGGCTGAAGGTGAAGGCTGATAGAAAGGAGATGGAGAACTAAGACAAGGGTAAAAGGGCAAAGCGAGAGGGCAGGACGTTAGCCACATGGACACAGTAAAGCCTGGGACACAGCAGTTCTTGGGGTAGAATGGGCTGGAAAATGGCAGGAACCAAGCCCTTTGTGCCCAGGTGACTGGCCAGGGCAGCTGGCTGGTGGAGACAGCAACACAGTGGGCTGAGGGTGGGAGTCCAGTGAAGGAGCCAAGTGCTTGTATGGGGACGCTGTGGTCCGGGCAGCACTGGGAAGGAGGATCCCCTATTTCTGGATCCTGAGGGATGGGATGAGGTGGGTGTGATCAACTTCTACTGATGAGGATTTAGGGGCACAAGACCCCTGGGGAGGGTCTGAGCAGAGGGGCACCGACCTTCTGGAGGCCGAAGGTGGGGGGCAGTTGTGACGGGAGCTTGAGTCTCACAGACTGGGCGGGAGGGACGAGCGGTGGGAGCCAAGGGAAGGCCTGGGGGGAAAAGGAATGGAAGAGGGAGGGGAGGAGGCAGAGGGGGTGGACTGAGGCTTGTGGGCAAGGGAGCAGGCAGGATGCAGGAGGCTGCAGCTGGGGACAGGGCCCACTGATGTCCACAGACCTCTGCTCAGCCATCGGACACCTTGGGAGGACCCACCCAAGGCTGGATGTAGCAATGAATACAGAGGAGAAAAGCAAGCTCTAAACTTGCAGATGTAATTGCAAAAATGCATATAAAAAAACAAAACAAGGCTGGGCACAGTGGCTCACGCCTGTAATCCCAGCACCTTGGGAGGCCGAGGCGGGTGGATCACCTGAGGTCAAGAGTTTGAGACCAGCCTGGCCAACGTGGTGAAACCCCATCTCTACTAAAAATACAAAAATTAGCCGGGTATGGTGGCAGGCGCCTGTAATCCCAGCTACTCAGGAGGCTGAGGCAGGAAAATCACTTGAACCCGGGAGGTGGAGGTTACGGTGAGCCGTGATCGCACCATTGCACTCTAGCCTGGGTGACAAGAGCGAAACTCCAACTCAAAAAAAAACCAAAACAAGCAAAATCCTCTTTAACACCAAGTGGAAAAAAAACTAGAAGGAACTCCCTCTCCCTCTCCCTCTCCCTCTCCGTCTCCCTCTCCGTCTCCCTCTCCCTCTCCCTCTCCGTCTCCCTCTCCCTCTCCCCACGGTCTCCCTCTCATGTGGAGCCGAAGCTGGACTGTACTGCTGCCATCTCGGCTCACTGCAACCTCCCTGCCTGATTCTCCTGCCTCAGCCTGCCAAGTGCCTGCGATTGCAGGCACGCGCCACCACGCCTGACTGGTTTTGGTGGAGACGGGGTTTCGCTGTGTTGGCCGGGCCGGTCTCCAGCCCCTAACCGCGAGTGATCCGCCAGCCTTGGCCTCCCGAGGTGCCGGGATTGCAGACGGAGTCTCGTTCACTCAGTGCTCAATGGTGCCCAGGCTGGAGTGCAGTGGCGTGATCTCGGCTCACTACAACCTACACCTCCCAGCCGCCTGCCTTGGCCTCCCAAAGTGCCGAGATTGCAGCCTCTGCCCGGCCGCCACCCCGTCTGGGAAGTGAGGAGTGTCTCTGCCTGGCCGCCCATCGTCTGGGATGTGAGGAGCCCCTCTGCCTGGCTGCCCAGTCTGGAAAGTGAGGAGCGTCTCCGCCCGGCCGCCATCCCATCTAGGAAGTGAGGAGCGCCTCTTCCCAGCCGCCATCACATCTAGGAAGTGAGGAGCGTCTCTGCCCGGCCGCCCATCGTCTGAGATGTGGGGAGCGCCTCTGCCCCGCCGCCCCATCTGGGATGTGAGGAGCGCCTCTGCCCGGCCGAGACCCCGTCTGGGAGGTGAGGAGCGTCTCTGCCCGGCCGCCCCGTCTGAGAAGTGAGGAGACCCTCTGCCTGGCAACCACCCCGTCTGAGAAGTGAGGAGCCCCTCCGCCCGGCAGCCGCCCCGTCTGAGAAGTGAGGAGCCTCTCCGCCCGGCAGCCACCCCATCTGGGAAGTGAGGAGCGTCTCCGCCCAGCAGCCACCCCGTCCGGGAGGGAGGTGGGGGGGGTCAGCCCCCCGCCCGGCCAGCCGCCCCATCCGGGAGGGAGGTGGGGGGTCAGCCCCCCCGCCCGGCCAGCCGTGCCATCCGGGAGGGAGGTGGGGGGGGTCACCCCTCCGCCTGGCCAGCCGCCCCGTCCGGGAGGGAGGTGGGGGGGTCAGCCCTCCGCCCGGCCAGCCGCCCCGTCTGGGAGGTGAGGGGCGCCTCTGCCCGGCCGCCCCTACTGGGAAGTGAGGAGCCCCTCTGCCCGGCCAGCCGCCCCGTCCGGGAGGGAGGTGGGGGGGTCAGCCCCCCGCCCGGCCAGCCGCCCTGTCCGGGAGGGAGGTGGGGGGGTCAGCCCTCCGCCTGGCCAGCCGCCCCGTCTGGGAGGTGAGGGGCGCCTCTGCCCGGCCGCCCCTACTGGGAAGTGAGGAGCCCCTCTGCCCGGCCAGCCGCCCGGTCCGGGAGGGAGGTGGGGGGGTCAGCCCCCCGCCCGGCCAGCTGCCCCGTCCCGGAGGGAGGTGGGGGGGTCAGCCCCCCGCCCGGCCAGCTGCCCCGTCCGGGAGGGAGGTGGGGGGGTCAGCCCCCCGCCCGGCCAGACGCCCCGTCCGGGAGGGAGGTGGGGGGGGTCAGCCCCCCTGCCCGGCCAGCCGCCCCGTCCGGGAGGTGAGGGACGCCTCTGCCCGGCCGCCCCTACTGGGAAGTGAGGAGCCCCTCTGCCCAGCCAGCCGCCCCGTCCGGGAGGGAGGTGGGGGGGTCAGCCCCCCGCCCGGCCAGCCGCCCCGTCCGGGAGGTGAGGGGCGCCTCTGCCCGGCCGCCCCTACTGGGAAGTGAGGAGCCCCTCTGCCCGGCCACCACCCCGTCTGGGAGGTGTGCCCAGCAGCTCATTGAGAACGGGCCAGGATGACAATGGCGGCTTTGTGGAATAGAAAGGCGGGAAAGGTGGGGAAAAGATTGAGAAATCGGATGGTTGCCGTGTCTGTGTAGAAAGAAGTAGACATGGGAGACTTTTCATTTTGTTCTGCACTAAGAAAGATTCTTCTGCCTTGGGATCCTGTTGATCTGTGACCTTACCCCCAACCCTGTGCTCTCTGAAACATGTGCTGTGTCCACTCAGGGTTAAATGGATTAAGGGCGGTACAAGATGTGCTTTGTTAAACAGATGCTTGAAGGCAGCATGCTCGTTAAGAGTCATCACCAATCCCTAATCTCAAGTAATCAGGGACACAAACACTGCGGAAGGCCGCAGGGTCCTCTGCCTAGGAAAACCAGAGACCTTTGTTCACTTGTTTATCTGCTGACCTTCCCTCCACTATTGTCCCATGACCCTGCCAAATCCCCCTCTGTGAGAAACACCCAAGAATTATCAATAAAAAAAAAAAAAAAAAAAAAAAAACTAGAAGGAAACACAGGAAACCCCTTAACACTGATCGTGTCTGATGAATGAAAGCCTTAAGTGACTTTGTACATCCTTGTACTTTTTCAAGCCTTTCGTCCCCAGTACCTACTATGGTTCTCAGGGCATAGCTGGTGCTCCATCCATGTGCACTAAGGGAACTGCTTGATAACTAAAGAGCAGGAACTGCTAATATAACCCGGTCAGGGACATAGTGGGAGGCACTTTTTAATTTTTTTTTTTGAGATGGAGTCTCGCTCTGTAGCCCAGGCTGGAGTGCAGTGGCATGATCTTGGCTCACTGCAAGCTCCACCTCCCAGGTTCACGCCATTCTCCTGCCTCAGCCTCCCAAGTAGCTGGGACTACAGGCGCCCACCACCACGCCTGGCTAATTTTTTGTATTTTTAGTAGAGACGGGGTTTCACCATGTTAGCCAGGGTGGTCTTGATCTCCTGACCTCGTGATCCGCCCACCTCAGCCTCCCAAAGTGCTCAGATTACAGGCGTGAGCCACCGCGCCTGGCTGTGGGAGGCATTTTTAAATGCCTCCACTGGCCCCTCCCAGGCCCCACCCAGGGTTGCTCACCCCAACACTCCCTCCTAGAGACACCCAGGCATTCGACTGGGACTCTGGTCACTTCCATGCTTTTTTTTGGCCAGGAGCTGCCTGACTCCTCCTGGGCCCAGGCCCGGCTCTGTGGCTCAGAGCAGGCATCAGGTCTGCCCCTGTGGCTGCTCCAGGCTCCAGAGAGGTGAGCTCACAGCAGATCTTGGCTTAGGCCAGGCCAGGACCAATGGCAAATGTTCAGCCAAACTGTCGCAACCTGATTTCAAGTTCCTAAAACCTGGTCACCTGAAGTCCACTGCCCTGCCCTCAGGGAATGTACCATCAAGTCGGGGAAGCTAAAATGCCCCCATCAGGGATCCCGTAGGAGCAGGGCAGGAGGCCAAGAGATGTCTGACAGAACAGAGAAACAGGTGGGCCATCTAAGAGGGGGCTGGGGAGGGAAAGTAACAAGTGCAGAGAGCGCAAAAGGCAAGGGTTTGCCTTCCTCCGGCCCCTTTAATCCTCCACGACCCTGGGCACTGGAAAGGTCAATTTACACTGAGGACGAAAACAGCTAGCAGGAGACCCGGCCAGAATCAAATCCAGGTCAGGCTGGCTTCGAATCCTGTGAGGGGTAAGGGTGGCTTGCTGTGGGGGCGTGTGTGTTGGGGGCGTGTGTGTCGAGGATGTGATGCTCAGTGTGTCTGAGGCTCAGAATCCCCAAGTGTGAGGTGGGGAGGGCAGGGGTGCAGCTCAGGCTCGGCAGCCCCCCCACTGCCCTTCCATGGAGAAAACAAGGAGGCCCTGCAGGGCAACAGGCCCAGAAAGTGAGGGGTGACAACAAACAGAGCCCAGTCAACAGGGACGAGGGACGGAAGGCGCAGTAATGAGCTCCGCAGGGCCCCGAGCCTCCTTCCGGGACCCATAGCACCACAGCAGCACAGGAGGCAAAGTGCAATTAGCCAGGAGCGCCCAGACCCGCCCTGGCCTCCCTGGGACCCAAGCTGCTGTAGGAGATCAGCCTCCTGGCCCTGGCAGCCTCCCAGACCAGCCAGGCCAGGTGCCCCAACTCCCTGCAATAGGAACCTTTGGCCCACAGATAAACACAGGCCTCAATGACAGGCCTCCTGCCTGCAGTCCTGGGCCTGTTCTTCACTGTTGAGAGGTGGAGCTGCACCAGGAACCACTTGGGCCCAAGCCCAGGGCAGGACACATAGGCTCCCACCTACAAACGGCCAGACAGATGGCCTCTCCTGGGGAGACTGGAGTCAGGCCCAGCACCACAAGGCCCTGGGAGGTCTGGGGGAGCAAGGCCGACCGTGGGGCTGCTGGGTGGTAGCTGAGTCCAACAATTTGGAAAGGAGCTCTGTTCCCAAAACTCTCCTGAGCCTTCTCTACTCCAGGTCCCTAGTGGGCTCAGCAGGGACATATACGTTGGGCCAGTTCTGCCTGTGGGGAGCTCACCTCACGGGGGAGGTGAAAGATAAACAGGCAATTGCAGGGCAAAGTGGGAGGTGGGGGGCAGCCCTACAGAATGCCCATGTGCCCCTTCAGCCCCTGACTGAGCCCTCATCTAGTGGGGGGGTGGGCTCTAAGGCAGGGGGACCTTGTTCTGAGCTCAGAGAAGGGGGTGGGAGCCTGGAAGCTGGAGAGTGAGGACTGGCCCTACACCCAGAGCACAGAACCAGGCCCCAGCCCTCTCTGGGCCTTGAGGCGTAGAATTGAAATGAGCCAACGGGTGGCTCTCGAAAGCCCTCCTGGCTCAGGTGCCCCTCGAATACCCACATCCACACGCCGCAACCATGGCCTCTGCCAAGGCCCCAGGGGCCCTACAGCAGGCAGCTGCTCCTACCCTGCAGGACTACTGGGGCTAGGCCCCAGGGATGCCCACCCTGGAGTGGCTTTGAGAGGTCACATCCCCGTTCTGCAGACTCAAGAGCAAGACACCTACCAGAGTCTCAGCCTTGCCCAAGGGCACTGCTCCCTCTGATGGCCAAGGGATACCTCAGAGGATGAGGAAAAACTCTGTCTTGCACAGGAGTACCTGTATGTTCTATGATATTAATTATCATAATGCTGGTAGGCACAGCCACCTTTGGCCAAGCACGATGCCGCACAAGGCATGTTGAGTGCAGCATCTGGTCCTATCCTCACCACTCCCCGAGAGACAGCTACTCCGATTGTCCTTATTTTGCTGATGAGTAACCTGAGGCCAGCTCCAAAGCTACCAAGTGCTGAGGCTCACTGCCAAGCCTGGGAGATGCAGATGTCCAGTGCTCCTCAGCCCCACTGCCAGCCCCTCCCAAGGGATGGCAGAAGGGCAGGGATGAGCAAGGGGCAATGACCAGAGTCCCCCTGCAGTCCCTGCCAATAATTCTTCAGGGAGCCAGGGTCTGCCTCCACTCCAGCCTCCCTGCCTCCTGTGCACGGAATCTAAGGCCCTGCTGCCAAGTGCTGGGATAGGAGGTTGGGTTGCAGGACCAGAGCCTATTCTTTCCAACCCAAACCCTTTGGCCCTGGTCCAGAACACCAGCAGCTTGGAACTGTGCTGGGATAGGAGGTTGGGTTGCAGGACCAGAGCCCATTCTTTCCCACCCAAACCCTTTGGCCCTGGTCCAGAACACCAGCAGCTTGGAACTGGGAGTCATGAAGCTGGGGATCACCAAACCACCCTTGCTGAACAACTGGGAAAAGTCAGGCCCAGAGGAGGACAGCAACCAGCTGAGTCACACAGCAGGTCTGTGTCTGTCAGGGGTCTCCTGAGCCCCATCAGTGGTGTCTGCACACTAAATGTGATGCACACAGCTTCCACATTTCACAGGTGTGTATTAATCTGCCAAGTGTCCCCAACAGTGTTGGGGGGGACACATCAGAATGACCTTGGGAGCCTGACGGATTCCCAGCACCTGCCCCTGGGGGTGCCCAGCTGAAGGGTGAGGGATGGCAATTCCGACGCTCGGCCAGTACTGGGGGCCCCCACCCCATCCCTGGCACAGGCTTTTGAAAGTCTCATCTGCCACAATCAGGTTCCGCCTGTCTGGCAGTGAGGGCCACAGGCTGCGTTCACACTCCCCAGCACCCTGCCCACTCTGCCCGAGGCCTCACCTTTTGCCACAGCGACTCCCGGGAGGCAAGTGACGAGCAGGCTGCCACAAACCAGCAGTTGCCCACCTGGCCCTGGTGCAGGTCGTGGGAGCTGATGCCATCCACAAAGAGGCGGGGGTCCTCGCAGATGCCCTGCGGAGAAGGCGAGGAGAGAGCGTGAGGGGCGGAGGAGCATGCGGATGCCCCCCATGGCAGGAGACATGACAGACACAGACGTGACAGACACAGACTTGCTGTGTGATCATCAGCATGGTGATTCACCTGCCTCCCACCACAGACTTGGGGCCCCATAGGGCCCATCTGCTCCCCGCTTGCCCCCCACCCCGCGGTCCTGCCTGGGATGCCCTCTCCCCTTCCTGGCCAGAGAGTGCTCTTCCGCTAAAGGTTTGCTGATGAAGAACCTGTGGGAAGACGTCAGAGCGCTGGACCCGGGGCACTGCCTTCCTCCTACCCGCTGCGCCCCTCCCTAACCAGCAAGAGCTCCATTCCCTTCCTTCTCTAGCACCAGCAGCCTGAGTGCCCACCCCCGCCAGCCCACAGGGGTACAGCAGGTTCAAGTGGGGTGGGGGTGCGGGCATGGGACAAACACCCATATCCCAGCTGGGGAGCACAAAGCGAGGGGCCAGTGGGGAGCGGTGGGCCAGGCCCCGCATGGCACTTGCCTCGCATAATCTCATCAGGTCTTCACGCCACCCAAGGAGCGAGGAGTTGTCATTCCATTGTATGGGCGAGGAATGGAGGTTCAGAGATGGACTGTGACTTGTCAAAGGCACACAGCAAGCAAATGCTCAAGTGGAGCAAAAACTCCTTTTTTTCCTTTTTTCTTTCTTTTTTTCTTTAGAGACAGTCTCGCTCTTTTGCCCAGGCTGGAGTGCATGGAATGCAGTAGTGCAACCTCAGCTCACTGCAACCTCCAGCTCCTGGGTTCAAGCAATTCTCCTGCCTCACCTTCCTGAGTAGCTGGGATTACAGGCACCCACCACCACGCCCAGCTAATTTTTATATTTTTAGTAGAGACAGGGTTTCTCCATGTTGGCCAGGCTGGTCTCAAACTCCTGATCTGCTGGCCTCGGCCTCCCAAAGTGCTGGAATTACAGGCATAAGCCACTGCGCCCAGCCTCCATTTTTATTTTCTACAGAGACTGGTGGGCACGGCCCAAGAGGCTGCTCCATGAGACGCAGCCAGGGAATCCGGCCAGGGCAGCCGCTGACCCGGGAATGATCCATGAGCAACTGGCTGCTCTCAGGCTCAGCCCTTCCTAATTTCTGGAAGCCCCTTGCTCTGCCTGCCAAGAGAGAGGCAGCCCAGGGGGGCTCCAGTACCAGGTGCCCTCTGCACCTGACCCTGCCCAAGGAGCTCTGGCCTGGGCTTTCCACCTCTTCTTGCTGTGGGGGTATTTTCCTTAAAAGCCCCCTGAGGCAGTGCTGTGAAAGGGAAAAGCATGGGCTTTGGCTTCAGACTGGAGACTGAATTCCAGCTCCTCAATCGGCAATCTGGCGAGCTCTCTGAGCCTCGGCTTTCTGATTTATATAATAGAAACAACAATTTCTTTATGTTGTTGGATTTTGGGGTTTTTTGTTTTTGTTTTTGTCTTTTTGAGGCATGGTCTCGTCTGTCACCCAAACTGGAGTGCAGTCACAATCACAGCTCACTGCAGCCTCAACCTCCTAGGCTCAAGCGATCCTCTGGCCTAAGCCTCACGAATAGCTGGGACCGTAGGCCCACACACCACACTCAGCTAACTCTTAAATTTTTTGTAGAGATGAGGTCTCACTATGTTGCCCAGGCTGGTCTCAAACTCCTGAGCTCAAGCAATCTTCCCGCCTCAGCCTCCCAAAGTGCTGGGATGACAGGCTTGAGCCAATGTGCATGGCCAATAATTTCTACTTTGCGAGGAGGAATCAGTGTATGTAAAGTATCAAGCCCAGGGCCTGACCCAAAGCGAATGAAAGTCTCCTTCAATTTTCAGGTGCTAGGAAGCTATGCCCAGACCTCTATGGGTGGCTCCAGCACCAAGAGATGCAACCAGGAAGGGTCAGCTCACCCTGTGTTCCCTCAGCTGTAATCATCCCTCCCCAAGGCCTGAGCTGGGGGTGGGGCCTGGCCTGATCCCTAGCCCTGGCCCAGGGAACAGAGCAGGCCCCTCTTCCTCTCCCATCGCCTCACTGAGCTGAGGAAGCCACTGCTCCCCAGTGGCTGTGGGTATGGTGGAGGGTGGGGACAGGCAAACACTGAGACATGCCTTTCATGTACCAGGCATCCTGCTGACACCACAATCCATCCTCACCAAGGCACTGAGAAGTGGGCAATATCCCCTTTTACAGATAAGGAAACTGAGGCCCAGGGAGGTGTAATACCATGTCCCCGCCACACAGCATGGGCAGATGGCAGCAGCCCTCTGCCTGCCTCCACTCCAGCAGGCGCTCCTGAGCTAGTTCCATCCCAAGAGCTTCTGCGGTCCTACCACAGGCGGCCAGCAGAGGGTGGCAGAGGCAGGAAGACCGAATTTGAATGTCTGCTCCCTGCTGTGCAACTTTGGGCCTCACCTGTGCAGAGGAGATAAATGGTCATCCCAGCAGGGCTGTGTAGGGACTCTACAGATCGTGGAGCAGAGCAGTTGCAAGGGAGAATGGGGAAGAGGGCTCCTAGTTCCCACCAAGATGGGGACCCTGCTGTCCCCTCTGCCCGGAAGAACCAGAGTTTTAGAGGGTCAGAGAAAGGGCTAGAATTCCCCCAAGGGCATGAGCAGCTCCTGAGACCTGGCCCCTCCTTCCAGTTGGCACTACAGGGTGCACCACGGCCAACCTGCACGGCGGCTTCTGCAGAGCACAGGTCTAGGAAACCCAGTGAGGCCGCCTGGTCTCATCCATCCCCAACGGCACCCCGTCAGGAAGCACAGGCAGGAAGAAGGGACTTTCCCTCTCCTCCCCGCTGCCCTCCTGTCTTCCCTCCCAGCCCTGGACCACACCCCACATCCAGCCCATCCTCTGACCCAGAGGGAGCTATGACTTAGCATCTGTTCCCTGAGGCCAGGAGGGCAGGCAAGACCGGGAAGGGAGAGGGGCTTCCATATACGGAGGACCCCAGCCACATCATGCCATGGAAAGAGAAACAGCTACCACCTGGCATCACCAGGGTTTACAGCAGGAAGTGACTCAGGTGTCCCTCCACTTCAGATCCTCCCAGCCAGTGTCCTAAGACAGACACACAACTGCCCCATCCCAGAGAGGAGGAGGCTGAGCCCAGGACAGCGCAGTGATGTCCAAGGTGACAAGGCAAGTAAGTGGACGGATCCGATGGGATGCCCTAGGTCTGCTGGGCTCCCAACCAGGGTCTCCCAACACTAAGCACCACAGCTGGGGCAGACCCGAGGTGCAGATCCAACCAGATCTGGGCCCCAGATCAGGGCTCTGGCCCCAGACACTTCTCCAGTCCTTGAGAGACAGACCGAGCTTGGGAGTCACGATTCCCAGATTCCATCACCCTGACTTGCTGTGGCAGAGCAGGAACCTGGGGGCAATCGTGCAGCCTGGGAAGGAGCAGACAGAGCGGAAGGCAGCCAGGCATGTTCCCACTGCCAGGAGAGGCTCAGGGTCACCAGCTCTAACCAACAGAAACCACCTGAGGTTGGTGGCACCTGGAGTCTGCTCTGGAATCCAGGGGCCACCTTGGGGCACCTGTAAAGGAACAATAATAGAAATATCTCACAATGACTGGGCACCTGCTATGTGGCAGGCACTGTGCAAAACAACCCTGTGAGATGGGCACTGTTGGCATCCCCTTTTTACGGATGAGGAAACCAAGGCACAGAAAGGTTAAGTCACTTGCCCAGGGCCACACAAGAAGAGGTGAAATGAGATTCAAATTCAGGCAGTCTGGCTGCAGTCTCCAGGTAGACTAGGTTTTTTGTTTGTTTGTTTGTTTTTGTTTGTTTTTTTTAGATGGGAGTCTTGCCCTGTCGCCCAGGCTGGAATGCAATGGTGCGATCTTGGCTCACTGCAACCTTCGCCTCCTGGGTTCAAACGATTCTCCTGCCTTAGCCTCTAGAGTAGCTGGGACTACAGGCACCTGCCACCAACACCCAGCTAATTTTTCTATTTTTAGTAGAGACAGGGTTTCACTATGTTGGCCAGGCTGGTCTCAGGTGGGCTAGGTTTTATGGGTGACAAAGCCATCCTTCCTTCACCTGTCTCCCTGCACCTGTCCTAACCCAGCTTAGGGGGTGTCTCACTAGATAGCAATGAGACCAAGGGTTTGGGGAAGCCCAGGCCCTCACCTCTGCCACCATGGGGCCAGGCTTCTCAAGCCTAGTGTTTGTCCTTCCACTTTTCCTGGGCCACTGGCTGGACATAGGTCATAGAGTGAGTCAGGGAAGGTCTCTGCCCACAGGCAGGGATCTTGAGAAGGAGCCAGGCCCTGACCCCCCATGTGAGCAGAGCTGTGACAGCAGGAGCCAGAGAGAAAACAGAGGAGGCTGCCTGGAGGCAGTGATGCTGGCAGAGCAGGCATGGAGAGTGCTGGTAAGCAGGGAGGTTCAGGAGGGAAATGGGGACCCGAAGTGTCCTGAGGCAGACACTGCCTCCGAAATGGTCCTCGGGTGCCAGGGGCCCTTTATCTGGTGCCAGCCACCTGTGCTCCCTTCCATCCCTGTCCACACTCTCTAGGTTTCCTTAGGGTCCCCACCACCAGCCTGTGAGCTCCTAAGCAGGGCCCAGGCCTGACTTTGCCCACTTCTAGGCTTAGCAAAGCTTGGCAGGTTCCACTGGGGCTACAGACAGGTCCCTGGGAGGGAGGGGGGACAAAGTGGTGCACAGGATTGGGCTGTACAGGGGCTACCCCTGAGGGCTGGGGGTTGACCATTTCTCCAGGCAACACAGCTCTAGGACAGCATTCTGCACCTGCAGTCACCGCTCCCCTGCTCAGCCCATCCCAGCCTGTTAGACCAACTCTACCTGACAGGCCACAGCCCAGCCCACCTCCCTTCTCCCTTCGTGGCACAACAAGAAATTCAGGTTTCTATTCCTGGTGTACAAGGCAAGGCAAGGCAGCAGACTGGATCCATGGCACCTGGGCTATATCTGCAGAGGCTCCCTCCACATCCGTCCTCCTCCCCCACTCTTTGTCCATCCAGCTTCACCCTAGTCACCACCCTCCTGGAATCTAGGATCACAGAATGAATGAACTAGACAGTGGGAAACAGGTCTGGGAAGGACACGGGACTTCCATCTGGGACTGGAAAGGGAGTTGTAGCCTACAGCCCATCCCCTCTGCAGAAGACTTGCCCTCCCCCAGCCCTACCTCCTTCTCCTCCATGGCAGTCCGCACCCTTCAAGGCCTCTGAAAGCTCTCCCTGACCCCACTGAACCCCATCTCTGAGCACATGCCCAGAAGGGGGTCATTCCTGGGCAGTTCGGCTGGGTGTGCCCCCGCTGCCAGGCCTTGCTGCAAACTGACTGTTCTGTGGCACGAAAAGGCCTTATGTTCAGGGAGCCGAGGAGTAGGGCCATCTCCAGGAAATGGCTTGATGGGCAAGAGTCCCCGGGACTGGGCTGAGGCTGGGGCCCCCGAGACTGCACTAGGGGAATTCTGCAGGTTCCAAAACCAGTGTCTGTTCATTAGTCCCCCTCCCCCACCCCACCTTGTCCCCTGTGCATTCCACCAAAGGACCTCCAGGCTCATACCCAGATGTGGGAGAGACAGCATGCTGGATGAGGGGATGTTGCCCCCACAGGGTGACAGGAGGCCGCCTACCAGGTCCCGGGCCCTGAGCGAGGAGGACGGACACCCTGAGCTCCCAGGCCTGGGGACATTCTCCATTCTCCGTGCATCTCCCCAGCCAGGCCTGTGAGGGGCCAGCGAATGGCCACTGTACTGGAAAGAACAAAAACATAGCGAGCCTGTGGGTGAAGGGTGTGGGCTGAAGGCAGGTGCCCAGGTCGGCACCCAAGAGGACAAGGCCTGGTCCCACCTGCAGAGTCAATAGGAGATGGGATGTCCCAACCAAGGTGGCTCTAGGTCCCCAACAAAAAGTTGCCAAGGAGAAGACGAGCAAGAGAGGGGAACCAGTTTGTCACCTGCCTCCCATGTGTATGACACCACAGATACCTCAAGTCATTTCGGTTTCCAGAAACTGTGACCAGCAAGAATTATCCTTCCCCAATTACAGATGAGGAAACTGAGGCCCAAGCAGGAGTGACTTGTTCAAGGTCACACTTCTAGTAAGGTAGGGCCAAGGCTGCAGCCAAGTTCACTGTGGCTCAAAAACTAGCCTCTGCATTCCATTTGAGAGGCAGCGAGGCTGGGAGGCTGGCTGAGGAGACCCTCTAAGAACAGAGCAGCCACTATAAGGACCAACTCAGAGAAGGAGCTGGAGGGGATGGACGGGCATGCAGCACGACTTCTCATTTGTAAACAGGCGGTCACAGGTAAGACTCCATCGAAACAAGGCTGCCTGAGGCCAAAGTTCCCTCTCACTGGCAAGCAGCTGGGCGTTAATGATAACCCACTGGGCTGGGCCCGCCAAGCAAGCTGAGCCAAGCCTGCTTGACTTCCTGCTCCACAAACCTCCCATCCCGTTAGTGGGGCAGGGGCTGCCTGTCCTGCAGGCTTGTGGCTAGCCAGTAGGCAGTGCCTACACACATGGTTTAGGAAATCCAGGCAGTGCCGTGGACCATCCACCCCAGCCTGGTCTGAGTCCCCATCACTGCTGCCCCTTGGGCCCCACTCACACAGCTCTCTGAACACCAGCCACCATACGCTCTCTGTCACCTGCCCCCACATCCAGGGCAGGGCAGCTCTGCGTGTCTAGAAAGGGCAGGGCACCAAGTGAGCCAGCGAGGAAGGCAACGAGAGGAGGAGGTGTGGCATGGCTCCTGAACCCACAAGGAAAGGGGCTCAGAAAGGGCAGCTGACTCCCCTGGGTCACGCAGCAGGAGAGTACCAAGCGGGCCAACCTGGCGTCTCCTCCTCTCACCGCAGCAAGCCCAGCCTGCTCCCGCCAGGCCTCACCAGCCTCTTTTCGGAGCCACGGACCTAAAATGTCTGGGCAATGGCCAGAGGGCAGGAGGGAGTCAGGACGGGGGTAGCCAGGGGATGGAGTGGGAGGAGGGCGAAGAGCTCGAGTGCCCAGCCCTCCTCCCCACAGCCAAGGCCTCACAAAGGCCCTTTGAGGCCAAGGCCTCCCTCCCCACCTACTTGACAAAGGAAGAGAGGAAGGCGTGGGAGAGGGGGCCCAAGAGGCAGAACTCTTGTGGCCAGGCCAGGAGGCTCCTGGGCCTTCCAGAGAGTCAGTACAGGGCCAGAGATTCTGTTACAGCTCTTGGGACTGAGGTCAAGGGCACCAGGGGCCCTTTATCTGGTGCCAGGAAGGTGGGGTGCAGGGAGGCAGGACTCTTCAACTACCCCTGCTAGCAGCTCATGGGTGATCTAGGACACGCACCTTCCTCTCTTGGCCTCAGTTTCTCTGCCACTCAAGAGTCCCAGTCCAAGGACATCTACGGGGTATTTTCAGTCAGAAGGGACTCGAGATCATAGCCTGGGAGGGAAACTAGAAAACTACATTTCATTTTCCCAAAAAGCCCAGGGGATCAGGAGGAACTTTGGAAAATGCAAATCTGACCCTGTTACAGGCTGCTGAAAGCCTTTGCCTTCGCGGGACCTCACTACTCACAGAGCAAGGTCGAGCATCTTGGCCCCAGATCTGCCACCCCAGGCATGGCTCTCCACAGGCCCACATGAGCCTGAGGGGCTCCCACCTGTGAGTTTCTATTCCCTCTGCCTTTTCCCACCTGGCCCTTTGGGCAAAAACCTCATCACCCTTCACCTCCAAGACACCTCCTCTGATTACTGGGCTGCGGGAGTCACAGCCTCCTCCCAGCCTGGAGCATCCTTGAGACAGCAGCATGGTCTCCCGCATTGTGAGGGGACGACCCTCAGTGTCACTAGCACAGCCCTGGAGGCCAGGGAGAGTAACCTCCTGCAGCCTCCCCTCCACCCAGGCCACCAGGGACCCCATTCTGCAGGACCCACAGACAAGCAGCGAACCCCTCCCCAGCCCACCCTCACACCCAGGAATCGGGGTTCAAGGGGATGAAATCACACCAGGAGGCCAAACATTTCTGTGTAACACACTCTAGCCTCAGGGACCAAAAGGAGTGGTCGGAGAGACGCCACCTGTTCATCATTATCAGTATCCATGGTCCCGTACTGGCTGCCAGGCTGTGAGTGGAATTTTGCATGCATTACCTCTTTTAATTCTCACAACCACTCTATGAGGTAGGTACTACTATCTTTTTACAATTATTATTATTATTGATTAATCATCATAATAAATACTTTTCATTTCTACCACAAATGACTATTTCAAAATCATGATGATAACAATCAGGAAAGTAAATTCCTTACATTTGGATGTCAATCTACATTTTATCAAAAATGGTCATATCCACATCACCCCATTTTTATTCCAAAAATGACCCTCAGCGGGGCTGAGGTTACTGCCCCATTTTTCCTGTGAGGAAGTGGAGGCCCTGAGAGGGTGAAGGCCTGGCTGGGCCTCAACCAATCCAGTGGTGGCCACAGGATTACAGCCCATTCTCCAAGCTCCCCATCCGGATCAAATCCCACCGTTTCAGCACCCTCACTTTCTCAGCAGCCTGGGGCCAGGGATGCCTCCTCCCACCACCCCGATGTCCCTGCAGGCCCAGCCTTGTGGGTGGGCCTGGGCCCGCTCACCCAGCTCCAGCTGGGACCAGACACTGACCTTGGGTCGCTTCCACCTGACGGCGGGCCCCGGCGTGCCCTTATAGTAGAGTGAGTCGTCAGTGGCGGGGAAGAGGGGGTCCTCGAAGAGCACCTTCCTGCGCCGGCAGTCCCGCCTCAGGGCTGAGTAGTTCTGGTCCTCATAGGGCTTCACACACGAGAACATGGTGGCTGCTGCCCCAGGGAGGGGAGGGGGAACACCTGGACAGGAAGGCAAGAAGACGGTCACTCACAGAGTCCCTGGGTCCCTGATGTGCCCTGTGAAGCGGACATCATCAGCCCCATGGCACAGGCACGGAAGGCTCAGCGAGGCGTGGAGCCTACCCAAGGTCACACAGCTGGTATACAGCAGAGTGGGACAGACACCGACCGGCCTGACTCCATAGACTGGATTCTCTCGTTTCTGAAGCTCAGAGGCGATACCAGGCCCACAGGCCACACAGAGCTCAGGCCTGGCCCACACCGCACCTACCTCCCTGCCTTCCTTTGTTTGACCAGCCTTCCCTACACCTCCTCAGACGGAATCAGACCAGTGGCCAGCCCTGCCAGCTCCCTGGCTGGTGTGTCTCCCACAGGAAAGCAGCGTGTGCCTCTGGGTTTCCCTCCCCACCTCTAGAGAGTGGCACATTTCTGCCTGGTGTGGGAAAACCTTGCCCCAGGTACCCCTCTCAGCATCATTCATTCATTCTCTCCGGTCCTCCCCGCACCATGCTGCCTTCCTCACAGCATCTTGGGAATAGGCGTCTCTAATTCTGTAGAGAGCAGGCCCATGGCTCCTTAACCCTCCCTCCATTCCCCAGGGGCCCAGGTGGGCCCAGCCAAGCACCCTGAACTTTGCACCAATGTGCTGACCAAGTGCAAGGGACACAGACTGGACCAACATGGTCAGGGAAGGCCTCTGGGAGTGGAGGGCAGGGCAGGGCAAGGAACAGCGGCTGGCAGGGCCTGCATATCAGGTGCGCTGAGAGATGCTCGGACGGCCAAGCACCTGAGTGACCACCCCATTTATGATCCACGCCCCCATCCCTCAAACTCCATCTGGGCTGCGGTGCAGCTCCACAGTCCCCGATCTACTCTTCCTGGGGCCTGCCCAGGGTAACAGTGCAATCCTTTTGGGGTAAAGGCCACAATTTCCAGCCCAGCCCTGAGGGAAACCAAGGCAAGGCAGGCTGGCTGTGGGAGTGATATCTGAGATCAAGACTGGTGTGAGTGCCAGCCCCAGTGGTACCACCCTCCTGCTGGGTGACGTTGAACTGGTCATGTGAACTCTCTGAGCCCGTTTTCTCATCTCAGTGATGGGAATTACACAGTGCTGCTGCACCTCCTGGAAGGAGTCAACCCATTAACTGAAGGCTGAGGAGCCCGCCAAGCATGCCAGTGGGAAGAGGAGTGAGGGGGAAGGGGCCAAGACACCCAGTGGTCCCAAGAGACGCCCCATTTCCCTGGCCAGAGGTGCATGTGTACTGCCTGCCAACAGTGCCGGTGGGCACACGGCTGCCAGCTTTCACAAAATACAACTGCGGCTCAGTGAGGTGAGGTGACCTGCCCAAGCTCCCCTGGAAACCTGGTGTCCGGACGGGAACCCAGATCCTCTGACTTTAGTGCCACCGCCTTGGCTGTATGACCCTGCCGCTCTCACTTAGGGTCTCCCCACACACCGTGGCTGAGCTGGAGCCTCACTGGGGCCTCATGTGGAGGGAAAGAGGGAAGGGAGAGACAGGAAAGGAAAGAGGCGAGCGCGGGCAGTGAGCATGGGCACAGATGGACAGCAGGGAGGGCAAGGGGGCCATTGTCCCCCCACCTGCCAAGGGAGCTGAGAGCAGTTGTCCCCTGCTCTGCACCCAAGCCACTTCACCTTCTGCCCCCATATCCATACTGGGCCTGCTGGAGTGCTGCTGTGTGACCTCAGGCCAACCACTTAACTTCTCTGGCTGCCCCTCTGCCCACGGAGGCCAGCAGCCCTGCCCCCTCCCACCCATTCTCCCTGCCTTGGAGGTCTGAGGGAGAGAGGGGAGGAGCTCACAGAGCCAGCTTCCGGGCTTCAGGCTTCTGGCAGAGTCACCGAGGAGCAGCATTAGCACCACGGGTTTCCGGCAGGGTCAGTTCAGGAAGCAATTTAGGCTACAAGAATTAGATCAGAGAAGCTGAAAGCAGGAGCCCAGAAATCAGCTCTTGCAATTCCAGTGTTTCTGAGCCTAGAGGGTCCAGAGAGGGAGAGGAAGCTCGCCCAGGGCACACAGCCAGGCTGGTGGAGAAAGAGGGTCTGGCTGCTCTCCAGGCTAGGAAGGGGCCAACGCTGCTGGGAGGGTCCACTCCTGGGGAGGATGGAAGGGAGGTGGAGGCCATAAAGGGAGAGCTCGGCTGGGCCAGGGGCTGCACAGGGCCAGGCCTGGCTGGCTGAGGGCCTGATACCGTTGCCCCATCCCTCCAGCCTCACCTGCCTGCCAGGCTAACCTTGGCCTACTTATGTGAGGTTCTTCTGGCCCCGGCCCTTGCACAGACTGCCCCTCTGCACCCTCCATCTGCCCCAAGGTCACCTCCCACTGTATCTATGGGGCCAACACCCCGACAGGGTCAGGTCTCCTCTGCTAGCCCCAGGCAGAGCACTGAAGGCCACGGATAGACCAGGAGGCAGGCAAGCTGCTCCACCCAGGCCTTTTCTTTCTGAGCCTGAGCTTAGGCCCGTAGCACTTCCTGTCTCCCTGGTGTTTTTAGCTGTTTGGGCCGAGCAGGACCCCTGGGTGGGGTTCAGGACCACCTGAGCTTCCCAGCTGCCCTGTGTGCCTGCCCTCTTCCCTCCTCCTGCCAGTCTCATCCCCACCATTCTCCACCCTGGGCTGAAGCTCTGGGGCTCGGAGCTCCTCGCAGCTCCCACAAGACTGTTCCCTCAGGGCCTCTGCACACACTGTTCCTCTGCCATCCTGGTGCCCCTGGGACAGCACCTGTTAACACTGTATCCCATCTGCACATGACTTGTCTGCCTCCCCAGCCTACCCTGTGCCCCTCCAGGGGAGGGGCTGTGTCCAGCTCCTCTCTCTATCCCAGGGTCCAATGTGGGGCTCCAGGGATTGAGGAGTTATGTTGCATGAACCAACAAAGGTGAGTGCAGGAGGAATTCCTTCAAGAAGAGAAAAAGGCTCAGAGAGTGGCGGAGGCTCCCAAGGGGAATCAGCTTTCCACATCACAGACGCCAGCACTCAGGTCTGCTGCAGCAGGGCCCACCCCTTCACCCTGGGGAAGGCCTGGCTCTCCTCTCCTCCCCTCCCTGACAGCTGGGTGCCAGCCGGTGCCCACATCCCCACTATCCAGACTGTAGCCCTAGCACATTCTGCTGCGGCCCAGCCCTCCTCCAGCTCCTGAGCCTCGACCCAGGCCCCCGCTGTCCTGAGCAGGCCGCATTACCTCACTGGTCTGCATGGTCCTTGTCTGGAAGAGACAATGTGCCAGGGCCTCTGGGCCACTGTGAGGAACAAACAAGACCCCACCATGCAGAGCAGCACTCTGTATCCTTTCATGCTCTGTGCCCTGAGGACTGACAGTCTCAGGCAGTCGACATCTGGGCTTCACCCACGATGTGTCCAGACCCCCGCCAGGTATGGGGGGGCTACCACAACTTGGGGTTCCTGTCGGAGTTGGTCTAGTGTAGCCAACAGACATAAGGCCAAATGAAGTATGTGTCATTCAGAGGTTCCAGCAAGAGGAAAGCAGGGAAGCCTCCACACAGGCCTGGCCACAGAGGCAGGAGAGAAAGGCCATTCCAGGCAAAGGGAACAGTTCACGCAAAGGCTCAGAGGTATGAAAGACATCTTTATTACCACCTCAGGGCACCCCCTAAAATGAGCACAGTGCTAACCTGGGCCCTGCTTTGAGAAGCCTAGGATACGGAGTCTGGAGGCTTGAGATCTGCATAAGAGGCTGCAGACTCTGGACAAGCTCATTGATGTTCCCATCTACAAAATGGCTTAGCTGGCCATCATCTCCAGGGAAGGCTCACTGGTATCAGCCCTCCTCCTCCTGTGGCCAGGGCAGCGGTGAGTCAGACCCAGCCTGCACAGTGAGGCCTCTGTGGACCAAGAGTGGAAGTTCTGAGTTGGGTCAGAATGAGGGGGCTGGGGTGCTCACCAGGGAGCTTCAGGAACCCAGTCTTCTGGCAGGTCAGTCAGATCTGAGTTTGCATCCCAACTGCATCATTTAGCTGCTGTGTGTCCTTGGGCAAGGTGGGAACCCCTCTGAGCTGCTGTCAATCAGCAAGCCTCCTCTGAGCCCTACTGGGTTCCAGCCTCTAAGGTGACAGATGACAGAAAGAAAGTGGCATCTGTTCCTAGGCCTGCCTTAGGGAAGCTCAGTCTATCCTCACCTGGGACATGGTTGGTACTCCTCTTCCAGGAGGCTGTGTGGCCTAGTCTGCTGTTCCCTGGACCTGCTGGAGGTAGCGGGGACAGCCTGGCTGTGTACAGGATGGAATAAGGCCTCATCTTCCAGCGGGCTGATACCTGTGAGCCTTCCCTGGACCACCTAAGCCATTTTGTAGATGGGAACACCAAGGAATTTGTCCTTGAGGCAGAAGCCAAGGCCAGGCTCCAGAGCTGTGTGGAGGGGCAAGTCACCTACCTCTCTGAGCCTCTGAGAGATGGGGTCATGGAGCCAGCATCAGCCCCAGGGGAATAATAAGAACGAAGGACACAGCTGAGCCCAAGCCCAGCAGCAAGAGGGCCTCAAAGCCACCACGGGCCTCAAAGCCACAAAGGACCCAGAATAAGCAGAGCCATTTGAAGAGAACAAGCTGGAGGACTTACACTACTAAGTAACAAGGCTGATCACAAAGCTCACTGGGCACTGTCTTATAGAACAGTGGAACAGAATAGAAAGTTCAGAAATAAGCCACAAGTATAAGGACACCTGATATATGACAAAAGAGATGCCACAATGCACTGGGGAAAGGATTTATCTTTTCAATAAATGGTGCTGGGTCAACTGGCTATCCATAAGGAAAAACAGTTGTCTTACCCCTACCTCAAACCGTATACAAAACTTATTCCAGATAGATTTCAAATCTAACTGAAAGGTAAAACAATAATGCTTTTAGAAAAGAACATGAGAAAAAAAGTAAACTCAAATGGTCTAAAAATGGAAGAAAAAGTGCCCAACTTCACTAACCATTAAGGAAATGCAAATTAAAACCACAATGAGATACTGCTATACCCCCACTAGAATGACTAAAGTGAAACACACACACAGACACACACACACACACACACACACACACACAATCTCAAGTAGAGCTCTTATGCATTAGTGGTAGGAGGACAAATTGGTATAATCACTTTGCGAAACCATTTGACTATATCTAGAAAACCTGAGGAAATAATATAATCATGTGTTCATATAATCTAGTAATTCTAAGAATATGTCCAATAGAAATGCATGGACATATTCACCAAAAACCATGTACAAGAATGTCTATTGCAATAGTATTTGTTAGAGCTGAAAATGAGAAACAAGCTAAATGTTCATCAATGAAAGAACAGATCAATAAGTTCTTGTATATTCATATAATAGAATAGTAAACAATAACGAAAATGAACAAATTGTTGTTGCACACAACCCTATGGATGGATCTTACAAGCATATTAAGCAAAAGAAGCAATATTACATGATTCTATTTAAATAAAATAGAAAAGCAGAGCCAGCATTACCCCATTACCAAAGCCAGATAAAGACACTACAAGAAAAGAAAATTATAGGCCAATATGCCTTATGAACACAGATGCAAAACCTTCAACAAAATACTAGCAAACAAGGTGGGTGTGATGGTGCATGCCTGTAGTCCCAGCTACTCAAGAGCCTCAGGAAGATAGCAAGACCCAATCTCTAGGGAAAAATAATAATAATAATAATAATAAGGCAAATAATTCAAAAGCACATTAAAAGGATCATTCACCATGATCAAGTAAGATTTATATGAAGGATGCAAGGATGGTTCAACATATGCAAATCAATAAATGTGATACACGATACTAACAGAATAAAGGGCAAAAAACATATGATCATCTCACTGATTTAAAAAAACACATTTGACAAGATTCAGCATCCTTTCATGATAAAAATTCTGAACAAAATAGGTATAGAAGGAATACACAGAAATCAGTAGCATTTTTATATACTAACAACACACTACTCAAAAGAGTCAAGAAAACAATCCCATTTACAATAGTTACCATGGAAAAAAGAAATGCTTAGGAATAAATATTACCAAGAAGGTAAAAGACTTGTACACTGAAAACTATGAAACACTGATGAAAGAAATTGAAGACACAAATAAATGGAAAGATACAGATATGTACATATACATATCTGTATATGTAGATAAGAATTAGTATTGTTAAAATGTCCATTCTACCCAAAACAATCTACAGATTCAATCCAATCCCCTATCAAAATTCCAATGACATTTTTCACAGAAATAAAAAACAGTCCTTAAAATTCATACAGAATCACAAAAGACCCTGAATAGCCAAAGCAATCTTAAACAAAAAGAACAAAGCTGGAGGGATCACACTACCTGACTTCAAAATATACTACAAAGCTATAGTAACCAAAACCACATGGTACTGGCACAAAAACAGACACAAAGACCAATGGAACAGAATAGAAAGCCCAGAAATGAATCCACACATTTAATTTGTCAATTAATTTTCAACAAAAGTACCAAGGACACACAAAGGGGAAAAGACAGTCTCTCCAATAATTGGTGTTGGGAAAACCAGATATCCACACGCAGAAGAATAAAAGTTTCCCTATCTCTCATCGTATGCAAACATTGACTCAAACGGACTAAAGACTTAAATATAAGACCTGAAATTATGAAACTACTAGAAGAAAACATGGGAAAAGCTGTTATGACATTGGTCTGGGCAATGATATTTTAGATATGACCCCAAAAGCACAGACAACAAAAGCAAAAATAGACAAAAGGGATTACATAAAGCTAAAAAAGTTTCTGCACAACAAAGAAAACAATCAACAGAACGAAGAGACAACCTGCAGAATGGGAAAAATGTTTGCAAACTAGCCATCTGACAAGAGTCAATATCCAGAATATATAAGAAATTCAAGCAACTCAATAGCAAAAAAACCCTAATGATCTGATTTTAAAATGGGCAAATGATCTGAATAGACATTTCTCTACAGAAGACATACAAATGGTCAATAGGCATATGAAAAAAATGCTCAACATTGGCTGGGCGCAGTGGCTTATGCATGTAATCCCAGCACTTTGGGAGGCCGAGGCAGGTGGATCACCTAAGGTCAGGAGTTCAAGACCAGCCTGCTCAACATGGCGAAACCCCATCTCTACTAAAAATACAAAAAATTAGCCAGGCGGGCACCCAGCTACTCAGGAGGCTGAGGCAGAAGAATCGCTTGAACCCAGGAGGTGGAGGTTGCAGTGAGCCGAGATCGCGCCACCGCACTCCAGCCTGGGAGACAAGAGCGAAACTCCATCTCAAAAAACAAAAAAAAAAAATTAAAAAGCTCAACATCACTAATCATTAGGGAAATGAAAATCAAAACCACAATGAGATACCACCTCCCACCTTTGGGCTTTTATAAAAAAGACAAAAGTGTGATATCTTATTAAAAAAAGACAAAAGATATGTCTTTTATAAAAAAAGACTTTTTTAAAATCTTTTTTTTTGATACAGAGTCTCGCTCTGTCGCCCAGGCTCAAGTGCAATGGCATGATCTCGGCTCACTGCAACCTCCCTTTCCCAGGTTCAAGCCATTCTCCTGCCTCAGCATCCCAAGTAGCTGGGACTACAGGCATGCGCCACCATGCCTGGCTAATTTTCATATTTTTAGTAGAGACGGGGTTTCGCCATGTTGGCCAGGCTGGTCTCAAACTCCTGACCTCAGGTGATCCGCCTGCCTTGGCCTCCCAAAGTGCTGGGATTACAGGCATGAGCCACTGTGCCTGACTTAAATCTTTTTACAAAAGATACGTCTTTTATAAAAAAGACAAAAGATAAGTGTGGGCGAGGATATGGAGAAAAGGAAACCCTTGTACGCTGTTGGTGGGAATGTAAATTAGTACAGCCATTATGGAAAACAGTATAGAGGTTTCTCAAAAAATTAAAAATAAAACTACCATATGATCCAGCAATCCCACTACTGGGTATAAATCCAAAGGAAATGAAGTCAGTATGTTGAAAACATATCTGCACTCCCATGTTCACTGCAGCACTATTCACAGTAGCCAAGATATGGAATTAACTTAAGAGTCCATCAATGGATGAATGGGTAAAGAAAATATGGTATATACATACAATGTAATACAATTCAGCCATGAAAAGAAGGAAATCTCATCACTTGTGACAACATGGATAAACGAGGAAGGCAATATACTAAGTGAAATAAGCCAGACACAGAAAGACAAATAACACATGATCTTACTCATATGTGGAATTTTTTAAAAGTTGAACTCATAGAAGCAGAAGGTAAAATGGTGGTTAACAGGAACTGAGGGGTGAGGGTGGGGAGGGAGGTTGCAGAGATGTCAGTCAAAGGACACAAAATTTCAGTTAGATAAGAGGAATAAGTTCAAGAGATCTATAAGTTCAAGAGATTGATTGTAACATGGTGACAATAGTTAATAACAATAGATTATACTCTTGAAGATTGCTAGAAGTAGACTTTTCTTTTTTTGGAGTCTCACTCTGTTGCCCAGGCTGGAGCGCAGTAGCGTGATCTCGGCTCACAGCAACCTCCGTCTAATGGATTCAAGCGATTCTCCTGCCTCAGCCTCCCTGGGATTACAGGTGACCGCCACTAGTCTCAGATAATTTTTGTATTTTTAGTAGAGATGGGGTTTCACCATGTTGGCCAGGCTGGTCTCAAGCTCCTGATCTCCAGTGATCTGCCTGCCTTGGCCTCCCAAAGTGCTGGGATTCCAGGCATGAGCTACTGCGCCCGGCCGAGAGTAGATTTTGAGTGTTCTCAGGACAAAAAAGTATGTGAGGTAATGCGTGTGATAATTAACTCGATTTAGCCATTCCACAATGTATACACATTTCAAAATATTACATTGTACATGATAAACATATACAATTTTTATCTATTTAAAAAATCCATTTTTTTAAGACAAGCAAAGCCTGCATAACTCATCTACAGTGAACAGAAAGCAGGACTTGGCTATCTTGGGGGTAGTGACTGGAAGGGGTGTGAGAGAGCTTGTGGGGTTCCGGTAAAACTACTTCTTGACCTGGGTGGTGGTTCCATGGGTGTGGTCCCTGTGCAAATCCACTGAGCTCTACACTTAAGACCTATGCACCTGTCTGTAGATCAGTTACATATGCTTCAATAAAAAGGTAAACAAAAAAAGCCAGCACAGTGGCCCTGGGAGGAAGGGCTGGCTGAATGTGGTAACCCAGGTCCCAGCAGATCCGGGCCCTTCACAGCTGTAGCCCTGTCCAGCTGGACACCACATACCTAGGTGGGCTGACCTAAAGGGAAGGGAGGCGGAGTGGGAAAGTGCCCCAGGCTGGGTCCGAGCACTAGCCTTTGTCACACGCAGGCTGTGTGACCTTCTGCAAGCCTCCAATTCTCTGGTCCCAGCCTCCTCCTCTAGCTCTCAGGACGCTTGCGGACTTGACACTCAAGAGTGTCTCAACACTTGGAGCAGTCCACAAGAAGGTCCTACAGGTGTGTGGCACCCTGACACCCCAACCAAGCACACACCTGCAAGGTTTCCTCTGCACCTGAGAAGGGGAGATGCCAGCCAGAGACCATCCCTAGGAGGATGTTTTCAGCCCTGAGGAGGGTGGCATGGTGCTCAGAAAAAAAGGGGAGGGGAGGGGTGTGGGGCAGGGATCATGGATGAGGCTGCAGAGGATCCCGCCAGAGGCCCCGGGATGCCATGTGCAGCGTGTGGCTTCATCCTAAGGTGATGGGGAGTGTGGAAGGGTGCTGAGCAGCGGAGGGACTTGGTCACGGCTGTCTTGCGGAGCCCCATGTGGCTGCCACATGGGAAACGGACTAGAAAAGGACAAGACTAAACCAGAAAGACCAGAAGAACGGCCACAGGACTTGGACTGGCAGTCTCACGTGTGGATGCGGAGGGGCTGGGTTCCAGGGCCGAGTGGGAGAGAGCCTCAGCTCTTCCTGGTGGCCAGCCACTGGTGGGGGTGAAGGGAGAATGCAGGAATGCCTGCTGAGGGTCCTTCTCCTGTGCTCCACTGCCCCGTACCCCACAGTGGTGCCCAGCGCAAAGCACAGGCCTGGCAGAGTGAGTATCACCCAGTGCCGGCCGAAGGAGCCAGTGACACCCTCACCCATTCCCTGCCAATCAAAGCCCCCTTTCCCCTACCTCCCTTCCTCAACCTCTTCTCCCCTCTTAAGGGAAGACACCCCCCACCACCACCTTTTGCCATATGAACAGGGGAGGGCTGAACAGCTGGGGCTTCATCATTTAGGGGACACAGTCAACTCCAACTTGCACATCTTTGCTGGTGCCCGATTTGGGCTGGCGCTGAGCTGGCTGATGAGGAGGGGGCTGGGGGTGAATGGTGGTGGCCTTCCGAGATGGAGCCCGAGCAGGGCCAGAAGGATAGGCCAGAAGCAGCAAGGGCACAGCAGGGTACAATGTGGCACAGGGAGAGGGAAAAGGTGGGAGGGCACTGGGTGGGCGGAGCCTGGGGGGAAGCTGGCAGAACCAGCTCTGCAGGGCTGGGGATGCCAGGCAGAGGGGCATCAGCATTTACTGGGGCACAGGGGAGCCAGGGGCAAGACTAAAGGTCAGATGCTGATGCAGTGACCCAGGACTGGAAGAGCCCTGGCTTGAGCCATTGCAGGGAAGGCCAGAAGCCAGAGGGGACTAGAAAGGGCAGAAACTCCATTTGGTGGCTGCCCGGTTATTTGTGTTTTTGATTTTGTTAATGTATTTATCCCCTTCTATCCCATACCCCATCCTCCATCTGCTCCCTAAGTCACCATCTAATAAGATGCTTAAAGCATGTCTCTTTGTCCTTTCGTGGGTGTACTGTGACCTCCCAGGCCCCTGTCTCTCTGACGCACTGTGTGCTGAGGAATGGATGGCAGGGTGGGGAGGGAGAATGTGCGGTGGAGGGAGAGCCAGGCTCAGAGCCACCTCAGGCTCCCAGCCCCTAGGCCACCCAGAGCTCTGGGCTCCTGGGTTCTGGCGCCAGAGCCAAGGCAACCAGGCCCAGTGAGTCACTCCAGCCACCACCAGGCGAGCTGGCACCAGGGCTGGGAAATCCTGTCTATTTCCTCCCCTCCCCTCTCCTTCCCTTATCGTTTCTGTGTCCAATCCATTCTCCACCAGGCTGCTGAGTGATCTTTCTAACATAAATCCCACCAGGCCGCTCTCCTGCTAGGAGACACAGAGGGCCTTGCGGGCAGGGCCATGTGTGTATGGGGAACAGGGTCTCTGGCTGGTCCTGGGGGAATGGTGGTCCTGCAGCCGTGATGTCCCCTGGTGCCTCACAGCACAGCATGTGAGGGCTGTGCTGGCCTGCAGGCCTGGCTCTGTGTGTCTCTGACTGAGTCAGAGGCCTGACCCTGCAGCTGTTCTTCATCTGGCAATTGGGTCCCGCCCAGGGTGCTGTGAGCAGGAGGGAGTGTAGGGACAGCAGGAGCCGCTGTTGTAAGCAGCATCTGTAAGCAAGCGGCCAAGGGAGAGGAGCTTCTGAAAGGGTGTTCCAGGTCAGGGGTTCCTGCAGGCCTTGGGCAGGACAGGAAGAAGTCAAGGACCTGGCCACACTTGTGGAGGTGGAGACTGTTGGGCAGGGGGCAGCCCCAGGCCAAGCCTCGGGTGAGCAGCTCACCACAGTTTTAACACTGAAAGAACCACATCCAGGAAACCCACAGTCCCAGGCAACCCAGTGCGGTGGCCACCCTACCTCGGGGCTCCCAGTCCAGCACCAGGTCCTGCAGAGAAAGTGCTGACAGCAGGTAGATACAGCTGGGCGTCCCTGTGCAGGACATTCTCTCTCACCCGGGGTGGGGTGGGGGCTGTGTGCTCGCTCACTCCCCACCGGAGAGACAACCTAACAAAATGGGACTTGATCAGGTCACTGAAGCCACCTCTGCCTCACTGTGCTGTGTGAGCCCAGGAAAGCTCCTGCCCTCTCTGGCCACAGGCTCTCGTGATTGAGTGGCAGGGAGGGGAACACTACACACTATTTTTCAATCTGGCGGGTTTATCACCAGGACAGCCCTTTTCTCCACTTCCTGTACAGGCAGTCCTAGACTCAAGTCCCTAGACTATCTCCAAGACTCAAGGTTTAAAGACTGGTGAGACAGTGCCCATCTCTCACTTTGGGAAACTGAAGTGCGCCATTCCTCAGCACAAGCTCCTGCACAACCTCAGAAATGAGTTGTGCTGTTCTCATTACACAAATGGGAGACAGAGGCTCTGAGGGGAAAGAGGACATTCAGGGCAGAGGCACGAACCTGTCCCATGTCAAAGTCCTGCTCAGCCTGGCCCACCACCCCTCCCTCGGGCAGTGACCCACTCTCCAGCCCTGGGTGTCCTGCTCAGGTGTGTCCCCCATTCCAACTTCACTTGCACACCTTCCCTGTGCCTGACCAAGGGGCAGTGAGGAGTCAGATGGGAATCTGCCCTAGAGGTCAGCCTGGTGAAGGCGAGAGGCAGAGGCCTCAGTACAAGGCAGCGAGATCTGCTCTCAAAGGAAGTGATTCGTTCACACCAGGCAGGGACGGCTGCATGGAGGAAGTAGCAACAAAACGGGATCTCAAAGGGTAGATTGTGATTTCAAGAGATGGAGGAGGTGGAAGGTTTGGGGGAGGAAAGATTATTCTGGAGGAAGAAATCATTCAGGCAAGTCTGGAGGACAGGGTGCAGGGGAGAGGGAAGAGGAAGTAGAGAAATATTGCCACAGCCAGGTTGTGGCTGGCCCTGAAAGCCAGGCTAAGAACTCAGGCATGAGATGGGGTGTGATGATGTATGAGAAGGTCAACGGGAAAGGAGGCCCAGGATGCAGGCAGGGAGGCCAGGCTATAGGCAGGCCCCTGAGAGAAGCGGGGCCCAGTATGGCGTGGCCTTGGCCATGAGGAGGGAAAGGAGACTCACACAGGGGCAGGTCCGCAGCAGGCAGGCCGGGGCTCTGGGATTTGGCTAGGGTTCTTCCTGAGGCGCCAGAGGGCTTACCCCCTCCTGCAATGGCAGACCATGTCTCTGGGCAAGCAGCACTTCCAGGCCCACTGCACTGCTCCAAGCCACTTCCTATTCCTGGCCATGGCAACCCAGAATGCCAGCGCCTGCTCCCCATACCCAGGCAGAGGGTGAACCAGAGCCCCAAGATGTCAGGCTGGGCAACATCCTGTCCACATACCCGTCCTCAGATGGGGAGACTGAGGCCAGCGAGGTGCAAAGCAGTTAACCTCTTTGTGCTTCAGAATTCTCATCTGTAAAATAAAGGTATTTTCTGCTCTACTGGCCCAGCCTGTTCACCTGACCCCACATACCAGACAGGACTTGGCCGTAATAGGCCTTGGTATTCTCACCTGTAAAGCGGGACTCCCCAGCCCCACCCCCTTGTAGGGTGATGGTGAGCATCAAATGACCCTGCAAAGCACTGGGCTTATTGCGTGAATGTCTGAAATGAGCTGCACTCCACCCTGAAAGGCCCAGCACGCTGTCAAAGGCAGGCAGGGTCCAGACATTGGGGACCACCCATGCGGCTGTGCCAGGGATGCCCTTCTTCCAAACATCCCTGAACTCTGGCTACCAGGGGCTCAGGCTGCACACTGGGGCCAGGGCTACAGCAGCGCCCAGCCTCCAAGGCTCCCAGGCTGGAGGGGAGACAGACATTGTGAGTGACCTCCTGGGGGAAACAGGACTGTGACTGGGGAAGCCAGCCTCGGTGGGCACTGGGGTGGGGGCGGGAGCTGGGAATGGTGCCTGCAGTGACGCTGCTGTCAGCTCCTGGGGTGGGCTGAATGACGGCCCCAAAGATACTCCCAACCGAATCCCTAGAACCTGTGAATGACACCTTGTATGGCACAAGGGACTCTGAAGATGCGATTAAGGATTTTGAGACAGGGAGACGATCTTGGCTTATCTGGGTGGGCCCTGAATGTAATCACAAGTGTCCCTATAAGAGGGAGGTGGAGAGGATCTGCCTGCAGAGGAGGAAAGAGCAATGAGACAGAAGCAGAGACTGGGGCAATGTTGCCATAAGGAATGCCAGCAGCCACCGGAGGCTGGAAGAGACAGGGAATGGACTCTCCCCTAGATCCCACAGAAGAAGCCAGCCTGGATTTTAGCTCCATTAGACTCATGGGGGACTTCTCATCTCCGGAACTGTAAGAGCATAAATCTGTGTTGTTTTCAGCCACCAAGTGTGGCAATTTGTCGCAACAGTGATAGGAAAGGAATATGCTCTTGAACGATGCTGTTCCTGAAGAATAGCTAATGGGAGCCGGGGTGTCATGGGGTCCCACCCGCCTCTCCTGCCCGGAGAAGCCCATGAGGGAAATGAAGTTCTTACACCTTGAGTTGCTCCGCTGTACAACAGTCACCCCACATCAGTTTCTTAGTTCCTGCTATGAGTAACAAATCACTTGGGTCCCACCTCACTCCAACTGGCAGAAGTTACACAGCAGCAGGGGGCACTGGCTGAGCAGGGGCTGGCTGGGCAGGGCAGGTGGGTCAAGCCAATGGGCTCCCAGCCTTCTGCCCACCATCCCCGGGGGCACATCCTGACAGTGAAGGGCAGCTGGGGACCAGTGGATGGGCTTTGATGTGCTCTGGTCACCAGCCCCTTCTCTTGCATGCCCACTGTGGGAGAAAACCACAGCACACACCCACAGGCCACCGCAGCCTCAGCTGTTGCCCACCCAGACCCCTATCCCTGGGAAAACTTGGGTCCCTGGAAGCACACGTGCAAACAACCAGAATGGGGAGCAGTAACCCAGGCCCTTGCGGGTAAGCACACATCATCCACAGCTTCCCCATCCAAGCCTGAGGCTGGCTTCCTAAGACATCCAGATTCCAACCGCAAAGGGACCTGGCCCCTTTGCCTTGGGTGAGCAGGGAAAGGCAAAGCCTGAGTTCATAGGCAAGTGAGCAGCTCTGCCTGCACTAAAGCAAGGCAATCCCAGGGTGTCTCCACCAGCCTGGAGGAGGGCTCAGAGGTGGGCAGCAGGAAGGCCAAGCCTCAGGACCACGGTGAGCCCAGGAAAGTTTTGAGCGGGGACCAGGGATGGAGAGGCAGAAGAGTTCTCTGAGGGCACTTGAGAGGTGCCTGGGAGGGGCTCTGAAGGCACTCAAAACACTTGAATAGATGGGGACAGAGACAGAACGGGTGAAAAGCCCAGCTGCAGAGAGACTGCTGCCAGCTGCCCAGGAGGCTGCTGGGGAGGGGTGGGGGGTGTTGCAGACCCTGCTCTTTGCAGCTGGGGGAGCCCAGGGCCCACTGCTGGGCTTTCTGTTCAACCTTTACATGCTGTACTCTAGGGTGCTCCCGGCTGCTCAGCCCTTGCCTCTCCTCAAGGGCTAGAAGCTTTTGGGGGAAGCCAGGGGACTTGGTCAGGCAGATACAGATCACTCCCGTAAGTCCCCTTCACCCACTAAAGCCAAGAGAGGCTTCCGTTTCAATAGGAGAGGACTGTTTCCTTCCACCCTTCTTCTCCCAAAGTCAGCCCCTCATCCCCAGGGAGGGAACTAAGTGATGCTGATTGCCAGCTGCTATTAGTAACAATGGCTACCAGACACCATGTACTTAGAAAGATGCGTTCAGTGACATGATCTAAGTTCATCTTCATCATCCCCCGAGTCCCTGTGAATAGGCAGCATTTATCCCCATTCCGCACATGAGAAAACTGAGACAGAAAAGGGAAGTTCTCCGCCTCAAGGTCATAGGCAAGTAGGAAGGTACAGAGATGGTCTCAGCCAAGAGAAAGAACAGACACATGATTTAGGCCCTGCAGGTAGGAGAGGGTGCCCACTGAGGGCGCAGGAGGCCTCCTGTTTGGGGACCAGGACTCCAGGGCTGATCTGACAGCCTGCCAGGAAAGCAGGCGCAGAAGCAGACAGAGACAGTGCTGGCCTGGGAGCAGTGTCCCAGATGTCACCCACAAAAACCCACAGGCATCTCACAACCACCCTGTCCAACAGTCAACTTACTCCCAACCTGCTCCACCCCCAATGGTGGTCCCCATCTCACAGAGGCAGCCCCACCTACCTTCCCCCAGCACTGGGACCCTGTGTAGCCCCTTAGCCCCTGGGCACCTCCTGCCCCCAGCACCCCTGCTCTGGGAAACTTTATCAGGGTCCCTCCTCCCCTGCCAAGCCTAGCCCTGGGTGGGGAGCAGAGGAGAGCAGAAGGGAGGGCCCTCTCCCTGCTTTGGCCTCCTCCTTATAGCCCTCAGTGGAAGCCCACCCACTACTGCAGCCAAAGGTGGCCCTTCTTGGACACACATCTGACCTATCTAATCCGCAATCCACCCCACCAGCATTCATTTTCACACTGCCAGGCCTTTACTCATGCTGTTCCTTGGGGCTGCAATGACCTGCCTTTTCTTTTCTGCTTGGTGGATTTCAAGACCCAGCCCCAACGAATCTGCAAGTGAACTCATCCCCAGCTCCCGGGCACCCATCAGTCCCTGTCTTGTGCTCCCAGCACTGGGTACAACTCTGGACAGGGCCTTATCTGTGGACCCACTGCCTGTCTTGTCAGAAGAGAGGCTCCTCAGGGCAAAGACCCCGCCTGAGCACCTCTGTGTGCTGGCAACTAGCCTGACCTGGCCTGCAGCAGCAGCTGGGCCCACCATACCCTGCCCAGGAGGCAAAGGCAGCCACACCACCCCACCCCCAGACCCTGGGGACAGGAGCAAGGACCAGCCCGAGGACCCTGGGAGGTGTCAATCCTTGCAAAACACAGTGGTTCCCCCAGCAGGCCTCAGACTCATTGAGTTGGCTGAGCCTCACCCGTAAGCCCCTCTCTTCCAAGAAGTCTGCCCAGATCTCTCTTTCCCCTGAGTCCTGGGATAGTCGCCCTCAGTACTTTTCTCTCTAAACCACAGGTGTAGGGAGAAGATTCTGGGATGAGAGCCAGGCGGACCCGGGTTCAAATTCTGGCTCAGCAATCCTGAGAGGGCAGCTGACTTCGCTTCTCTGTGCCCCACTCTTCTGATCTGTATGGAACTTGGGGGTGAATCCCACCACATGAAATGACTGGGAGAGAGAACGTCGCACCTGTTAATGATCTTTTGTCCTATTTCGCCTCTGGTCCCCTAGGCCAGTCTTCCGAGACCCCCAACGCAAAGGAACAGAGGTGGGAACTCTGAGGTCTGAGAAACAAAGATCCATTCCCTCCCAGACCACTCCCCCACACTCCCGCAACACACACACACACACACACACACACACACACACACACGTGCGCCCGCCCTGCAGTCAAGGAGAAAAGCCCCCTTTCAACCTGGGGAGTAGTGCCAAGAAGCGGATAGGCTGGGGCAGTAGGAGCCTCGGCCCTGCCCCTTCCCCAGGCCTGGGTGGTGGAGCACCCAGAAGGGGTTGGTGGATTGCAGGGATGAAAGGGGGGTTAAGCAGGGAAGAGAAGGGGGGAACTGTAAGGAAGATGAGAGGAAGTGACAGTCTAGCCCCGGGTGTTAGGCGCTTCCAGCGCGTCCGCACTAGGAAAACGACTCGGAGACACCCAGAGGGAGGTGAAAAAAAGACTCCTCGCCGGGGGTGGGGGTGGGGACGAGCCGAGGGGGCCCAGGCGGATGCTCCAGGACCCCGCCCCCCAGCCAGCGCTCACTTCCTTTCCCCCCGGGCCCGCGGGAGGTGCAGCCCCCTCCACTGATTCGTGGTCCCGGAGCAATCACTGGCCCGCGCTGCACCCGCACACACCCCCCCGAAACACACACACACACACACACAGAAGCACACGCCTCCCTCCGCCCGCCTCCTACCGGCCGAGCCGCCGCGGGTCCAGCCGGGCTCCCGGGATGCAGGGCACGGCGCGGGCGCTGGAGCGGAGGCTGCAGCCGCCCGGCGCAGCAGCCTCGGGCTCTGGCCGGAGATCCAGCTGGGACTGGCCTGCGGCGGGGGCTGGCGCTCGCATTCCCCGGGTTCGGCCAGCTGGGCCCGGCTCCGCCCCGCCCCGCCCGCGGCCTCCGCCCATTTGCCCGTTGCGAGCCGGAGGCGTGGTCTCCCGTGGGGCGGGGTGGGCGGCCCGGTGGCCGGGTGCGCCCATGCGCACTGGTGCGGTGGGCGGCCGCTCAGAGGAGCGGTCTCATTCCAGCCCCTGTGTTGAACGCGGACTTGGGGCCCCTAGCGGCACCCACCGCCTCTACCGGCTCGGTCGGGCCCTCGTTCTCTCTCCTTCCCAGCCTATCTGTCTGCGGTTGGTGCGCATCCCCATGGGCAGCCTCCCAAGGGCTGGCTGCACCGTGAGGGATCGGGCCGGGGCTGGGGTTCAGCCCCCACAGGGCGGGCCGGGGCCGCGGCTGACTTGGGGCCGGCGTGTAGTACCGAGGACCCGCAAGGGCCAGGGTGCCTGCCAGAACCAGGACTTGGTGGGCGGCGCCCCTCCCTTTCCGGGCTCCACCTTCACATCCATCCCAAGTGTTCGGATGGAGAAGTGGGAGCCCAGGCCCCTGTGAGCAGCAGAGGGCCTCTGTCAGATGGGAAAACTGACCCCGGCCCGTGTTGAGGACTTAATCCCGTGCTGCCATGGGCTCCCGGGCTCGGGCTCATGTTTGACTCTCTGTCCGTGACTGGCTACCGGAATGCCCTGGGATGGCACGGAGCCTGCATTTCCTGATCTGTAAAACGGGGACTATAATCTCTACCCACCCCAGGCCGCTTGGGGAATCCGATAGAGAAGGTTTAGGAGTGACTAGTTCTTGCCTACAGTAGGAGCTCAGGGGTGCCACCACCCCCCGCCCTGAGGCAGCAGGACAGACGCCCATCTGATCTGATGAGCCCATCGGCCCACTCGCTGGTGGAGCGTCTCAGGCCCGTTCATTCTCCGCCTCCAATTTGTTTCGAAGTCTCAGTTAATGATTTCGTCAACCTCTTGTGTTACCGAAACAAACTTGGGTCCGCCCACCCAGTGCAGCAAAGCCAAACACTGACACCAGGATTTGCAGCGGCAGAAAGGGAGGCATTTATTGCAGGGTGCCAAGCAAGGAGAATAGGTCGGCTAATGCTTAAGACCCGTACTCCCCAATGGTTTACATGTAAGGCTTTTTAAAGGTGGGGAGACAGAGGTTATAGGCAAAGTCATAAATAAATACTCTGGAGCTATACATTGGCTTGGCCCAAAAAGGTGAGACATTTTGAGGCAGGGTCATAGGTGGATTCAGAGATTCTGTGATTTGCAATTGGCTTAGGAAGCAAGACTGTCTAAAAACCTGGGGTCCACAGATAGGAGAGTTAAGCATTGGCTTATGGGTGTGACTCTTTACAGAACCCTTGGGAAGAAATTTAAAGAACAGCCCTCAGTTTCCCCTTATCTGAGGCCTAAGTGACAGCTGTGAAAAACAATTCAGGGACATAGGTCAAGATGTTATCTTTAGTTTCTATAGGGAACCAGACATCTTGTGGCTCTAACTTATTTGGGTGGCCCTTGTTTGAAGCTTCAATTACCTTCTTGCTTGTCAAGGTGCTCATTTACTTCTCAAAGCTAGCTAGCTGCCTGAAATTCCCCCTGAAAAGACTCATGATTTTCCTTTATTTCCACTAAGAGGAGTCTCTGCCTCACCTCACTCTCAGTCACCTGGACTTCTCTAGCTTCTCCCCAACCTCCCTGCCTCTGTCCCAGGCCACCCAGATGCTTCTCCCTTAAGAGTAGCCCCAGCCCCCTCAGGAGCCTCCTATCCAACCAAAGAAGACTTTCACATATGCAGCTGAGACCCGCCACCCATAGAAGAGTGTTCTAAGACTGCACCCCATCTGACTCCCCCATCTCCCCTAACCTTATTCCATGCCCTGTACTGGGAGCAGCAGCTTCACCAGCCCTTCAAAAGTCACTTCAGGGGCTCTACTCTCCCCACCTGAAACCATGCCCGTGCTGATCTGTGGCCGTCTGAAGGACTCTTCCTTCCTCCCTGTGCTGCAGCATCCCAAAGCTCCCTTGCTCAGCATCCACCCCTCACCTATGGCCCTTCTCAGGCTGCGTCTCTCAGAGTTGCTGGTGGGGCCAAGGTTTCCCCTGCAAGGCCAAAGTTCCTGGAGGGCAGAGGCCAAGGGTCATTGTCAGGAAGACAGCAGCACTTGGTAGAGCCAAGTAGATCTGGGCTCCAGTCCTCACTCTGCCAGTTACTGGCTGTGTGATCTGGGCAGGTCCTCTATCCTTTTCCCTGTCTGTAAAATGGGCTTCTAGCTGGAGTGTGTGATGACCAGGTACAGGCAAGTCACGGGGATCGATAAAGGCCCGGTTGTGTAGGATACTGGGCAGCATTGTCTCTGGGCTGGGCAACTCCCATGTGTTCCAAGGTGGGGCTGGGGTTGTGTCTGAGAAGGCATGTTTGCCTCAGCCCACAAAACAGTGGGGTTCAGAGGATGCTCAGACCCCCTTCTGTATCTCAAAGCATTGGAGCCACAAGAGGGTATTGTGCAGTAGTTGCAAGCATGGGCTCTGCCTGGGCTCATATTAGCTGAGTGACCTCAGACAAGTGACCCAACCTCACTGTGCCAGTATCCTCTCCTATAAAGCCAGCATAGCAACAGTCGCACCATGGAGTTGTTGTGGGATTAAATGGGCCGGGACATACGGAGCCCTCATGGTTGCCCTTTGCTTGGAGTAAGAGCTCAGCATGTGCTAGCTGGTGTTATTGTCATCTGGCCCAGCCCCTCATTTTGTGAAGACATTGAGTCCCAGAAGCAGAGACATGCACTCATGGCCAGTGAGAAGCCCAGCCACCCTAGCAGGTTAGCACTGGAAGGGCCCAGTCCTTTAATCATCTCCAGCAGCTCCACCTTCTCCGACAGGTGAGGAAAGAGGCCTAGCGAGAGTGACCTGCCCAGGACACCCACCCTGGTGGCCGGGTGGAGAGAGCATTGGCCCTGCTCTTGGGGGAGAGAGAGGTCCCCAAGATAGGCCAGGAAGAGCCAGATCTGCCCAACAAGGTTGGGGAAAAGGTGGGACTTTGATGATGCTCTGGCCCGGGATCCTGCTGGTCAGTTTTTGTAAACTGAGTCATCTAATGGTACCATCGCAGGGCCTGATGTGGAGGTGCACTTCCCATTTCTCACAACCGCCCTCTGCAGCAGCTCTGATTAGTCCATTTTCCAGATGACAGAACCAAGCCTCAGGGAGATGCCCCAGGTCACACAATTAGTAACTGGAATCCAAACCTACCCTGTCTGACTCCACTCTTGTGGCCTTTCCCTCCCCTCTTCCTATCTCCTCCAGGAAAAGGTCACCTCTGCAGGCTCCTTGACTGGCTGTCCCACCTCTGCTTGCATGCCACTGTAACTGGGAACTCATTTCCTCATAGCACAACCCTTTCTCCTCTACCTGGGAGAGCTTTTGTCACCCAGAGCTGATCCACCCCTCTCTTCCTGGTTCTGCCAGACTCTATACCCTCTATCTTACCAGAGCCTAGAGACAGAATCTTCTCTGCCCAGGTTAGAAAACCCCTATCTTCACTGCTCCTGTGTGTAATAGGATTTCCCAGGTGAAACTTATGATAATCATGTTTTTTTTAACCCCAACAGACCTAATTGTCTAGCTATTGTGTGGGAACCCTAAAGGAAGCCATGGCATGGGGAGTGGCTCAAAGTGGAGGCTCCTAAGGCTTGGTGTCTCTAGGAGGAATATTAAAAATCACCCTGTTAACCAGTTCATTCCATTCTCATCTGGCCAGCTCAGGTGAGTGGGGGGCAGGTCAAGATTGCAGGGTGAGAAGGCCCATCAGACACAGAACTTTCAATGGGGAATAGTTGCTAATGGTGCTCCCCTGTGTGGTCAAAAATGGGAGCTCACAAGGGACTCCAGGGCAGAACAGGTATGATGGAAATTGGGATATTGAGACAAGATGACCTCTGAGTTGTTTTCAAGTGCATCCTTCTCTGAAACACTGCTTATATTTTGTTACTATCCTGGATATTATTAAAAACCAGTCAGACCAAGGGGATTTATTCCAAGAATGCAAGGTTGATTTTTTTTTTTGAGACAGAGTTTTGCTCTTGTCACCAAGGCTGGAGTGCAGTGGCGTGATCTCAGCTCACTGCATGCAACCTTCACCTCCCGGGTTCAAGCGATTCTCCTGCCTCAACCTCCAGAGTAGCTTTAATATTAGAAAAATCCATCCATTAATAACATTGCTTTAGTTTCCTAGGGCTGCCATAATGACAAGCTGGGCGGCTTAAACCACAGAAATGTATTGTCTCAGTCCTGGAGGCTAGAAGTTCAAGATAAAGGTATCCCTAATTCTGATAAAGGTATCATCAGGGTCAATTCCTTCTATGGGATCCAATTCAATGTACAACAAGCATGTACCATATGAATGAACCTAAGGATAGAATAATATGCTCATTTATTTCCCTATAAATGCTAAGAAATGGGTATTTGATCAATACCCATTCATGATCAGAACACTCAGTGAAATAGGAATTGAGGGATACTTTCTCAATATGATAAGATATAGTCCTATAAACCAGCATCTTATTTAATCAAGAGACACTGGAAGCATTTCCACTAAGATCAAGAACATCACAAGGGCCAGGCACAGTGGTTCATGCCTGCAATCCCAACACTTTGGGAGACTGCTATGAGAGGATTGCATGAGGCCAGGAGTTTGAGGCCAGCCTAGGTGACAAAACGAGACCCCATCTCTACAAAACAAAATACAAAAAAAAAAAAAAAAAAAAAGCCAGGTTTGGTGGCATTTGCCTGTAGCTCCAGCTACTCAAAAGGCTGAGGTGGGAGGATCCCTTGGGCACAGGAGGTTGAGGCTGCAGTGAGCCCTGATTATGCCATGACCTCCAGCCTGGGTGACAGAGTCAGACCTTGACTCTAAAAAAAAAAAAAAAAAAAGAGAAAGAAAGAAAGAAGAGAAACATGGCAAGGATGCCATTATCTCCACTACTATTCCACATTGTACTAGATGTATTAGCCAATGCAATTAGACAAGATAAATCAATTGGAGGTCTAAGAATGGTAAAGAAGAAGGAGAACTATTTCTATTTACATACGGCATAATATACCTGAAGAACCCCAGAGAATCAATGATAAAACTAATTCAAATAGTAAAGGAGTTCAGTGAAGTAGCAGGATACAAAATTAACATGTAAAATATAATGGCCTTTATGTATAAACCTATATGAGGATTTTTTTTTTTTTTTTTTTTAAACAGAGTTTCACTCTGTCGCCAGGCTGGAGTGCAGTAGCGCAATCTCAGCTCACTTCCGCCTCCTGGGTTCAAGTGATTCTTGTGTCTCAGCCTCCTTAGTAGATGGAATTACAGGTGTGCATCACCACACCTGGCTAATTTTCTTATTTTTAGTAGAGATGGGGTTTCACCATGTTGGCCAGGCTGGTCTCAAACCCCTGAACTCAGGTGATCTGCCCACCTTGGCCTCCCAAAGTGCTGGGATTATAGGCGTAAGCCATCACGCCTGGCCATGATGAAATTTTTAGAACATTTTTGAAAGACACGAAAGGAAAACAAACAGAAAAATATCCCTTTGTTTGCACAGGAAAAGTCAACATTGTAATGGTGTTAGTCCTCCCTAAGTTAATGTTAAACTCCATGTAATCCCAATAAAAGAAACAGCAAGGTATTTTATGAAGATAGACATGTTGATACAAAAGTTCACATAGAAAAATAAACTTGCAAGAACAGATAAGAAGACATTGGAAAAGAAAAACCATGAGAGAAAACTAGACTTGCCAGACATTAAAAAAAAAATTAAAAAAAAGCTTCTGTAATTAAAACTGGGATGGTTCTGGTACATGAATAGATAAATTGGAATAGACTAGAAAATCTAGGATTAGACCCAAAACATCTTTACCCCACTAATTTGAGATGTTGCCTTTGCTACACACTAAACATAGACTTTGCAATAGATAATGCCGGGACAACTGGGAGCCATTTGGAAAAAGATAAAATTAAATCCATATGTTACACTGTCATATTTTGTGTTGTGTTGCTGCAAAGGAATACCTGAGACTGGGTGATTTATAAAGAAAAAAGGTTTATTTGGCCCATAATTCTGATGGTTGGAAAGTTCAAGACTGGGCATCTGGTGAGGGCCTCAGGCTGCTTCCACTCATGGTGGAAGGTGAAGGAGAGCTGATGTGAGCAGATATCACATGGCAAGAGGAGAAGCAAGAGAGAGGGGAGAGGGTGCCAGAATCTTTCAACAAGCAGCTCTCCCAGGAACTAAGAGAGTGAGAAGTCACTCACCCCCAGGGAAGGCATTAATCTATTCATGAGGGACCACCTCCATGAGCCAAACACCTCCCATCAGGCCCCACTCCAACCCTAGAAATCACATTTGAACATGAGCCTCGGAGGGGACAAACATCTAAACCATAGCACACATCCAACAAAAGAATAAACTGAATGGATTAGGGATCTAAGTGTAAAAAACAAAGCCACCTGTCTTAGTCAGCTCGGGCTGCTATAACAAAATACCACAAACCACCAAATCCAATGGTAAAGTGAGGGGAAAGGCACCAACAGGTAACTAACCAAAAAAGATATTAAAATGGCCCTCAAACTTATGAAAAAAATATTCAAGGACACTGGTAATTAGAGCGAGGCAAATCGCTCTACAGTGAGATGCCATTTTTCACTTTTCAGACTGACAATAAAAAAGATCACAACACATTCTGTTCACCAAGTTGTAGGGAAACAGTCACTCACAGCTGTTGCTGGTGGGAATACAATTTGGTACAATTTGGTACAATTCTAGGGGAATTGGTAATACCTAAGAAAATTACATACGCATGTACCCTTTAACCCGAGGCAACTCCACTTCTCGGAATCTACTCAGAACCCATACCTCTGGCAGTATGGAAATACACATGCAAAGCCTTTTTCAGTGACGCGTTCTTTTTAATTGCAAATATTGGAAACAATCTACATACCCACAAGTGGGAGAGTGGTTGAATAAATTGTAGTATATCCAAGCAATGGAGCATTAAGCAGCTGTAAAAGAAAATGAGGAGGAGCACATTGAATTGATAGTGTGAATCCCAGAACACACATGGAGAGAGAAGACAATATAAGAACATACACAGGTGTCTGCTCATCTATGCAGAGAAGTACAAGAAGGAAAGATCAGAAACTGGTGCGATTGGCTACCTACAGGGACAGGTGGAAAGGAGTGGAAAGAACTGTTGAATGGGATAGGATGGCAGGGAAGAGCAGGGAGTGACACTTCTCTGACTATATCTTTTTAATTTTTCTTATTGAGATATCATTTACATGCCATAAAATTCATCCTTTAAAGTATAAAATGCAGTAGTTTTTAGTATATTTACAAAACTGTGCAACCATCACCACTATCTAATTTCAGATTGGGAGTCCTTTCCAGTAACATCTCCACAAGGCACTGCTTGTGGAGATTTGGAAACACTACTGGTCCATTGGATAGAGGAAGCACGCTCCCCATTGGATTCTTCTTTATAATTGGATGGAGGGCTCTAATACAGAGAAACTGGATGCTCTGCTAATCTAGAGGTCGGGATTTTCACCACCCCAATAGAAACCTCATACCCAAGCATTCTCCATTTCCCCCTCCCCTTATCCCCTTATCCCCTGGCAACCTCAAATCCTATCTCAATGGATTTGGCTATTGCAGGTATTTCATATACTGAAATCATACAATATGTGGCCTTTTGAGTCTGGCTTCTTTCTTTCTTTTCTTTTCTTTTTTTTTGCGGGGGGACAGGGTCTCACTCTGTTGCTCAGGTTGGAGTGCAGTCACGTGATGACAGCTCACTGCAGCCTCAAACTCCTGGGCTCAAGCAATCCTCCTGCCTCAGCCTCCTGAATAGGTGGGACTACAGGTGTGTGCCAATGTGCCCAGCTAACTTTTTAATTTTTGTAGAGACAGAGTCATACTCTGTTGCCTAGGCTCATCTCCAGCTCCTGGTCTCAAGTGATCCTCCTGCCTTGGCCTTCCAAAGTCTAGCTTCTTTCACTTAGCATAATGTTTGCAAGGTCCATCTATGTTGTAGCATGGATCTGTACTTCATTCTTTTTTAGGGCTGGATAATATTCCATTGTATGAATATACCACATTTTGTTTATTCATTCATCTGTTGACAGACATTTGGGATTTTTCCACTCTTTGGCTACTGTGAATAATGCTTTGAATATTCATGTGCAAGGTTTTTTTTGAGACAAGCTTTCACTCTGTGGCCCAGGCTGGAGTGCAGTGGTGTGATCACGGCTCATTGCAGCCTCGACTTCTCAGGCTCAACTGATTCTCACACCTCAGCCTCCCTAATAGCTGGGACTACAGGCATGCATCCCCATGCCCGGCTAATTTTTATTTTTATTTTTTTGTGGAGATGGAGTCTCACTGTGTAACCCAGGCTGCATGTGCAAGATTTGGAGTGGACATCTGTCTTCAGCTCTCTCGGGTATATGTCTGGGAGTGGACTTCCTGGGTCATAGGGTAACTCCATGTTTAACTTTTTGAGGAACTGCCAGACTGTTTTCCCAAGTGCTAGGAGTGTCCACCTAAATCCTCCTGCCAGGCCCTGCAAGCTCCTGATGTAGCCCCGCGACCCTGGGAGTGAGAAAATCCCGCCCAAGACCCCAGCCAGTGGAGAGAACTGGAGCCAAGCCGGCACCTGGGGCTGCTGCCTGCATATTGCCAAAGAGGGGCCTGTGGGTCCCCAGGGTCCCTGGATTCTCCAGCGTCCTACAGGCCAGCAGCAGCTGGCAGGGTTCAAGAGTAAGGGTGGGCAGGAGGGGTGCCTGCGTCCTCCCTGTGCAATCTGGGGCCCAGAGGCAGCGGCACCTGCCCCCACCCTGCCCCTAGGCTGATATGTGTACATCTGCCCCCACTCCCCAGCTGATGGAGCTCTGACTGATTCTGCTCTGGGTTCCCAGTTCTAAAACTGCCTTCGCAAAAATTATAACAGTGAGAAAATTATGCCAGTAAAAGAGATCTGACCTAACTGACTCCACCTTGCTTCTAACCTCCCAGCTACCCTTGTTCATTTTGGGGTGTAAGAACTAATTTTGGGAGATAGTTATAGTTTAACTTTGAAACAAAGGTAACAATAGCCCTTTCCCAAAAGAAACTTCCTTTTGCCTGGGGACCAGACTGCCTTTGTAGGACTAATAAATTAGCCACAAGATTAGAAATTATGGTTTAGAAGTCAGCTGGGAGCGGTGGCTCCTGCCAGTAATGCCAGCACTTTGGATGGCTGAAGTAGGTGGACTGCTTGAGGGCATGAGTTTGAAACCACCCTGGCCAACATGGTGTAACCCTGTCTCTGCTAAAAATACAAAAAGCACCCAAGCGTGTTGCCACACGCCTGTAGTCCCAGCTACTCAGGAGGCTGAGGCAGGAGAATCACTTGAACCCAGGAGGTGGAGGTTGCAGTGAGCCAAGATCATGCCACTGCATTCCAGCCTGGGCAACAGAGCAAGACCCTGTCTCAAAAAAAAAAAGAAAAAGAAATTTATGGTTTAGGAGACATGTAGCCAGAGGCTACAAGATTCTACACCTCCCCAGTTACTCCTAGGGATAACATCACTATTGTAAAACCTAAGACTGGTGCTGAAAATATTTTTCAGCCCCTGCACTCGATGGATCAGGCATCACCCAAATGGATAAACTGGCTCATCATGTCTTGTGGCCCCCACCCAGAGACTGACTCAGTGCTAAAGGATGGCTTTGACTCACTGTGATTTCATCTCTAACCCAATCAATAATCACTCCCTACTCTCTTGCCCCCTACCCACCAAATTATTCTTAAAAAACCCCATTCTCCAAGTTTTCAGAGAGACTGACTTGAGTAATAATAAGACACCGGTCTTCTGTTCAGCTGGCTCTGTGTGAATTAACCTCTTTCTCTATTGCAATGCCCTTGTCTTGATAAATTGGCTCTATCTGGGCAGTGGGCAAAATGATCTTGTTGGGAGGTTACAAATTAGCACCGAGGAGGCAGGGTGGGGGTGGGGGGCATATGGCTGAATTGGGTGTGCAAGGGGTCCTGGCTGAGCCTTAAGATATTTAGGCCCAGAAGAGGGGTAGATCTGGTGTCCCCTTGGATGTGGGGACAGGAACCCATTTGCTAGGAAGCTTTGGTTTCACCTGAAGGTTTCAAGTACTCTGGCACCTAGAGGGGCCCCAAAGTGTGGGAAGGAGCCCCTGCCCCACCACATCTGGCCCTTGGGCTCCCATTTGAACAGGGATTGGGTGGGGGCTGCTAGCAGGAGTCTCAGGCCACCCAGACAGCTGTGCCCCAACCCCAAGAGTTTAGGGGCAGGAGGCTCCCTTTTCCCCACTTCTGTGTAGAGCCCAGTATTGCTCAGCAGGGGCAGGGCAGTGCTTCAGAACACTTCAGCCTGGACCCAGCAGTGAGGACGGAGGGGATAAAGGAAGGGGACATAGGAAGGGGCCTGGCTGACACCTGGCGCAGAGCATTCAGACAACACTCAGAGCCCTCACCTCACCTGCATGCTGGGAAGCTATGGGAGAGATGGGGTAGGGTCAGAGGCAGTTGGGGCGTGGAGAACTCTCCATGCCCCTAGGTGCTTCCACAGGGTCCTAGGACCACTCACTCTCCAGGCACAGGTGCTCAGATCTTCTCCAAGCTCCAGGCCCAGGGGCCTCAGTCTACTGAATCCTCCTACCCCAGTCACTCCACTCCAAGGGCCAGAGCCGAACCAGTCTTCCTCTGGGCCCTGACAAGCACACCCCATCCCCACCCCCTACTTTCCAGGAACCAGCCCTGCAGGTCCAAGATCACTTCCTTCTCTCCTCTTCTCCCCTTTCCCGCCCTTCAACACACCAAGGCACCATGCCCTGCCAGGTCCTGCTCCTGTTACCCCGGACCCCTCCACTCCTTTCTTCCCACAAGAACAGGTGCACTACTGCGCACCACCTCCCCACCATCCCCAGGGCTCCCTGCCCCAGATCCCGCTACCCCAGCAGTGCATGAACTTGCTCAAATCCAAATCCAATCCTTTACTCTATTGCTTAAAACTCTTGGCGGGGCACCGTGTCTCACGCCTGTAGTCCTAGCACTTTGGGAGGCCAAGGCAGGTGGATCACTTGAGGTCAGGAGTTTGAGACCAGCCTGGCCAAAATGGTGAGACCCCATCGCTACTAAAAATACAAAAATTAGCCAACCATGGTGGCAGGCACCTGTAATCCCAGCTACTCGGGAGGCTGAGGCTGGAGAATCACTTGAACCCGGGAGACAGAGGTTGCAGTAAGCCGAGATTGTGTCATTGCACTCCAGCCTGGGTGAGAAGCACAAGACTCTGTCTCAAAAAACAAAAACAAAACAAAACAAAAAAAGAAAAAAAACAACCTCTTGAAAGCAGGAGTCAATAATCAAGGATGACATTTTAAAAACTGACGTCATCCCTGTGTTCTTGGGAGAATCAGAATTAATCTTCTGGAAAGACTGCTCTTCTGCTGGGAAAATAGGTTAATGGAGCTGTTTGTTATTCACAGACTAGGCTGAGTCTGGGCTGCTGGGAGGAGGGGGCCTGCATCACAACAGAATTATTCCATAAATGACTGTCCCAGGGTGCAGAGGGGCATCTCTAAAGAAACCGTTCTAATATTGATTTAATGCTAAGAGCCTGGCAGTTTTCCCTGCAGCCCTGGGGCAAAGAGAGGGTTGACCCTTCAAAGCAAGTGCTGTTTCCTGATCTTCTGGCTTCCTGGGCACACAGCCTAGCTTTGGGCAAGGGGAGGTGTCTATAGGGACCAAGGGGGCTATATCCTCACTTTGAGGAATGGGGTCTGTGGGGTAGCCTCCGCCTCCAGGTTGAAAGGCAGCTATGGGATCAGTGTGACCCACTTCCCCGATATAATCAATAGAATAGGCATGGCCTGCTTTCCCAGGCCTGGAACAAACAAGGGCCCCGACCCCTAGATTAGCAGAGCATCCAATTTCTCTGTATTAGAGCCCTCCATCCAATTATAAAGAAGAATCCAATGGGGAGCGTGCTTCCTCTATCCAAGGGACCAGTAGTGCTTCCAAATCTCCACAAGTAGTGCCTTGTGGAGATGTTACTGCAAAGGACTCCCAATCCAGACCCCAAAAGAGAGCTATTAGATCTCAAGCAAGAAAGAATTCACTGTGAGTCCACACAGTGAAGTGAAAGCCAGTTTATTAGAAAAGTAAAGAAACAAAAGAATGGCTACTCCACAGGCGGAAGAGCAGCTCCAAGGTTGGCTATTTTTTTTTTTTTTTTTCTGAGACTAAGTCTCACTCTTGTCCGCCAGGCTAGAGTGCGATGGTGTGATCTCGGTTCACTGCAACCTTCACCTCCAGGGTTCAAGCAATTCTTCTGCCTCAGCCTCTCGCGTAGCTGGGATTACAGGTGCCTGCCACCACACCTGGCTAATTTTTGTATTTTTAGTAGAGATGGGGTTTCACCATGTTGGCCAGGCTGGTCTCAAACTCCTGAACTCAGGTGATCTGCCCTCCTAGGCCTCCCAAAGTGCTGGGATGGGATTACAGGCATGAGCCACCATGCCCCTGCCTAGGGTTGGCTATTTTTATGGTTATTTCTTGATTATATGCCAAACAAGGGATGAATTATTCATGAGTTTTCCAGGAAAGGGGTCAGGGTTTCCCAGAACTGAGGGCTCCTCTTTCTTTTAGACCATATAGGGTAACTTCCTGACCTTGCCATGGCATCTGTAAACTGTCATGGCGCTGGTGGGAGTGTCTTTTAGGATGCTAATGTTTATAATTAGTGTATAATGAGCAGTGAGGGTGATCAGAGGTCCTTTTCATTGCCATCTTGGCTTTGGCAGGTTTTGGCTAGCTTCTTTACTGCATCCTGTTTTATCAGAGGGGTCTTTATGACCTGTATCTTGTACTGACTGTGAAATCCTAATTAGGGAGGGGGAGTCAGGCTGGAGGGACCAAGGGAAAGCAAAAAGAGAAAGCAGATAAGCTATAAATCCGCCTTTCCTCATGGTCCAGGACACGTAGCCCTCCTTCACAAATAACTCACAATCTTCCTGTGCCCAGCTATCACCAGACCCTGATAGAAAATACAAGTTATCTCACTGCAACCCTGCCATTATCAGTACTGCACAAAGACCTCTCCAGCAGACAGCACAAGCATCATGCAATAAAATCCCAAGCAAGCCTTTGTCTCCTTACAGTCAGCTCCGCTCTTGCCTGCCTGCCCATTGCTTTTTTGTAATGTATTTTCCTACTTTCTCAAATAAATCTGCCTTTCTTTATCTACAATTGTCTTGGTAAATTCTTTTTACTGCCCACTCGACACCGGCCCCAGATAATCACTACCCAAGACACTGATCTCCTATCTCATCCTGTGACTGAGAATGCCTAAGCTCCTGTGGATGCAGCCCAGCAGGTCTCAGCCTCGTTTTACCCAGCCCGTGTTCAAAATGGAGTTGCTCTGGTTCTAACGCCTCTGACAGAGAGACCTGGAGAATGGGCTTCTGCGCCCCACCTGGGGGATGTGGCTGCTAAGTGTGGTGGGGAGGTGATCCGAGTGCCCTTGGGTGTCTCAGCTCTGGGTCGAGCTCTGTGGGCCTGCAGCAGGCTGGCCGGCTAGGGCCTCCCAGTGCCTTCGCTTCCTGGGCCCTGTTTGTCCAGCAATGCTGTGGGAGCCCGTCTTTCTCTCCCTTCCCCATGCACTCTCTTTTGGGAACCTTTGAACATGTCCCTGCTCCGTCCCCTCTCCCCCAGCTTACTCATCTAGTCTAGGCTTAGAGAAAGAGTCTCCTGCTGGCCTTCTCCACATGGAGCTTCCCAGGCTTGTTTGGCCCCGGTACAGAGGCTGACGTGCCCACTCCTTGGTCCTTGGCATAACATCACCATCATGGTTTGATCACTTTATTCCCTCTATCCCCATTCCCATTCCACCCCTGCCAGAGCCAACTGATCTAAGGTGGTTAATGTGTATCTTTTTGCAGGTGTGCTTGGGTAATGTGTCTTGTTTATTTACAAAAATATAATTTTATCTCCTTCTGTTTCTTACTTTTTGCACTGAGCACTGTTTTTAAGATCCCTCCTTGCTGCTATGCATAATGTATTGTTGGCTCTAATGACAGTGCAGTATTTTGCCATGGCGTCTCCCCCACAGCTTACTGCCTACTCCTCGGGGGGTGGACACCCAGGTGGCCACCAGCTCCCTGCCACCTGGAATCACTCTGCAATGAACGTCCTCCCACATGCGGCTTATGAGCTCTTCTTTGGAATGCCTACCTCAGAGTCCTGCTGTTGGGTGGCATGAGACACATGGGCCACCTAATTTAACAACAAAGACAAGATATTATTCAGAACGCCACCCCCACCCCGCCCCCCCATTCCTCACTGACCCATATCCGCACATCCTTGCCAACACTTGGCATTTTTAGGTCTTTCTAATTTTTGCTCATCCATAAGTGCAGACATCTCATTGTTTTAATTTGCCGTTTATTCCAGTCATTCACAATTTTGAGGATCTTCTCACGTGCTGTGAAAGTGGGGCATTTCCTCTTCTGTAAATAAATATAGTGTGATGTTGGCCTCTTTTGCCCACACTTCTGTTGGGGTTTTGGTTTGTATATTCTAGATATTGATGCCTTGTGGAGTTTAGACAGTGTACGTGTCTCTCCCACTGTCAGCCTCTATTATCTTTGTCCTTGTGTGTCATTGAACAGAAATCTTTAATCTTGATATATTCACATTCAAACTTCAGGCCAGGAGTGATGGCTGAAGCCTGCAATCCCAGCACTTTGGGAAGCCAAGGTGGGAGGATCACTTGAGCTCAGGAGTTCAAAACCAGCCTGGGCAATATGGTGAGACCTCGTCTCTACTAAAAATACAAAAATTAGCCAGGCATGGTGGTGCATGTCTGGAGCCTCAGCTGCTTGAGAGGCTGAGGCAGTACGATCCTTTGAGCCCAAGAGATGGAGGCTACAGGGAGCTGTGATCATGCCACTGCACTCTAGCCTGGGTTACAGAGCAAGACCGTCTCAAAAACAAATCTTATGGTTTACGGCTTTGAAATTTTGTTTGAAAAGCCCTTTCCCACACCTAGGCCACAAGATAGTCTCTGATAGTTTCTTCCACTATCCCTAGAGTTTCACATATCAAATTTAGGTCTTTAACTCAGCTAGAGTTCATCCTTGAATGAAGCATTGGGCAATAATCCTGATTCATATTTTCTGTAGAGTGAGCCAGTTTTCCTCACAGCATCTACTACAGAGATGTCTCCCTGCATGCTCCATTCCCACAGAGGCAGCATCTACCTCCGAGTTCACTCCTTTGTTCATTGGGCTGTTCTTTTATCTGTACCATGCTGTTTGTATCACCACAGCTTTGTGGTGCTATTTGTGATATCTAGTAAGGCAAATTTAACTCCTATATTTTAAGATTAATTTTGCTATTTATTTACATTTTAGAGTAAGTTTATCGAGTTCCTAAAAAAAATCCAAATGGATTTTTTTATTAGGGTTGCTTTGAATTTAAAGATAAATTTGGGAAAAATTGATCTCTTTATAATATTACATAGTTTATTTTTACATTTTTATTTATGGATTTAAAGTGACAAATAAAACTGTACATATTTACCATGTGTAACATGACGTTTTGAAATATGTATACATTATGGAATGGCTCATTGGAGCTAATTAACTTTTATTTTTTTGAGACGGAGTTTCGCTCTTATTGCCCAGGCTGGAGTACGATGGTGCAATCTTGGCTCACTGCAACCTACACCTCCTGGGTTCAAGCGATTCTCCTGCCTCAGCCTACCAAGTAGCTGGTATTACAGGCATCAGCCAGGCGTGGTGGCGCACGCCTGCAGTCCCAGCCACTCAGGAGGCCGAAGCAGAAGAATCGCTTGAACCCAGGAGGCGGAGGTTGCAGTGAGCTGAGATCGTGCCACTGCACTCCAGCCTGGGCAACAGAGCAAGACTCCATCTCAGAAAAAAAAAAAGGCCAGGCGCAGTGGCTCACACCTGTAAGGACTTATACAGTCACTTAATTCCTAGATGCTTTCTAATTTTTGTTGTTATTGTGGTTGGTATTTTCTCCCAACTTTTTATTTACTCTTTACAATGTCAATCTAGGCCGGGGACAGTGGTTCACGCCTGTAATCCCAGCACTTTGGGATGCGGAGGTGGGAGGATGGCTTGAGCCCAGGAGGTCAAGACCAGCCCTGGTAACATAGGGAGACCCTATCTCTGCAAAAAACTGAAAATTAAAAAATTATCTGGGCCTAGTGGTGCACACCTGTAGTTCCAGCTACTCAGGAGGCTGAGGTGGGAGGATCTGCTTGAGCTCAGGAGGTCGAGCTTGCAGTGAGCCGTGATTGCACCATTGCACTCCAGCCTGGGTGACACAGTGAGACCCTGTCTCAAAAAAAAAAAAAAAAAAAAAGAAAGAAAGAAAGAAAGAAAAATCAACCTATAGAAAAGTTGAAAGACTAGAACAATGACCATTCTTATGTCCTTCACTTGGACTCATGAATTGCTAATGTTTTGCTGTATTTACTTTATGCTTTATGCTCGCTTACAAACATTCATTCTTTTTTTCTGAACCATGGGAAAGTTCCAGACATCATGAATGGTATACATATTTTTTAAATTTTTCTAGTTGATTATGCCTGGTATAGAGAAATGCTGTTGGTGTTTTATGTTGACCTTGAATCTGGCAATTTTGTTGTTACAAGGCAAAACATTTTTTTTTCCTTTATTTATTTATTTTTTTGAGACAGAGTTTTGCTCTTGTTGCCCAGGCTGGAGTACAGTGGCGTGACCTTGGCTCAATACAACCTCCGCCTTCAGGGTTCAAGCAATTCTCCTGCCTCAGCCTCTTGAGTAGCTGGGATTACAGGCGCCCACCGCCACGCCCGGCTATTTTTTAAAAAATGTTTAGTAGAGATGGAGTTTCAACGTGTTGGTCACGCTGGTCTCGAACTCCTGACCTCAGGTGATCCTCCTGCCATGGCCTCCCAAAGTGTTGGGATTACAGGTGTGAGCCACCGCACCCGGCCAAAACATTTTTTTGTTTGTTTTTAAACTACAACCACAATTAGAATTACATTTTATATCATGATCCTGTATCTTTAGTCTCTGTAATTCACTTCATATTTCTATTTTATTCTTTTTAATTTTTTTATATGTGGGTTTCAGACGCTGAATTGATTTCAGGACCCACATATGGGCCTCAGTTCATGGTTTGAAAACTACTGCTGAAGACTGGGGACCTGTGGTCTGGGCTCCCGCAGGCAGTACACCCAGTTATAGGCCCTGGCTGTGCTCCATGCCTTCCTCCGGCAGGCTGCTGTAGCCCTGGCTGACTGAATGCAGAGGTCCAGGGGCCAGCAAACATTCATAGTATTTGTGTCATTCAAGCCCCTCACAGATCGCCCTCCCCAGGGCTGGATTCTGAGCGAGGGTCACACCTGGGCTCCCTGCCCTGCCGCAGATCGGCTGTGGGACGCTAGGCTGGCCACCACTTCTCTCAGGGCCCTCTTTCCCATGCACAGGAGCTGGTCAGGGAAGGCATTTCTCAAAACCTTTCAGGCTTGGACTTCCTGTCTCTCTATCATTTTTATTTGCTCTTTCTTCAGGGTTTAGGGGAGTGAGTAGGTGTGGCATTGGGGTGGAGGAACCGAGGTGGGGCCTTGCCTTTGAGCTCTGCCCTCCACCCTGCCCAGCTCTGCATGCGTCTGAGGTGGCAGGGGCTGGGACGTTTTCCTGCCACTGAAAGTGTGAACAATGCTATGGCTGGTTTATTTTTTCCTCGCTGGTGTGTGTTCTATTTTCAGTAAGTTTTAATTGAAATGTAGATTCGGGTATATTGTGTGAGATAGAACACTCCCAGGTGCCCCAGTGACTAGACGGCCAGATTACTGTCTGCCTCCTTTCTCTGAAGCTTGGAGACCCGGCCTCTGGCCTTGTGCAGCTCTAGCCTGTGGACTCTGGGAGTAGTGGGCCCAAGGCATGGTGGCTGGGGTGGTGATTAGGGCCCAGGAACAGCAGGCAGGAGGCCCAGGCCCTTAGTCCTCGATGCCCAGCAGGCTCCATTGATCTTGGGCAGGTCTCTTCTCTACCCAGGCCTCAGCCTCCACATCTTTCAAGTAGGGATGATAATCCTGTTTTCTGGTTGCGGTGAGGACACAAGGAAATCAGGGGCTTAGAGGTACTTTATAACATGATGTCTCTCTACATTACTTTGTGTATTTAAAAAAAAATCTTAATACAGCCAGGCGTGGTGGCTCATGCCTGTCATCCCAGGACGTTGGGAGGCTGAGGTAGGAGGATTGCTTGAGCCCAGGAGTTCGAAACCAGCTTGACCAATACACGGTTAGTGAGCCATTAGTGATCAGTGAGTTGTGATCTATCGCACCACTGCACTCCAGCACTCCGGCCTGGGAGACATAGCTATAAGACATAAAGATACATAATATTTATACATATAAGAAATGTAAGATACATATATCTTAACATAATTTTTAATTATTTTCTTGCATATCTTCTTTTAGATTTAGCCCTGAGTATAATTTTGTTTCTATTGACACTTTAAAAAATGACTTTTCCTGGCATATATGCACCATGGAATACTATGCAGCCATAAAAAAGGATGAGTTCATGTCCTTTGCAGGGACACGGATGAAGCTGGAAACCATCATTCTAAGCAAACTATCACAAGGACAGAAAACCAAACACCGCATGTTCTCACTCATAGGTGGGAGTTGAATAACGAGAACACATGGACACAGGGTGGGGAACATAACACACAGGGGCCTGTCGGAGGGTGGGGATTTTGGGGAGGGATAGCATTAGGAGAAATACCTAACGTAAATGACGAGTTGATGGGTGCAGCAAACCAACATGGCACATGTATACCTATGCAACAAACCTGCACGTTGTGCCCATGTATCCTAGAACTTAAAAGCATAATGAAAAAAAAAAAGCAAAAAAAAAAAAAAAAAAAAAAAAAAAGAAGCTAGCTGAAACCTACCAAAACCAAGATGGCAATGATAGTGACCTCTGGTGGTCCTCACTGCTCATTACATGCTAATTATAATGCATTAGCATGGTAAAAAATACTCTCACCAGCGCCATGACAGTTTACAAATGCCATGGCAACGACCGGAAGTTACCCTATATGGTTTTAAGAGGAGGGACCTTTATTTCCGGAAATTGTCCCCCCTTTACCGAAACCTCATGAATAATCCACCCCTTGTTTAGCATATAGGTATACTCAGTCAAGTAGCCTGCATTGCTGCCCTGCCTATGTAGTAGCCATTCTTTTGTTTATTTACTTCTCTAGTAAACTTGCTTTCACTCTAAAAAAAAAAAAAAAAAAAGACTTTTCCTCATAGCTTGTTGCTACTATATAGGAATTAAATAGATTCTTTTGGTCTTTTTCTTTTTGAGACAGGGTCACCAAGGCTGGAGTGCAGTGGCACGATCAGGGCTCACGGCAGCCTCGACCTCCCGGACTCAAGCGGTCCTCCCACCTCTGCCTCCCGAGTAGCTGGGATTACAGGTGACACCACCACTCCCTGCTAATCTTCGTATTCTTTGTAGGGATGGGGTTTCCCCATGTTGCCCAGGCTGGTTGCAAACTCCTGGGCTCAAGAGATCCACCCACCTCGGCCTAGATTTTTGTATATTGATTTTTTATCTGGAGAAGTTGCTACCTTTTCTTAGTAATCTAATGAAATATCTGGAGGGTTTGTGCGCGTGTGTGGTTTTTTTTGGTGGTTTTTCTATGTAGACTAATAGTTCTTGAAGAGGTGTACTGCCCTCTAGGGAGAGATTTGGAAATTTGCAGGGGAGTTTTATTTTTTGTTGTTGGGCCCAAGAATTCACACATCAAAATAACATTTTATTTTAAAGTATTTTTCTTTTATTTACCTCATATTTACATAATTTACAATAAAAGCATTGTATTGGCTTTTTGAAAATATGTGTGTGGAAGTGTTATATTATCTAAGTATTTCATTTCAGGATGGAGAGAGTGGCATTCATTTGTTACAGAAAGGGAAGTTGGATCTGATAGGGTTCTAAACTTCTGAGATTTTGAAAAAGTTCTTCCTCTAGTTCCAATTATTATATTTCTGTATCTTTTTTTGTCTTGGTGTTCTCTCAAGTTCTGGACAATTCTGAACAGAAGTAGTGATGATGGGTATATCTCATTTGCTCCTAACTTTAAGCAAAATGCTGTCAAATGCTTTCACCTCTTACTAAGATTTTCTTTAAAATCACTAATGGATGTTGAATTTTAATAAACGTCTTTCACATTGCCTCTGAAATGCTCATATTTCTCTTGATATAATGTACCTCATTGACGGATCTTCCTGTCTTATTTATGTAGTTTGGCTGTTTTTCTAATGCTAAGCCCCTCTGGAATTTCTAGTATAAACACACCTCCGTCCTGATAGATCTCCTTTTCACATGTCATCGCATTTCGCCTGCTAGCATTTTGTGTAAGATTTTTGTTTCCATCTAGGTTCCTGAGACAGGCGCATCATCTTCCCTGCTCATGGGATCCTTGAGGGGTTTGAGTGTCAAAGTCATGCTGGTCTCACAAGGGGCGTTGGGGGATCGCGCTCCGGGGTTGCTTCGCTGAGTGCGCGTGTGTGCGGGATGCGGGGTGCGGGGTGCGGGGCGTGCCCCCTGGCGGCCGCGGGCCGCATGAGCCGAACGAGCGGAGCGGGGAGCGCCGGGCCAGTGCCGTGGGGAGCGATGCGCCAGGTGGCGCCGGGTGACGCCAGGTGATGCCGGGGCTGCGCGGGTACTGCAGCCTTCCGTGGACCTGGACACGCGTGCAACCCAGCTTCAGAGACCGGGTGGCCAGGACCCAGAGTCACCCAGCCGACCCATAACGGCGGCTTCTTGAGTCTCGGGGCCGGCAAGGTCCTGAATCTTCATCTCTAGGAATAGAATGGGGATAATCCGCCTGTCTGTCAGGGAAATGGGAGGAGGCTGTAAAAGCATTTTTTGTGTGATTTTGTGTCAAAGCACAATTCGGACCTTCCAGAGGACCTGTCCGCATTCTGGCCTCAGCATTCTTGTTTTCCTGTTTCTTGCAAGCCCTTGACAAATGGCAGCTAGGGGCAGGGAATTCAGAATTAATGTCACTCAGTAGTCCAGAATGAGAGCTCGCATCATGGAGGTCTGTGTGGAAGAAGCACCCTTGTTTGATTCATTTTTGTGCATTATTTCATTACTGTTGATTTATTCCACAAATATTGACTGGGCACTGTGGTGGGCATAATAACGGCCGCCCAAAAAGTTGCCCATACCCTACTGAATACCTGGAACCTGTGACTGATGCATGTTACATAAGAATGTTACATGTGGCATGTCACCATGTTACATGGCAAAGAGAAGTAAGGTTGGAGGTAGAATGAAGGTTGCTCATCAGCTGACTTTAAGATAGGAAAAGAATCCCAGGTTATCTAGGTAGGCCCAGTGTAGTTACAGGGTCCTTGGAAGTGGAAGGAGAAGGCAGGAAAGTCAGAGAGTGATGTGGCTGTGGAAGCAACGCACCAAGAGCCGCCACATGGTCGGTTTTGGAGATGGAGGAAGGAGGTCTCTGCAAGCTGGAAAAGGCAAAGAAATGGATCCTTCCCTAGCACCTCCAGTAAGGAGTGCAGTTGGTGGGTAGAGCTGTAGGGTAACAGATGAGTGTGCTTTTAAGCCAAGCTTGTGGGAATTTGTTACAGCAGCAATAGGGAACTAGTACAGTATCCTAACACAGGGGTCCCCAATCCCTGGGCCAATGACCGGTATTGGTTGTGGCCTGTTAGGAACCGGGCTGCACAGCGGCAGGTGAGCAAAGCTTCATTTGTAATTTATAGTTGCTCCCTATCGCGTGCATTACCACCTCAGCTCCGCCTCCTGTCAGATCAACGACAGCATTAGATTCTCATAGTAGCATGAACCCTATTGTGAACTGCGCATGTGAGGGATCTAGGTCGCCTGCTCCTTATGAGAATCTACTGCCTGATAATCTATCACTGTCTCCTATCACCCCCGATGGGACTGTCTAGTTGCAGGAAAACAAGCTCAGGGTTTCCACTGATTTTACATTATGGTGAGTTGTATAATTATTTCATTATATATTACCATGTAATAATAATAGAAATAAAGTGCACAATAAATGTAATGCACTTGAATCTTCCCCAAACCATCCCCCACGTTGGTCTGTGGAAATATTGTCTTCCACAAAACCAGTCCTTGGTGCCAAAAAGGTTGGGGACTGCTGTCCTAACAGATACAGTCCACATCACTGGGACAGATGGCACTCATCCACTCATCCATTCACCCCAAAAGCATGTAGGAGTATTTGTTATGGCCTGCTCAGAAAATAGATCAGCAAGTGACAAGTGGCTGTGGCTACTGAAGGCCCACGGCAAGGGCTGCAGAAAGGTCACAGAAGTGCCACCTCCTCCTGCTTCCTTCAACCTCTCAGAGCTGCCAGTAAGCCTGCAGAATGACAGTACCCTCCTATGTGGTTTACAGAGGATTTACATGGCCCTGGCATGGAACATCACTGTGGAAAGTGTATTAGTCCATTTTCACACTCCTATAAAGAATACTACCTGAGACTGTGTAATTATAAAAGAAAGAGGTTTAATTGACTCACAGTTCTGCAGATTTAACAGGAAGCATGGCTAGGAGGCCTCAGGAAACTTACAATCATGGCGGAAGGCGAAGGGAAAGCAGACACCTTCTTCATGGGCAGCAGGAGGGCGTGTGTGCGAGAATGAGGAAGTGCCGCGCTTTAAAACCATCACCTCTCGCGAGAACTCACTATCACGACAAGAACGTGAGGGAATCCGACCCCGTGATCCAATCACCTCCCGCCTGTCCAGTCCTACGTGTCCCTCCCCTGACATGTGGGAATTACAATTCAAGATGAGATTTGGGTGGGGAAACAGAGCCAAATCTTATCAGAAAGAGCGGCTCAGAGAGGTGAGATGACCTACTCAAGTTCCAGGAGTGGGAGTGATGGGACTTGCCACGGATTCCCTCTGTGTAAATCTGTGACAGCCCTGATGTAAATCAGACATGGCCTCTCCCTCTGGGAGCAGCCAGTCTACTTGGTGAAAAACAAGGGATGAAAGGGGACACAGCAGGTGACTTAAGTGCTATGGTTGGAATGTTTATGTTTCCCCGGAATTCTTTTTTTTTTTTTTTTTTTTGAGACAGAGTCTTGCTCTGTCGCCCAGGCTGGAGTGCAGTGGCGTGATCTTGGCTCACTGGAAGCTCCGCCTCCCAGGTTCACGCCATTCTCCTGCCTCAGCCTCCCGAGTAGCTGGGACTACAGGTGCCTGCCACCATGCCCGGTTAATTTTTTTGTATTTTTAGTAGAGACGGGGTTTCACTGTGTTAGCCAGGATGGTCTCTATCTCCTGACCTCGTGATCTGCCCGCCTCAGCCTCCCAAAGTGCTGGGATTACAGGCGTGAGTCACCACACCCGGCCCCCCGGAATTCTTACGTTGAAATCCTAGCCCTGAAGGTGACGTGGTGATGATGTGATGATGGCAGAACCCTCACCAATGGAATCTGGGCCGCTGTAAAAGAGGCCGTGGGAGCTTGCTTGCCCCTCCCACCATGCAGTGACACAGCAAGAAGGCAGTGAGGAATGGGCCCTCGCCAGACACCAAACCTGCTGGGACCTTGACCTTAGACTTCCCAGCCTCCAGAACTTTCAGAAATGTTTGTAAGACACCCAGTTTATGGTATTTTTGTTACAGCAGCCTGAACAGACTAAAACACTAGCAGGGCAAGGCTGCTGTAACAGTAGACAAACCCCAGAAGCTGAAAAATCATAAAAGTTTTTGTCTATATTGTTCTGTCCATAATTTTTTTTAAAAGCATAAAAGTTTATTTTGTCTTCCTCAGTAGTCTGAACTGAGTATTCCAGGTTGGTCCCCGGGCTGCTCTGCTCCGTGCAGGAACTCAGGAATCCTCGTTTCTCTGCCTTCCTCTAGGCCAGCGGTTCTCTGCTAGGGTGAATTTTCCCACCAGGGTATGTTTGGCAACGTCTGGAGATACTTTGGGTGTCATGACTTGGGCTGTGATACTGGTATCTAGTGAGTGGAGGACATGGATGCTGCTGAATGTTTTACAATGCACGGGACTGCCCCCCACAACAAAGAACCGTCCTGCCCCAAATGTCAGTAGTTGAGAAACTTCCACTTGGGCCTGAAGCATTGTCCTCACTTGCAAAGTCAGAGCTGGGTCCCAGGCCCATCCATGTTCCAGCGAATGGGAAGGAGGAAGAGAGCATAAGCAGGCCCAGGTGCCACAGTGATCCTCATCCACTCCCGTCCATCCATGAGGGCCTAGTCACAGGGCCACATCTAACTTCAGGGGACGGAGTGCTGGGAAATGGAGTCTAGGTGAGTGCCCAGGAGGAAGGGAACAGCCGACTCAGGTGGGCAGCTGGCAGCTTCCCCGACAGGCGTCCTAACTGGTGCAAGAGACATGCAGGATGGAGGTGGTTGGAGGACATTTCGGTAACTAGGTCAGAGCTTGTGCAAAATGCAGAGACAAGAGAGAGCCTGACAAAGCGCAGGCACTGCCACCTGGATGGAGGCTGACAGTGGGAGGGAGGGATCAGTGAGCAGCAGGCGGGTGGCAGGAGCCTGAAATGCAGGACTGAGGAGTCTAGTCTTCGTCCTGAAGGCAGGGAAGGACCTTTGGCCAGTCTCCTGACGTTCTGCCCCGGCTCTTTCCTCCCTGAAGGTGAGTCCCTCGTGTCCATCTTACATAGTTGGGACCTTGCTGACACACACTTCTGCCTGCCTTTAGGCCGTTTCCTTGATTTTCTATGTTGCCAAGATGACTGGCAGCTGCTGGAGGTCAGGACCACAGCCTGGTTCTCAGAGCCCCAGGCACCAAGTTCCCACCCACCCTTGCAAACTCTCCTTTTTTTTTTTTTTTTTGAGATGCAGTCTTGCTCTGTCGCCCAGGCTGGAGTGCAGTGGCACGATCTCGGCTCACTGCAACCTCCGCCTCCCAGGTTCAAGTGATTCTCCTGCCTCAGCCTCCCAAATAGCTGAGATTACAGGCACGAGCCACTATGGCCGGCTAATTTTTGTACTCCCAATAGAGACGGGGTTTCACCATATTGGCCAGGCTGGTCTCGAACTCTTGACCTCATGATCCGACCTCCTCAGCCTCCCAAAGTGCTGGGATTACAGGCGTGAGCCACCTCGCCCGGCCCCACAATCTTAACCACTGTCCACTTCGGTCTCAGATCCCCCACCTCCCGAACACAATTCTACACACCTGCCTCCACAGGCTCCCCAACACTGGCCTCCATGTTCCCACCAGCCTTTCTCCACTTCGGACTCCCCGGAACTCCCTGCTGGGTTGTCCAAGGCCCACTGAGCCTGAGGCCCAGACCCCGGCAAGGAGCCTGTCTCTGACCCGTGGGGGTGATTATTGGCGGGCAGGACCCAACTAGGCCATTAGCTTTGGTTGGGGTGAGTGTGGAGGGGACCACAGTGGTGTGCTGTCTGGGAATGCCACGGCCCTGGATTAGTCACTGTCTGACCGGGCCTCTGGTTTCCACTTTGCACGGTGAAGATTTCTACCTCACGGTGTACTGGGGTAGTGGTGGGAAGAAGGCCACCACATGCGCCTCAGCTGCGTGTTGGCTGACTTCTTGGGGGAGGGGGAAGCGGGATCCACCTGATACTGTCAGCCCAGCTCCAGCTCCACTCACTTGTAAACAGTGGAAATCACAACTGACATTTGTAGGCACATGGCAGGGGGCGCTGATCCTGGCTCCCACGCTCCCAGGTCTCCCTTGCTCCACTGCTCAAGAGGACCCGAGTGTGGGAGCGAGGGGCCCGGAATTCTTGCAGAGAGGGCGGTGGAGCTGGCTTTGCGAGGATGAAGAGATAGTCTAGCCGAGTGGTCCTCAGGCCTAGCTGCACATTCGCATCACTGGAGGAACTTAAAAAATACTTAACATGTCTGGGTCCACCCCAGACTAATCAAATCGAAACTTCGGGAGATGGAGCCAGGATGTAGGCATTTTCCACACCCCCCACCCCAGCTGATTTCAGTGCGCAGCTGGGGTTCAGGTGCACAGAGCTGGGCAGGACGTAAGGTACCCAGAGCGGGAAAGCTGCCTTCTCAGCATGGACATGGTTGGAGGCCCGGGGCTGAAGCCGCCCAACTGGCCTCAGGAGACCCGGTGTCCCCGGTCACAGCTGAGCGCGGGGCTGTGCAGCGCCTTCCACATGAGCAGCATCTCGTAGGGCGCGAAGCGGTGCACTAGCAGCAACTCGCGGTACATGCAGGGGTCGAAGGAGGACTGCTGTGCGCCAGGCAGCTGCACGCCGAAGGGTCGGATGCCCTCGTGGCCGCTGGGCGCCAGGCCGGCGCGCTCCAGACACATGCCCATGTAGGCGTCGTCGATGGGGAAGAGCGGGGTGTGGCGGGCGGCCGCGCGCAGGGCCCGGGCCGTGGGGCCGGACAGGAGGAAGCCGCCGCCGCTGCAGTACACCGGGTAAGCGGACCCGGGGAAGAGCTGCGGCGGCACGAAGTACTTGCTCCAGCTGTCGCGGATGGGCACGGAGCCCTCCATGAGCTGGCCGGAGAACAGGTGGCGGCCGGGTGGCTGCGCCTGCAGGAAGCGGACTACGTTGGCGGTGTGCACGAACACGTCGTCGTCGCCGCTGAGCAGAAAGCGCGCGTGCGGGCAGCGTGCAGCCAGCCAGTCGAGCAAGTGCAGGTGCTTGAGCGTGAGGTTGAGGAAGGTGTCCGCGAAGGCCCACTGCAGCACGTCGCCGTGCTCGCGCGCCTCCAGCGCCACCAGCTCCGCCAGCCGCTCCGCGCGCGCCTCGTCCTCGGGGCCCGGGGTGCCCAATAGAAAGAGGCGGCGCACTGGCCGCCCGCCGTAGCTGCGCTCTTGCCCCCACGTGCGCCGGATGAGCTCGCGTCGCTCGTAGTGCTCAGGCGCCGACTTCACCGCCAGGAGCAGGAACACGCCTCGGCCGCCGGCGCACTTGGCCGGTGCGTCCCAAAGCAGCGGGAAGTGGCGGCAGTGGCGGTACCGCAGGAAGTCCTGGATGCGCGCGGGCAGCTGCTCGAAGTCGGCCGTGGCGTTCGCCGAGGCGTTCGCCACGCACGGGGGCCCGGGGACGAGCTCCGAGGGCGGCTCGTCAGCCGCGGGAGCGTCGGTGGGACCCTCTGGCGTCTCCTCCTGCGGGGACCTCTCCTCCCGCGGGGACCTTGGCGCCTGGAGGAACCACTGCTGCAGTGCTAAGAAACTCACGCCCACCAGGAGGCAGGCCAGAGTCTTGGCAGTCAGGGACCTGCGGCAGGGAAAAGCCATCTGTGGGGGAAACCGAGTCAGAGGTGAGCCGGAAGTCGTCTTTGACACCGGCAGGACACCACCCGTACCCCGTCACTTCTCTCCCAGAACCCAGCTCCAGCCCCTTCTCAACTCTGCTGTTAAGTGGTAAAAAGGAATCAAAATCCAAGATTACACTGACGGTCTCTGGTCTCCCACACTCCGGACCGTTCCTCTGACCTTCAGATTTGAGTCTCTCTTTGCCTCCTGACAACACCGCCCCACAACCCGTCACATAGGCCCAGTGGACTCATCGTCTGAGTCTCCATCTTCCCCTGAACCCATACCCTGCTGTTCCCACCTCCGTTCACCTGACTACTCCAGCCAGAAGCCCCAGCCTTCTTCCTTGTCCTTCTCAGCTGCTACCTGCTCTCCGCATCCTGTTGATTCTGCGCCCTACATCCCTCTCATTTATTCCCTCCTCTCCGCCTCTGTCCAGCTCGGATCATCTCTAATCACTTCCCCTCGTTGCCTCCCGAGTCGAGGAAGCATGAGGTGATAGCACTGAACTCAGACCCAGAGCCGAATTCTGCCATCCCCACTTCCCCATCTGCACCGTCTGAACAGTCAGTTCCGATGGCTGGGTCTGAGTGTTCTCATCTGTGACGAAGGGTTAGTGAATTCCTACTGCAGGGCTGTTGTGAGCATGAAATGAGTATGAAGTGGCCAGTGACTGGGTGACACGGGTGATATGACCTTATGGGTGAGATGATCTCCACGGCATCCTCTAGCTCTGCCTCCTCATTCTACCTGCTGGTATTATTTGCTGTTCCCAAACATTCACCTTCAGGCCCTCTCCTGCATGTAGCCTGCCCAGGTGCACCTCAGGCCTGGCTTTTATGAAGACCCCCAGGACGAATCCCAGGTCAGAACAACCTTTCCCGTATTTAACTGTGCCCTGCTAAAAATTCAGTCACATCAGGTTCTGCATCTCAGACCGTTGGCTATTTATTTATTTGAGACAGGGTCTTGCTGTGTCACCCAGGCTGGAGTGCAGTGACACCATCATGACTCACTGCAGTCTTGACCACCTAGGCTCAAGCAGTCCTCCCACTTCAGCTTTTGGAGTAGTTGAGGCGCTCTACAGGAGCGTGCCACCACACCTGGGTCATTAAATTTTTTTTTTTTTTTTTTTCTGTAGAGACGGGTTCCCACTATATTGCCCAGTCTGGTCTTGAACTCCTGGGTTCAAGTGATCCTCCCACCTCAGCCCCGAAAAGTGCTGGGATTACAGGCATGAGCCACTGTGCCCCGTTCCTTCTCCCTCCTTAAAACAGACTCTACGCTCTCCTGCCTTTCCTCCTTTCTTTTTGACCATGTTTCTCAGTTCCCTTTGCTCAGTTCCCCCTCTCTAATAACCTCCTCCTCCTCTTCCCCCTCCCCCTCCCCTCCTCCTCCCCCTCCTCCCTCCTCTATCCTCCCTTCTCTCCCTCCCCCTCCTCCTCCCCCTCATCCCCTCCCCCTCATCCCCTCCCACTCATTCCCCTCCCATCCTATCCCTCTCCTCCCCCTCCTCCCATATCCCCCTCCTCCCCCTCCTCCTCCCTCTTCCCCCTCCCCTTCCCCCCTCCTCTTCTTCTTCTTCTTCTTCTTTCTTCCTTTCTCCTTCTTCTTTTTTTTTGAGACAGGGTCAGACTCTGTCACCTAGGCTGGAATGCAGTGGTGTGATCGTGGCTCACTGCAGTCCGCACTTCCCAGGCTCAGGTGATCCTCCCACCTCAGCCTCCCAAATAGCTGGGACCACAGGCATGTGCCACAGTGCTTGGCTAATTTTTTCTATTTTTTGTAGAGACAGTGTCTTGCCATATTGTCCAGGCTTGAGCTCAAACTCTTGGGCTCAAGTGATCCTCCCGCCTTGGCTTCCCAAAGTGCTGGGATTACAGGTGTGAGCCACCGCACCTGACCTCTCTAATAATAACCTTTAATAGTGGAAGGCCTCTAGGGCTCTGACTTAGACACTCATTTCACCTTTGTCCAAGATGGTCTCCTTCACTGTTAGGACCTCCGAGCTCCAGAGCCACATGTCCATCCAGCCGCCTGACTTAACAGCTCCATATGGCTGTCCACAGCCACCTTGGATGCTACTTGAACTCTCATCTTCCTCCCCCAAGCTGTCCCGGAGTGCTGCCATCCCCTGGGTTGTTCAAGCCCAAAACCTTGCTTGACTCCCTCCTTCCCCTCGTTTCCCCACCCAAGCCCCGTTGATTCTCTCTTCTGCATTTTTCATCAACCTACCTGCTTTCATTCCCTCTATCAACAGGTTGATCCAAACTAACATTCCCGCCTCACATGAAGTAGCGTCCTGCTTGGTGTCTCTACACACCATCTTGCTCTCGGCCGACCTCTCCCCTCCCGCAGCTGGAAAAACCTTTGAATTACGTAGATTTATGCCGCTTCTCATGCTCTTTTCCTTAGCTTCCCTGTGATCCACCTGGCCTTGCCCTCAGCCCAGTGACAGCCTCAGACTGCCAGACCTCTTGCTACCTCAGAGCTTTTCCTTGTGCTGTCCCCCTGCCTGGATTGATGTCTCTCTCCCTGCTCTGTCTACTTAAGAACTCAGTCTCTGGGTCCACTTGACAAGGCATATTCTTGGGGAAGCTTGAATGAAGCCCAAAGGAGACCAGGTACCCTGTTAGACATTCTCAGCATGTGATTTGTTTAAAGATTATCTTCCCTCCTAGGCTGTAAGCATTTTAAGGATAGGGATCACACCAGTCTTCACCGTTGTATTACCAGCACCCTGCATAGGGTGGGAGGTTAGGACAGCCGAGTAGTAGGAAATGCTGGCTGCCTGGATTCAAATTCCACTGCCACTGCTTTCTAGTGTTGTGATTTTGAGCACGTTGACTTAAGCTCTCAAATACCTGCCTCTGAAGAGTTACTGTGAAGACCAAATGATAATGTGTGTAAAGAATTTACTATGGTCCTTGGCACATAGTATTCAGTAAATATTAGCTGTTAGGATTATCAAGGTGCCGATAAATATTTGCTGAAAGACTGCTTTTCGAAGAGTGTGTGCTCAATAAATACTTCCAGGTATTTTGCACATAGGTGTTATTGCACCGAACCCTATTGCTTGTGTATTACAGTCCATACACAATGTCTAGCACAAAGCAGGCATTCAGTGAAAGAATGGGAGCAGTGAACTACAAATGCAAGTGTGAGAACCCTGCAAAAGTGTGGATGTAATCACTGAGTGCTGATAAGAAATACTAGAGTATTATATAGTATATTGCTCTTCACTTATTCCTGCTTCTGTGTTAGAGGCACTGTGAGAAGAGGGCTTGCGAGATAAGCTATGTCTCTTTTACCGTCAACTGTCTACTCAGTGCGCAGTCCTGTGCCTGGCACATTTGGGGAATGCAATATTTTTTTTTCAATGAATGAAAGAATAAAAAAATGAATGAAAACAGAATTTGGAGTCTGAATAACTGAGTTTGAGCCCCAGCTTCTTTCCTGAGTTAATCTCCTAGGTTTCAATATCCTCATTTGAAAAATTGAGAAAGTTAACATTCATTTTTCAATGAAATAAGGAGAGAATCCTGTTTATGTTAACGTGCTACACAAATACTAGTTAAAAAAGTTAAGCATCCCCCATCATTTCTGGAAAGAAAAATAATCTTCTTAATGTAACAATAAATCTTGTTTCAAAGAAGTTTGCGTTTACTCTGATAAAACGGATAGAAGATCTTGGATCACAGCCAACTTCTGATGTAAAGGAAAAGGTGTTGGGCAAGGCCCTGTTCCCAAGGGCGGTGCTGGCTCGCTCACCTCTGTTCTTGGATGCCACACTGTGCAGCCTGAGGGCTTTGACTTGCTGTGAAGTATTGGGCATTTCTCTCTATGGTTCTTTTTCATCAGGCATCCTGGAGCCCATGCACCTTAAACTTTGCCAGCCTCTGCTGGCCCTGATCCCTTGTCTCTCAGGACACAGCTCAAATACCACCTCCTCCAGCTCACCTCACGGTAAGTCCAGGTCAACATAACCTGTCTCCTTGTTGATGTCATGGCTGTTGAGTAGCAAGTTTGGTAAAGAGGACAAATCTGCCACTTACTCCATCCCTTTGAACCTCAGGTTCCTTGTTTGTGAGACTTTGGGCAACTCCTTTATCTCAGTGTCTCAGAATTATATGAGTTAATTCATGTAAGGCATTCAGAGCCATGCCTGGCATGTAGTAGGCACCAGAATAACATTAGCAGTTGGCTAACACAGGAGACCATCTTTTTATGGATGAAGTCTAGCCTTCTCACACAGTATGGTATAAAGTTCCTCTTTATAAGCTTTATAAAGTTCCTCTGTGATCCTCTAACTGCAGGCATTTCTCACTCTGTTTATTGCCCCACACATATTAACACATCCATTTATTGCTTGCCTTTGCAATGCTATTCACTCTGCCTAGAATTCCCCTTTCTTTTTCTTTTTCTCGACTCAGTGCAACCTCAGGCTCCCGGGTTCAAGTGATTCTCCTGCCTCAGCCTCTCTAGTAGCTGGGATTACAGGCGTCCACCCCCATGCCCAGGTAATTTTTATATTTTTAGTAGAGATGAGGTTTTACCATGTTTGCGAGGCTGGTCTCGAACTCCTGACCTCAGGTGAGCCACCCGCCATGGCCTCCCAAAGTGCTGGGATTACAGGCATGAGCCATCTCGCCTGGCCAGGAATTGTCCCTCTTCTTTTCCCAGGAACTACTTTGGTCATTCCCTCCTCTGGTTTGATGCTGAGATAGCTAGCTGGAACACAGATTCCTGGGCCACCCACCCATTCCATACTATCCCAGGGTATTCCTGGAGGAATATTCGTATAGCAGAATATTCATATAGCAGAAAAGGCAAAGAAACCTTTTATTAGCTATTAGGGCCTTGGCCCCAACCCCCAGCATGAATCCCTGAGCCCTGGGGTCTGCACTGGACCTGTGCAATAGGGGCAATTCTGTCCTCATTCCTCTCCCCTTGGCCTCCCCCTGTTTCTTGCTTGGCACTCTGATTAGAGGGGAATGCGAAGAAGGAAAAATGTACCTCCTTCCCAATAGGAAGAAGCCCAGGCCCCCAGCTTACCTGCAGTCTCTGAGAGAGAAGAAATAGACAGGAGCCATCCCCAGCCTGAGACTAGCCTTTAATCCCTTTACTTCACACACTGAGGTTCCACGCAGGCCTGTGGTTCAGTTCTCTTGAATCTGACCAATCCATGACATCACCCCTCCTCCTTAGGGGTAAGGTGAAGAGGGGGAGGGCAGCTACAGGCTTCCTTAGCCACCAGTGACTGCCTGCTTCCTCTTTAAGCTCAAATGTCCTTAGAGTGTGGGTCCAGTGAATATCCTTGGAGGAGATTCTCTACTAAAAATATAAAAATTAGCTGAGCATGGTGGTGGGTGCCTGTAATCCCAGCTACTCGGGAGGCTGAGGCAGGAGAATCACTGGAATCCAGGTGCAGTATCGTACCTGTGCTCCTGGAGAAGGTGCATCTTGTCTGTAAAGACAGTGTGTGATGACGGCCCTCATGTGGAGGCCCCCTGCAAGTTGCCTGGAAAAGTGTATTGTGTGCCTTCAGAGGCAGAGGCAAACTGCCTGAAGGGCTGTGGAAATAGGCACAGAAATAACAGGTTGGCCGCATCTGTAAGAGTAAAGTATTTATTGTTGTTGATTGAATAAAATCAGTTTAATTTTAATATTAGGTATGGGGCCCTAATGGATGGGATCACAATGTTAAGTTGTAGTGATCCATCACAGGGTACCATATATACACATTTATATATTTAAAATAGAGATAAAATCTATATTACATTTATATATTAAAATATATAAATATATTCAAAAATATAAATCTATATTAAAATGTATATACATAAATATATATATATATATTTCCAGATTTGAGCATAGGCAAAATTGGGCTGCTAAATGGAGAAGTAGTAGGGGATAATCACCCTTTTTAAAACTAAGGTTTTTTATAATGAGTTTTAATCCTTGAAGGGCCTGCTTCTACTTACATTGGGCCATATTAACTATAAAATGGGGGCTCATGGGGTCCCATTTTATCAAGCCAATGACAAAGAGACACTTTAATTTATTATTATTATTAATATTGAAACAGGGTCTTACTGTGTCTCCCAGGCTGGAGTGCAGGGGCACTATCAGGGCTCACTGCAGCCTCAGTCTCCTGGGCTCAGGTGATCCTCCCATCTTAGCCTCCCGAGTAGCTGGGACTATAGGCACACATCATCACACATGGTTAATTTTTGTATTTTTTGTTGAGATGGGGTTTTGCCATTTTGCCCCGGTTGGTCTTGAACTCCTGGGCTCAAGAGATCTTCCTGCCTTGGTCTCCCTAAGTGCTGGGATTACAGGCATGAGCCACCATGCCCAATCTAATTTATTATTTATTTTGTCAAAGCATCTATGTCCAATAGAAAACATTTTATAGCAGTGGGTATATGAGCATGGGAAATTTAGGCAAGGCTACACTTAAATTGAGGCATACGCATTTAAAAACTGTTATATGTCGTTACCCTCTCAAGATTATAGGGTCAGAGTGTGTAAATTAGTGGGATCCCCAGGTATAATTATATTTTGACCCCCAATATTAAGTTCATGAATTTTTGACAATTAGTACATTTTCACAAATGTTAAGTTAGAACCTATGTTGTAGAGGCGCAAAAACCAATCAGTGCTGTTTTTAATCTTTTTGTTACACAACTTCTTTAGTATATAAATTAGGAATCTTGAATTTCCAATTAAATCAAATTGTGGAAAATATAGCATATATTCAGCTTGCCATATATATATATATGTATGTATGTATGTATATATATATATGTATGTATGTATGTATATATATATATGTATGTATGTATGTGTATATATATATATATATATATATATATATATATATATATGTATGTATGTATATTTATTTATTTATTTATTTGAGACGGAGTCTTGCTCTGTCACCCAGGCTGGAGTGCAGTGGCTTGATCTTGGCTCACTGCAACTTCCGCCTCCTGGGTTCAAGCCATTCTCCTGCCTCAGCCTCCTGAGTAGCTGGGATTACAAGCATGTACCACCACACCCAGCTAATATTTTTGTATTTTTAGCAGAGATGGGGTTTCTCCATGTTGGCCAGGCCAGTCTCAATCTCATGACCTCAGGTGATCCACCCACCTCAGCCTCCCAAAGTGTTGGGATTACAGGTGTGAGCCCCCACACCCAGCCTATTTATTATATTTATTTTAAAATATGTATATAATTTATTTACATACATTATTTTATATGTAGTTTATATTTAAATTATATACATTTATTTATATATAATTTATACATACCTTTTATTTTCCTCTGTATCTAGGGGTTTGTTCATAAATCAATAAGTAATCTAAGGCTAGCATTATGTTTCCTAGATTTGGTGTTTGCTCAGTACCTAAAGTTTAAAGTTCTAGGCTGGTCATGGTGGCTCACACCTATAATCCCAGCACTTTAGGAAGCTCAAGTGGGTGAATTGCTTGAGCCCAGTAGTTTGCAACCAGCCTGGGCAACATAGTAAAACCTCTTCTCTACCAAAAAAAAAAAAAAAAAAAAAAAAAATCAGTCAGGTGTTGTGATGCACACCTGCAGTCCCAGCTATTTGGGAGGCTGAGGTGGGAGGGTTGCTTGATTCTGGAAGATTGAGGCTGCAGTGAGCCACGATAGCACCACTGCACTCCGGCCTGGTCAACAGAGTTAAATAAATAAATAAATAAATAAATAAATAAATAAATAAGGTTTCTCTGCTTTTCTTGGAGTTGTAGCTGCCTAAAGCATTAGTCTCTCTTGTTTGATTTTTGTTGTTGTTGTTTTTGAGGCTTTTAGCCAGCAGAAGCTGTGGGTGTTAATTTCAGCCTCTGGTTGATAAGAGGAAGGAGGAAAGGGACCCACTGTCTCTAGGAAGGAGGCGCTCTCTGGGATGGCCCCGACTGCCAAATAACCAGTCCATTTTTTCTCCTTTTAAGTAAAAATTTTAGAATGGCTAGCATTTCTAGGTATCTAAATAGGAAGATCTCTCTCTCTCTCTCTCTTCTCTCTCTCTTTCTCAATGTTTGCCTGACAAACTCTTGGTGGTATCAAGTAGCCCCCTATTGTTTTGACCTTACAAATTGTTACTGGAAAAACTTTGGGAGTGACCTCCAGCATACTGGATTCACAGGCAGCTGCTTCTCTTTCCAGGGTGCCCTAATTGACATCTGAGGGGTCGGGATGGGGACCAGGAGCGACCACAGCAAGGAATGCAGCAAAGGAGGTGCTGGCGGCAGCAGCCCTGACTCTTGGGAGGCGCTGTGGGACTCCGGTGAAGTGACTCCACCAGCGGCTAGGGCTGGACAGTTAGATCCTTTCCCCTGTCTCCACTCACTGACACAGAGAGCCCAATGTCGGATCACCCCTTTCTGACTGTTACTCGGGAGGAATGCTGCTGTCCTAGAGCGTGATAGCTCATGTCTCTCAGTAGTGAGATGGAGGTAGAGCTACACTGTCCTGGCTGCCTCACTCTGGCTGGACACCAGGACTTCGTCATTTATAGCCGATACAGTCCTGACCACTACTAAGACCCCAGGTCACAGGGACAGCATGCCTGGCTCAAGGGGCAACACACCCCCAAAGAGTGGTCAACTGTTTAGGATCCTCGTAATCTCAGGAAGGGAGGCTGAGGTGGAAGGGAAACACACCTTCCTTGCCATGGAACCTGCTGGAGACAGTAGCTACCTTAACGGTAATAGAGAAACGTGAATAGTTTCATTCCAAACAGCATCCTCATAGCTTGGTGACTTAGTGGACATTCTGTGAGAATGTTCATCTCTCATCTCTCAGGCTCCTCGTCCCTCTTACTAATTTACCTGGGGGAGGTGCCTGGATGAGAAGAATGAAGGGGGAAAGAGGTGGGAGGAAGAGAGAGAGAAGGGGAGGGACCGAGTGCAGGTTTCTGATGGGGATGGTGAGATACAGCTAGAGGATTAGGAAAGCCCTAAGACTCACAGGCAACTTCATGGTGGGAGAAGGACTAAATAAGGAGCTGGGGGTACTAATTAAATCTGAGAACAAATGAGGGCAAGAGAGCAGCCCCAGGGAGGGACATGACCACTTTCCTCCCTGTCTGTGCCCCACTCATGAGAGTCCAGAGCAGGTGGACTGAATGACTAAATGAATTTTGTTAACTTTTCTTCAAGCCCCCTAAAAACTTATCTTTTCTCCTTGGCAGATACATCTTTCGGGAAATTTGGGAAAGATTTGAAGTGGAGAGAAAGTTAAATGGGGGTAAGATTATTGGAATAAAATGAACAGACTTTAAGACAAACAGCTCTGACCTCTCCAGGAGGTTTCTGGAATGGCCAGGGAGGAACTTAGTGAGACATATGTAGTGGGTGTGAGTGCCAAGGGTGGCTTTGGAAAGGTATGTGCTGTTCAGAGACGGAATTAACGCACTTCTGACGCCTTTTCAGCCTTCCCGTTTACAATGGGTGGGTGTTTTAATCAGCAGAAAAAGTCTCAGTCCAGTGCATGTTCTGCCACACCCTAGTCTGAAAAACAGGGGCGGGATAAGGCAGAAAAACCCATCTCCACCTCGAAGGCAAACAGGTTCTGTGAGCACAGGCCAGCACCTGATGACCAGGAAGGGGAGAAGGCCGGATAGTCCCTTGTTCCAGGTTGCACTGGTCAGTGAGAGAGGGAAGAGGGGTTGACTCCTCTCGTCTGTCCAGTTTTGAGGTACCCCTACAAGCCCAGGCCAAGCAATCTTATAGGAAAGATACCATTCAGAAACTGTTATGATTAGATTCATACTACACCGTGGTGCTAACCCCTAAGACAATCCTGCATTTAACAGATATAGAACCCAAAATTTAGTTGTGACTTGGCCACAACAACACAGCTTTTCAGTGGAGGACCAGGATCCTAAGCTAGGTCTTCAGATGCCCCAAAAGGAGATAACTTTTCTAACAGTAAGTACCCTCTCAGGGTTAATGCCAGTGGGCTCCAGCTTGGAGCCTGCTGTTTCAATGCAGTGTCTTGTGAGAGTTATTGCCTTCTACCCCTCAGCCATGTAGCTCTCTCTGCTGACAGCCACTGTGCCTCCAGCCCAGCCATGGACATCCAGACTTTGAGGAACTAGAACCCAGGCCTTCAAATAGGCTTCCTTTCCAAGTGTCTGGTGATTCTCTTTGGTTTGAGATGCTCTGTCTTTAAAAATTCCTCTACCTAATCCTTAAATGGTTTGGTTTCTAGGACTCAGTCTGAGACCCTCTAGGACTCAGTCTGAGACCCTCTTTTCTTCCCTGATCTCATCCATTTCCATTTCAATTAATATGTGTGTCCATGATTCTTTTTTTTTTTTTTTTTTTGAGATGGAGTCTTGCTCTGTTGCCCAAGCTGGAGTACAGTGGCATGATAGCTCACTGCAACCTCCACCTCTGGGGTTCAAGCGATTCTCCTTCCTCAGCCTCCCGAGTAGCTGGGATTATAGGCGCGTGCCACCATGCCTGGCTAATTTTTGTATTTTTTTTTTAGTAGAGACGGGGTTTCGCCATGTTGGTCAGGCTGGTCTCGAACTCCTGACCTCGTGATCCACCCACCTTGGCCTCTCAAAGTGCCGGGATTGCAGGCGTGAGCCACCGTGCCCGGACCCATCATTCTTAAATTTACATCTTCAGCCCAGATCTCTCAGCTGAGCTCCAGATCGACATTTATTATCTTTAAGCTCTCTGCCAGGATGTCTCACACAGTCTACAAACTCTGCAAATCCCAAGTGTACTCTATAATACCCTAAACCTTCTTCCCATGTACCTCTGATATATTGGAGTTCGTATCTCCACTGCCACTATCCACCATTCTTCCTCTATCTAGTATCCCTACATCCATACTGGCTCCCTTTAATCCATCCTCCATCTTTTCCAGAGCTTTCCAAATTCAAATTCTTTTTTTTTCTTTCAAAGGTGATGTTTCTATTGTCCAGGCTGGAGTGCAGTTGATTTAAGCTCACTGCAGCCTGGAACTCCTGGATTCAAGCGATCCTCCCACCTCAGCCTCCTGAGTAGCTGGAACTACAGGTGAGTGCCACCACACCTGGCTACTTAAATTTTTTTTGTAGAGATGGGGTCTCGTTGTGTTGCCCAGGCTGGTCTTGAACTCCTGGCCTCAAGCAGTCCTCCCACCTTGGTCTTCCAAAGTGTTGGGATTACAGGCATGAGCCACCGCACCAGGACAACCAAATTCAAATTTGTAAGATGGCTTTCAAAGCCCTATGTGATGTCATTCCAGTCCATCTCTCCAGAAACTCACCTCTGGCTCCCTGTGCTGTAAAGGGCCTTTCCCCTACTTTCCTTAATACCTCTCGTTCTTCAGTTCTTGGTGTAGATATTCATCTTCAGGGATGTCTTCCCTACTCCAGCTCCCTCGTATTCCCTCCGAGAACTCTCTATACCCTTCCTCATGACACTCATCCCAAATGTAATTGGCAAAATTACTTTTGAGACACTAAGTGCCATGAGGGCAGGTATCTGTCTTATTTTTCATTGTACTCCTAGCACCTAAAACAGACCTTCCAGTTTATTGAATGGATGGCACATAGTAGGGCTCAATAAATGGATCCCCCCATTTTCTGCTTTCTCATTTCCTTTGAGAATCAAGCCTTACTTTGGGACTAGGCCACCCTGTCAAGTGAGACAGGTCGTGTTTTCTCTGTCACCTAAGAAGACCCACTTGAGTTAGACTGCATTCCAGTCCAGGGCGAAAGAAAGAAAAAAAGAGCTGAAAAGGCCACCCCAGAACTGCACTAGAGAGAAGCCCAGAGTAAGTTCATAAAATTTGCTAAATCAAATGACAGATGCCTTTCTTAGGCGGGTGTGTACTGTTCAGGGTGAAATAAAGCCATCCAAACTCCTTTTCAGCCATTCCCTTCACAAAGCACAGCCCAAATGGCTTTGCACACTCATGTCTGTGTTTTGTCAGGTAAAGATTCCTGTTTCGCCTCTTGCTAGCATCCATCTGTTCATCCAGGCAAGGCTGCCCCACCCTGACACACAAAGGAGGGACTAGCTGAAGAATCAACCATATGGTCAGCAATGACTAAAACCACCCATTCCAGCAGGCTTGGCTAAGAAAGCTAATATTTGAAAAGCTGTGGTTTGAGGAACTAGGTGAGTTATGGGAAATTCTAATTTGTTTTATATCTTGTAGATGGTACTTCAGTTAAAAGTTATAAACCACAGACACACATGGCTTATGCAGGACCATTTTTTCTGTTCCTGATCTGTCCCTCTTCATTGTGTGAAGCTGGATGGTTCGTGTTTACTTCACAGCTCCTAAAGTTGAAGATACTGAGTATTTAAAGATATAAATGTTTAATTAAAAAATTATTAGCTTTTAACCTTGTAACATACTCAGGTTTGGAGTAGAAAGGTACTGCAGTACAGTGTTAGGAGCCCAGTGACAAAGAATTCCCAGGATAATGACTGGATGTCATTTCCATGAAGAGGCTTGCTGCTGGCCTATACTGCCAGCTTAAGCAAACTGGGAAAAGATGTGTCCTCTGAGATGTAACCCTATCTTTGGCAGGCTGAGCACAGGCTAGATTTCAGCCTCTCATTCACCCTCCTTCCTCTCTCAACTGGGTGCCTTTGTGTAGTACGTAAACTCTATAATTACACACGGTAGCCCTGCCTTTATATGAATGTATAGATTTTAAAAATATAAATCAGGGATGAAACACTACCAGTAGTCTTATTCAAAACAATATTATTTAATTTAATATTTTCACCTATGAGAGGTAATGAATGCAGAAATATAGTCTCCATTATAGCAGACAGGAAAAAATACATTATCCTACTATTTTCTAGAAAAATGATTGTGGCATTAGCAAATCAAATGGAAAAAGTGAATAAGCAGACTGAGATTACCTGAAAATAGTTAGTTGCTAGTAAGATTCAGTACAATGTATGTTTATTAAATAATCGCTACTAGAACAAACATCTGCGACAACTATGAAGTTAGGAAATGCTGTATTAGCTTGAACAGTTTATCTGTTGGTCACATTAATAAGTGACTCAGAAATATTACAAGTATGGAAAGGCATGATAGTGAACAATGCCACATGAGTCCATTAAGCAAAAATAGATAATGGCCCCTATATCTTAGAACAGACTCACTTATTCATTGGTATGAATAATTTAGCTCTAAAAAGAAAAATCCAAAAGAAGCGAAGACTAACTGTGGAAAGGACTTTGAACTTTTCCTTTTAGAAAGTTAAAAAAAAGAAAAAAAGTGTACATGACTACCACAGCTTGACAACTACCATGTGGCACATTTTATATGACATGAGAAAAAATGGTCAAAAGATCTCAACTTTCTGGAAGTCAACTCAAAAGCTGAGGGCAACTAGCATTTTTGGATTTTACAGTATAGAATGGAATTCCCTTTATATTGAAAACTAAATCATGGACCTTGCTCATAGTAATTTTTCTCAAAGGTTTAGGCACTTTGCAACAGGCTATTGCCAATCTAGAAAAACTGACGTGAAAAAATAATTAGGTCATGTAAATATTAAATACAAATCATGTGATTACATTCAAAGACATGAGATGTCTTAAATGAATAACATATTTTCATTCTGACAAGTGCACACTAGAATCACCTTGCAGAGAAGTGCAGTTGGGCAGTACCACTGTACTGTACCACTGTACCACTTGCTGACAGTCTAGAGCAGGGGAGACAAACTCCCAAGCCAGAGAGTAAACATTTTAGGCTTTGCAGGCTACATACAGTTTCTGTTGCATATTCTTCTTTCTCTAAACGTTTTTAAAATGTAAAAACCAGCTGGGCACGGTAGCTCACGCCTGTAATTCCAGGACTTTGGGAGGCCAAGGCAGGTGAATCACTTGAGGTCAGGAGTTCAAGACCAGCCTGGCCAACCCAGCTCTACTAAAAATACAAAAATCAGCCAGGCATGGTGGCATGGTGGCATGTGCCTGTAGTCCCAGCTACTCGGGAGGCTGAGGCAGGAGAATCGCTTGAACCTTGGGAGGCGGAGGTTGCAATGAGTTGAGATCCTGCCACTGCACTCCAGCGTGGGTGACAGAGAGAGACTCTGTCTCAAAAAAATAAATAAATATATATATATATATATAAAGAATAAAATAAAATAAAATAACCATTCTTACCTTGCAGGCCATACAACGCAGCCTGAATTTGGCCCATGGGTTGTAGTTTACCAACCCCTGATCTAGACCCCTTTGATATTATGACACATTTTTATCATTTTCTTTTAGGCACAGATGATCTCTGAATGAATGCTTATAGGGAACCATATGTATATGCTTAAAGATTTCTCTAATAAATATGGTTGCTGCAACTTTAGAGTTAATTCTGCAAATTCAATTTAAAAGTGATGATTACAGATCTGGCATTGCCAGATGTTTCAGAAGCTTTATGACAATTTTGTGAATATTTAAGTTACCAATGACTAAATTCAGTTCAAGTATCAACACTACATTTTTAAAGCAATGAAGCAGGTCTTGTAAGGGTTGAAAAGGAACTGTATGCAGAGCAGTGACCTGTGGCTGATGCTATACTGACTGATGGCTGCTGAGCTAGAGTAGGGGAATTTTAGGTCACTTGCAGCCTGTAACTGAATTTCTTGATTTGCATTTTAGGGTTTTCTATTTAAAAAAAAATTCTTGTGACCAGTCTTCTACACTAGCTGCCTTTGAAATCAGGTAGTAATTAGCTGAATTTAATGATAAAATGAAGACCTTGAGAAATAATATTTGTTATTTAAAGTACATGAAAATGGGTGGTCAGAACCTGCTTAGCTTTCCTCCAAAATGGCTGAATGTGTATCACAGCAATGGAAATGCTGTAGCTAACAAACGACTTAAGTTCTTGAATGATCTGTCTTCTCCTTAGCTGCTCTGCTGGCCTATCAGAGAAGACTGTGCCTTGGTGAAACTTGTTGTCCCTTACAGTTTCCACTTTTCTTTCAGCAATGTCAAGGTTTCATACTCAAGGCAAAAGTTTATACTCCAAAGTCAGAGTTTTATCTTCAGTTTGAATTTCACGTGTAGAAGTGTCCATATCTGGGTATATGAAGCTGACTGGGCTGATAATTTTGGAGAAATGGTGAAGTCCAGTGGAATGCTCCCAAGGACCTCAACAACACCAGCAGCTCCCCCATGTAGCAATTACGTAGTTAGATATTTTAACAAGTATTTCCTAATTCTTTTTTTTTTTTTTTTTTTTTTTTTTTTTGAGACAGGGTCTCACTCTGTTGCCCAGGCTGGCTGGAGTACAACAGTTAAAAGACAGTATTGAAAATTTCCAGTCAGCTGGGTCAAGATGACATGATTCCTTTTTTTTTTTTTTTTCATTTTGCAGCTCCTTCCATAAAGGGGTTTAACTACTTTAAATCAAATTTTAGTCTTTTTTTTTTTTTTTTTTTTTTTTTTTTGAGACAGAGTCTCGCTCTGTTGCCCAGGCTGGAGTGCAGTGGCACAATCTTGGCTCACTGCAAGCTCTGCCTCCCAGGTTCACGCCATTCTCCTGCCTCAGCCTCCCGAGTAGCTGGGACTACAGGCGCCCGCCACCATGCCCGACTAATTTTTTTGTATTTTTAGTAGAGACGGGGTTTCACTGTGTTAGCCAGGATGGTCTCGATCTCCTGACCTTGTGATCTGCTCACCTCGGCCTCCCAAAGTGCTGGGATTACAGGCATGAGCCACCGCGCCCGGCCCATTATTTTTAAATAGTTAGAACATAGTGAATAAGCTATAATTGTAGACACTGAAAAACAAGACAAAGTGATCAAACTAATTATAGCACTGACAGGATGCAAAATGGAAGACAGAGGTAGGTCTGCAAACAGCCACACAGGTGGAAATTCCAATTGTAAATGGTTCTCTTTGAAATACTCAGTTTTACATAAATGCTTATCCAGCAGCACGTCATAAACCACAGGGCCAAAACAATTTCTTGTCACGTAAACATGGCGTTGGTAGCTAAAACTCAAATTTAGCAACAAATAATTGTTTTCATAGGACTCATAAGATAACCTTAAATTGTTAGATGCTTTTAGGGCATTGGCTAATTCAGAATTGGCTGGTATTATAACAGAACTTAATTTTTGCAGGCATTTAAAGATTTTCATGCATTATGTACCTGAAGGTTTTGTCTCTTAATTTTCTTTGAACCACACCTCTTCTCCTTATTATAAGAAAAACCCTCTTAGGGTAAGGGAAGTCCAAATTAACTGTCCTGAAATTTTGCATTATATTTAAACCATAATATTTGATTTACTTCTGTCAAACAAAACACTACTATTTGGGTTCTCATTTGTAGATTATTTAAAAACATGTTTTTCCTGTTAATTATCAATGCATTTACTATCACAAGGATTAAAAAGATCACTTCAGGTGGTGGGGATGTTTCATGAAACACCATGGTGGGGAGTAGGTAGTGGGCAGGCAGAGTGACAATCAGCTTAACCTCCTTTCACCTAGCTGTTCTTTAGAAAAACAAAAATAAAAGTCAAATTGCTTTCAGTTTTCAAGAGTGAAAATGGAGGCACAAGAAGGATATTCAGATGTGCAAGCAAATTGCTTCTTTTACATCCTTATATTTTCTTTTCTTTTCTTTTTTTTTTTTTTTTTTTTTTTTGAGACGGAGTCTCGCTCTGCCACCATGCCCGGCCTCACAAAGTATTTTCTAAAATATAATTTGCTGTAGAGTTCACAGATGAGCACTTTTCACATTAGGTGATATGCAAACAAATCACTATTGGCTCAGCAGGAAACAGACTTTTTGTACACTCTAGTTAACATGAAGTTTTCCAATAAAACAAATGACAGCGGGAGGGGGTAGTGAGGAATTCAACTCTGTAATGTCCACCTAGAATCCAAGTAGGAAAAAAATAAAGCTATTGAAATAATTTAGTAATATCCTATAGGTCACCAGTGATTTCCATAAAATGCTGCACAGATACAAAGTCTTGAGTATGTTACTTAGTAGCTAAAAAGAGAGCCTTGTGTGAGGCACAGCTGACTTGGAACATTAAAGAGCCTGGCTTCCCTTTCTGCTTTCCATTCTCCCAACAGAAAAAAAGGTCTTCAAAGAATTGGCCAGTCTTACAGCTCACCTTGGGGTGTAGATGACTCTCCACTGTGGTGCTAGGCAATTTTATTGAACAGGTGGCCACTGGTGGTGATGGCTGAACCACTCATTAAACAAATTGCTCTAAATGGCCTCAGTATCAAGGTGTGCTTTCTGTACCCTTAATCTGACTTTAATCCTGCAGAACCTCAGTCTTACCATGTTTAACAGCATTGCCATGTACGATATGCCTTTATCCTACACTGTATATATACTCTTTATGCAGAAGTATATCTAACTGAAAAGTATAAAAATATAATGGTGGAAAACAAATGAATTAAAAAATGTATCACGGCCGATAGCCCAGGTAACTGCAGGTGAAATGTAGCCAGAAGTCAGAATCTTGGGGCAAAATCAAGTATAGTCTTATGGGCTGTGCCTTCAAATGGTTTAGTTTTATACCCTCTTAAGGCAGAATCAAAGTTCTCTTAATGTTTTGGCAAGTGTTTTTCTTCCTGGAGGTTCATAAAAATAGGTGGAAGAATCAGTCTAATGGCTTGTTGGCATGCTAAGGGAAGGATGTCAAGTTGACATCCTTGGATACTTGGTTAAAAACTAAGGCTAGTAGGTGAAGAAAAACAACAGAATAGTTTTTGGTTTTAAATTTGTACAAAGGCTACTTATTGAATACTGGAAAAAATGACAACAGTGTTTTACCATCTTTGCATAAGAAAAAAATGATTTTCCTTTTGAAACTGTAGCTCAGGATTTAATCCTGAGTCACGTCATCATGTGGTAAAAACAATCTGGATTTTACAATAATTTATATAAAGCAAAAAAAGTCATAAAAATGCTAAATGATGCAGAGCTACAAATATGATGAAACATGAGCAGAGGGGTCAAATCAGATTTTTACTCCAGGCAGGTGTTAAGTTTGTGAAAAGTGATGCAATTTGTTATACATTCAAATGCAAATTAGAACTAGCTGCCTTACGATGAGATTTCACTGTCATTTTTTTAGCACCCTAATTTTTGTCGGTTCTGTAGGTTTCAAGTAGCAGAAACTTACATCTATTTCCTTCAGAAAATTAAGGAGCAGATATTTTAATATGCTTTATGTAAATAGGATTCTGATAATTTTAGCTTTAGTTAATGCAACACACTTCCCTGGGCACAACCATGACCTCTCTGAGAACTGGAAAATACTGCATAATTTTAAAAATCAGAGTGTAATGACATTCCCTGACAACTTCAAATAAGTTATGTGAGGAGGATGAACTATGGGTAGTCTAGACCACCAGTCATATTTGTCTAGCCGTAGAAACAGTGACAACTTAAAGATCTGCAAAGATCAGAGCAGAGCTGGCTGAAGGTGCAGCATTCTATACATGTCCTCATGGAGCTTCAGAAAGGTTATAAGATGACCCACTCATTCTGGTTGGCTGTGGCCATAGACAGACACCATAAATCCTGGGATGTGGTCAAGTACTGAACTGGGGGCAGGTCTGAGCTTGCTTATGATCCTCCGACTAGCCCTGGAACAGATAGTGAAGAACTACACAGAATCCCACAGCTAGCTCTCTCTCTTTCTCTCTCTTTTTTTACCTTTGAGAACCATCCATGAGATTAATACAATATTAATCAAATCTGACACAGCTGAGTGCTGGCTCACAGCTAACTATCTGGATATGGGGTTTTGTTGGCTCTTAGCTGACTGCATTATTTAATCAAATATTAAGAAAGGTATAATTCACATGCAACCCTTGGCAAAAAGAAAAGAAGGTTAATTTCTTATAACCAGCACAAACTGTTAACCTGTTAAGAAAAGCCCAACTGTTTCTGCATTTGAGGCATACACACACATCATCTCTGTTTCTTTATAAACTGGAGCGTGAAAGGAGGAGGGGGACAAATAAGATAAAGCCATGAGCTAAACACCCAGCAGGCCCTACTCCTTATTCTCTGTGTGGGTGGCAGCATTAGTCAGAAAGTCACTCCTCTGCTGTGATGGTCATGACATATTTGAACTTGTAGATCTTTAAGGATTTCCTTATTTATTCTGCCAGGTCTATGGTAGGTGCTTGTTTGTTTTCTTGGTGGAATGATTCATCAATGCTTCCTGAGAGGCTCAAACAGGATCACTGGCCAGATTCCAAAGAGAAACTGTTTGGGGACAAATTAGGACAAAATGAGAAAAGACAGAATTGTTCCATGTTATCCCTGAAAAAGAATGAGAAAGAATCCATGGGGCTATGACTATACGTAGGTTTGCTAGTGATTGTCCTGGTATTAGCAGCCTGAGCACAGTTTATTCCTTCTAGACTTGGACCAGATATCAGAGAGTATTTTTATTGAGTTTATTTACATTTATTAAGCTTTGACTTTGTCAAGCATGGAGCTGGGCATATAAATTATCTCTGATCTTTAAAATAACTCTGCAATGTAGTTATTAGCAGCTTAATTTTATTGTTGAAGAAACTAAGGCTTAAAGAGATTTGTCCAAGAACATGCAGTAGTAAATGAAAGATTCACAGCCTTTGGTTCCAAAGCCTGTGTTTGCTCCACTACCTCTCCAAACTCCCCTTTCTTCTTCCACCTCCATCCTATACTCCCAGTACCATACCCCCAACACACACACAGGACCTAGGAAGTGGACTTACCTTCACTTTTGGCCTATATCTCAGGTAAAGTGTTCTTGTATACAAACTGAAAGAAAAGTGGGAGGGGGAAAGCTTTTCAGATTCATTTTGAATTCATGCAAACTGGCGTACTGACAAACGTAACCATAGTGCTTCTGCATGTACGAAGCAAAAACAACATGAGTATATGCTTCATTTGTTCAGCAACTGTTTTTTTTTTGAGCATCTACTCAAAATATTCAGTAAACCATGCTGTAAATGGATGTGCTGTAATCTAGGCTTTGTTGTTCCATTTTATAGAGCACAAGCAGAGTATATTTAGCATAATTCTTTTTTTTTGAGATGGAGTCTTGCTCTGTCACCCAGGCTGGAGTGCAGTGGCGCAATCTCGGCTCACTGCAACCTCCGCCTCCCAGGTTCAAGCAATTCTCCTGCCTCAGCCTCCTGAGTACCTGGGATTACAGGCGCCTGCCACAACGCCCAGATAATTTTTGTATTTTTAATAGAGACGGGGTTTCACCATGTTGGTCAGGCTGGTCTCGAACCCCAGACCTTGTGATCCACCCGCCTCGGCCTCCCAAAGTGCTGGGATTACAGGCGTGAGCCACCGCGCCCGGCCACATTTAGCATAATTCTTAAGGGCCATAGGACTTTCAAAATAGAAAATGAGCACTGACTTCAACTTAAGGTCATCAGCTACATTAACTCCAAACAAGAGCGTCACAACCTGTCCTTTGAAGCTTTGAAGCCACGCATTGACTTCTCTTCTCTAGCTATGAAAATCCTAGATGGTATCTTCTTCCAATAGAAGGCTGTTTCATCTACACTGAAACTCTGTTGTTTAGTGTAACCACTTTCATCAATAATCTCAGCTAGATCTTCTGGATAACTTGCTGCAGCTTCACCTTGCACTTTTATGTTATGGAGATGGCTTTTTTCCTTAAGCCTCATGAACCAACCTCTGCTAGCTTCAAACTTTTCTTCTGCAGCTTCCTCACTTCTGTCAGCCTTCACAGAACTGAAGTGAGTTGGGGCCTTGATCTGGATTAGGCCTTGGCTTAAGGCAATGTTGTGGTTGGTCTGATCTTTTATCCAGACTACTAGAAATTTCTACACATCAGAAATAAGGCTGTGTCACTTTCACTATTCGTGTGTTCTCTGGAGTAGCACTTTTAATTTCCTTCAAGAACTTTCCTTTGCCTTCACAACTTGGCCAACTGTTTGGCACAAGAGGCCTACCTTTTGGCCTATCTCAGCTTTCAACATACGTTCCTCACTAAGCTTAATCATTTCTAGCTTTTGGTTTAAAGTGAGAGATGTGTAACTCTTCCTTTCACTTGAACACTTAGAGGCCACTGTAGGGTTATTAATTGGCCTATTTTTAATTTTGCTTTCTCTTAGGGAATTAGGGAGGCTGGAGGAGAAGGAAAGAGACTGGGGAATGGCCAATTGGTGGAGCAGTCAAAACATACATTTATTAAGTTCACCGTCTTCTATGTGCATGGTTTGTGGTGCCTCAAAACAATTACAATAGTAACATCAAAGATCACTGATCACAGGCCAGGCACCTTGGCTCACAACTGTAATCCCAGCACTTTGGGAGGCTGAGGTGGGATGATCACTTGAGGTCAGGAGTTTGGGACCAGTATGACCAACATGGTGAAAGCCTGTCTCTACTAAAAGCACAAAAATTAGCCAGGCAGGGTGGCGCATTGCCTGTGATCCTGGCTACTTGGGAGGCTGAGGCAGGAGAATCACTTGAACCCAGGAGATGGAGGTTGCAGTGAGCCAAGATAGTGCCACTGCACTCCAGCTTGGGGGAGACTCTGTCTCCCAAAAAAAAAAAAAAAAAAAAAAGATCACTGATCACAGATCACCATAACAGATATAATAATAATAATAAAGTTTGAAATATTGTCAGAATTACAAAAATAAGACACAGAAACATGAAGTGAGCACATGCTGCTGGAAAAATGTCACCTATAAACTTGCTTAATGCAGGACTGCCACAAACTTTCTACTTGTAAAAAACACAATACCTGAAAAGTACAAACAAAAGAAAAAGTTATGCATGCTTGTTTATTTTGAAATCAAGAAGTGTGATGTTTCATGTCTGCTCTTTTTCAAGATTGATCTGGCTACCTGTGGCCTTTTGTGGTTGCATATGAATGTTGGAATTATTTTTTCTATTTCTGTAAAAAAATGCCTTTGGAATTCTAAATGAGATTGCATTGGATCTGTGGATGGCTTTGGGTAGTATGAACATTTTAACAGCTTTGTCTTTTAATCCATGAATACAGGATGTCTTTTCATTTGTTTGCGTTTTGCTTAATTTCTTTTATGAATGTTTTGACCTAGTTAGAGGTCTGTTCTATTTCTTCACAACTCACTCTTGGTAGGTTCTGTTTCTAGGATATTGTCCATTTCTTTTAAGTCATCCAATTGGTTGGCATATAATTGTGGGATTCTTCTTATCTCTGTGGCAGCATTGTAATGTCTCTTCTTTTATTTCTGATTTTATGTATTTGAGTCTTCTCTCTCTTTTTTTGTTAGTCTTGCTAAGGTTTGTCAATTCTGGTGATCTTTCAGTACCCCAACTCTTAGTTTCACAGATTTTTAAAAATTTTTCTATTTTGTTTATTTCTGCTCCATGTTATTTCTTTCCTTCTGCCAAATTTGGGCTTAATTTGTTCTTTTCCTTGTTCTTTGAGGTGTAAAGTTTCATTGAGATCTCTCTTCCTTTTAAATGTGACATTAATTTCTGTGAACTTCTCTTAGTATTGCTTTTGCTGCATGTCATAAGTTTGGTATGTTGTATTTTTGTTTTCACTTGTCTCAAGGTATTTTCTAATTTTTTGACTTCTTCTTTGACCCAGCGGTTGTTCAAGAGTGTACTATTTAATTTTCATGTTTGTGAATTTTCTAGTGTTTTAAAAATATTTACATCCTATTTAAAGAGTAAAGAAAAAAAAAAACAACAAACTCTAGTACGAGGCTAAAAAAGTCTCTATTTCCTACCTGAAAAGGATGTGAAGATAGGAACCAAGGCCAGTTAAAATATGCCACCATGCATGAAATTGTGTGGTAATACCTATGATAGGTGGTACCTTCTTTCGAAAGTTCCTGTGTGGAGAGAGGGAGAAAATCACGTTAAATTTTTAAAATATTTAGCGACTAACGCTGATAGTCTTAGAGCATTTTGAAATATCATTCTCAAAACAGCAGTTATTTAATTGCCTTAAGTTTCCTGTAGTCTGCCACATTGTTATCCAAAGTACATTCTGAGGAACAGTATTCAACAATGATAATTTATGGTCAATCTGTGTCATCTAAACCCTCAGCCACTTCTCTCTCTCATATCTTTTTGAAGCAAATCCCAGATACTATGTCATTTTATTTATAAATATTTAGTATGTATTTCTAAAATATGAAAACCTCCCTAAAACATAACCACATTTTCACACCTAAAGATAATAATAATACTCCCTTAATATCATAAAAGATTCGGTTACTGATTGAAGTTCCAAATTTCTCATACTTTATTTTTTTAAATAGTTGGTTTGTTTGAATCAGAATCCAAAAAAGGCCAACACATTGTATCTGGTTGGATATATCTAAGGCTCTTAATCTATAGGTTCCTCTTCCCTCTTTTTTCCTGCCTCTGCAAATTTTTTTTTTTTTTTTTTTCCCTGAGACGGAGTCTTGCTCTGTCGCCCAGGCTGGAGTACAGTAGCACGATCTCGGCTCACTGCAACCTCCGCCTCCCCAGTTCAAGCGATTCTCCTGCCTCAGCCTCCCAAGTAGCTGGGATTACAGGCACACGTCACCAGGCCCAGCTAATTTTTGTATTTTTAGTAAAGACAGGGTTTCACCATGTTGGCCTGGCTGGTCTTGAACTCCTGACCTCAAGTGATCCGCCCCCTCGGCCTCCCAGAGTGCTAAGATTACAGGCATGAGTCACCACGCCTGGCTGTGCCTCTGCAATTTATTTGTCGAAGAGACCAGGTCATTCATTCTGTAGATTTCTCACAGTCTGAATTTTGTTGATTGCCTTCCTGTAGTACTGTTCAGTACCCTCCTCTCTTCTCTGTTTATGCAAAATTGTTAGTTCACAGGATTTAGAGTTGGAATGACCCACCTGTTTAACCTGTTCAGCATGCTCATTTCATGGAAAAGAGGGCCAGAAAGACAGTGTCTTAATGACAGACTAGAATCCAGAGACCTAAGTCTAAGATTCAAACTCCTGTCAATATATGATTGCTGACAAGATGGTAAAAGGAACACTTGCTTTTTTAGAAAATAACATTAAGCATATGAAAGTGTATATTTATATACATATATTTCATATGCTTATTACAAATCAGTCTTCTTTATTCAATGAAACAGATCAGGCATGTTTCAAAGGAATAGTCAACATTTGATTAACTATATAGTTCTTTGATGCCCACACACACAAAACCCAAACCCTACAGAGGTTATGAAATAGTCTCAGGTCCAAAATTTTAGGTAATTTAAACAGGTATTCTAATAGTCTAACTTTATTATACTGTATATATCTTTTAAATGTCAACAATAGTAAAAATTCATTTCAGGGCACTACTATTTCTATATGTTTATAAAATTCTCTACTTAATAAAATGCTTCCAAAAATATTTCTGAAGGAATGAAAATATATCTTACCTCAGTGACTCACAAAATATGTTATCTATATTCCAAAATAAAAATCCCAATAAAAATATACCCAATGATGTATAACCCAGTCCTCTAAGCCATGGATAAACCCTGTGGGGGGGAAAACAGAAAAGCAAAATAAAATTTTCTCAAGTCATGTCACGATCAGAAATTGAAGCCATCACTTTCTTCCTTTTTTATAAGGGCTGGGATCTCACTATGTTGCCCAGGCTGGAGTGCAGTGGCTATTCACAGATGTGATCATTGTACATTCCAGCCTCGAATTCCTGTGCTCAAGGGTATCCTCCCATCTCAGTCTCCCAAATAGCTGGGAAAATAGACATGTGCTACCATGCCTGGCTAGAAGACATCACTTTCATGAGAAGGAACAGTTTTTGTTTATAGTAAAAGCAGACCTATCAAATTTTCTAATAATTTGCCTACTATATGTAGCCAATAAAAGGTGCTGAGAAATAAGCCACCAGACTTTAATAAATGTATTGGGAAAGTACCTGATAACTTTTTTGGTCCCATGGAAAAGGCAGGGTGATAGTGGATTAGCTATCAATGTAGGTTGAGTCATATGCTCCATGTAAGGCAATGTAGTTACACATACACACACACACATTCATTCATTAAATCACTTAATACATATGGAGTACTTACTGTGTACCAGGCATTGTTGTAAGCATTTGGGAAGGTAGTGGTCAATAGGTAAAGTTTTTGTTCTCAAAGAATTTACAGTATAGTTGGGGGAGGTAAACAATTAAATACATAATTATAATTGCTTTGAAGAAAAATAAGGCCTGATAAGGAGTGATACGGAGGTATTGTGGATGGGTGCGCATGCACACACATACCACACACAAAATGTTAAAAAAATCCCTGTGAGGCAGGTATTATTATTTTTACTTCACTGATGAGAAAATTGAAGCTTGGTGAGGTACTGAAAATAGTATCAGCTTACCTATGTTTTATAGCTTCAATGAGGTATAACTGACTTACATTTAAACTATTAAATATATTTAAATTGTCTATCTGATCAGTACATCTGTACATACCCATGAAACCACCACCACAATCAAGATATCCACCACCTCCAAAAGCTCAATTTGCATTTTTTAGAATGCTATATAAATGGAATCATACCATATATACCCCTGATTGTATAGCTTCTTTCATTTGACATAATTCTTTGAGATTCATCTATGTTACTATGTTATCAATACTTCATTTCCCTTTATTGTTGAGTAGGTACTCCATTGTATGGTCACAGCACAATTTGTTTCTCTGTCCAAATGCGGGTTTCCAGTTTTTGACTGTTACAAATAAAGCAGCTATGAACATTCACAAATAACACTTTATATAGACATATGTTTTAATTTTTCTTGGGTAAATAGCTAGGAGAAGAATGGCTGTATTGTATGGCAGGTGAATATTTAATTTTTCAAGATACTGCTACACTGTTTTCCTAAGTGACTGTACCATTTTACATTCCCACCAGGCATGTATAAGTGTTCCAGATGTTCCACATCTTCATCAGCACTTGGTTTGAAGTCAGTCTTTTTCATTTTAGCTGTTTTAGTAGGTATGTAGTGGTATCTCATTGTGGTTTTAATTTGCATTTCCCTAATGACTAATGTTTTTGAGCATCTTTCACGTAGTTATTTACTACCCATACATCTTCTTTGATACATTATTGTTTGCCTTCTTATTATTCAGTTTTAAGAATTCTTTCTATATTTTACATGTAGGTACTTTGTTGGATATATATTTTGCAAGTAGTTTCTCCAAGTCTGTGGCTTGCCTTTTATTTTCTGAATACTATATTTTGAAGAACAAAGTTTGAAATTTTGATGAAGTTCAGTTTGTCAATTTTTTTCTATAGTTTGTGCTTTTTATTAATAAATCTTTGCCGAACCAAAAATATCTCCTATATTTTCTTTTAGAAGTTCTATAATCTTAGTTTTTACATTTTGAGATATAATTTACATTTGGAAATAGAACTCACTTCTATTAAATTTTTATATTGGTGTGAGGTTGAAATTCATTTTTTTTGGTCCTAAGAATATTCATTTGTTCCAGCACAATTTGTTGAAAAGATTATCTTTCTCCACTGAATTACCTTGACATATTTGTTGAAAATCAGGTCAGTATGGGTGTGTGGGTCTATTTTTGGATGTTCTATTGATTTATATTTCATTATTACCACCAATACAACATTGTCTTAGTAGCAGCATAGAGTAAGTCAAGTCATGCAAGCCCTCTAACTTTGTTCCTTTTCAAAAACTGTTTTGGCTATTCGCAGTCTTTTGCATGCCCATGTTAATGTCAGAATCAGTTTCTCCATTTTTACTAAAAAGCCTGCAGAACCTACAAATCAGGATTGGAGAACTGGCATCTTAACAATATTGAAGTTTATAATCCATTAAATGGTGTATCTGTCTATTTGTCTAGCTCTTCAATTTCTCTCAACAAAAAAACTGTACAGTGTAGTTTTCAATGTACAGGTCTTGCATATTTTGTTAAATTTAATCCTTAAACATTTAAGGTATTTTAATGTTATTGTAAATTATACTTTACAAAATCTTACTAATAGTTCACTGCTAGAACAGAGAAATATGATTTTGAATATGGACTAGAATCTTGTGACTCTGCTAAATTTCACTTATTGCTTCTAACAGCTTTTTTTTTTTTTTTTTTTTTTTTTGAGATGGAGTCTTGCTCTATTGCCAGGCTGGAGTACAGTGGCTCAATCTTGGTTCACTGCAACCTCTGCCTCCCAGGTTCAAGTGATTCTCCTGCCTCAGCCTCCCAAGTAGCTGGGACTACAGGCGTGCGCCACCATGCCTAGCTAATTTTTGTATTTTTAGTAGAGATGGGGTTTCACTGTGTTGGCCAGGATGGTCTCGATCTCTTGACCTCGTGATCCACCCACCTCGGCCTGCCAAAGTGCTGGGATTTCATGCATGAGCCACCGCGCCTGGCTCTCTAACGGCTTTTTTTGTACATGTCCTGTGATATTTTCTATACATGATCATGTCATTTGCAAGTAAAATGTTGGGTAGGATTTCCACCAGTATAATGTTGAATAGAAGTAATTATATATTCTAGTTTTATTCTTGATTTTTAAAGGGATTAAAAAAAATACATGTCATGACTAGGTGTTTTATATGCTATAGAATTGATAGGTTAAGAAAGTTCCCTTCTATTACTAGTTTGTAAAGGGTTTTGTTTTGTTTTAGAACATAAATAGGTGTTGAATTTTACAGAATGCTTTAGTCTAAATCTTGATATCATGTAATTTTTCTCCTTTTAATATTTAATTTTAATTTTCTAAAGACTGGTCTGCCTCTGTTCTTTATTTTTTAAATATGGTGAATGGCAATAATAAATTTTTCAATTTTTTTTTTTACTTAACTGTAAGTATTGGCATATAAGTGAACGTAAAAGGTGATTCGTTTAAAAATGATCAGGAAAGCACAAACCTGGCAATGTATGGAAAAGGCATTATTACCACTGTTTGATGAGGGTTCTCAAGAGAAGATGAGCTTAAAAGAGTCACAGTCTGGCTTCAGCTTTTCAGAGTTTATCATAGCCCCCATTTGAGGAAGGCAAGAATGAGTCCCAAGAAACATAGGCCTCAACACAGTGAAGGCTTCTGGCAGTGTGGGCCAGGTACTGAAATATGACAGGAATATGATCAGTGGGGGTAGGGTGCTATCTGTTTTCTGCTTCTAAACTTACTTACCATGGCCAATCTTCAGCTCTCAGGGGCAGTTCAAAGCAATACTCTTCTGTGGGGTAAAATGAATGTCTTTGGTTATCCAGGTAGCAGGGCGGGAAGGGGAGAGCAAGAACATCAGCACATGGTCCATGCAAGGCTAAGGGGACTTACTACTCATATAGTATCAGGTGCAAGAGTGTAGAATACAGAAGGCACTCAACATATGTCTCTCTGTATCTCTCTCTATCACACTGCTTTATTCTGGACTGCCTGCCTGTCTAGCATACAGCTGTCATCTGAGAAATCCCTTTCCATCACCTGCACCTTAGGAACTGCCTTCACCTCTCTCTTTCATTGGATCTCCTGTCTTGTATCCCACGCACTCGTCCTTTTTGTAGTACTCTCATTTTGGCGAAGCACGTCTTTCAGTAGGTTCTTGAGCAATATTTAATGGGATGTAAGTTTTTTTGAGATCTTGGAATGTATGAAAACATATTTTTCTCTGTATTTTACTGATAGTTTGGCTGCCTGTAGAATTCTAGCTTAGAAATAATTTTCCTTTAGAAATTTGAAGGCATTGGTCTTCTAGTTTCAATGTTGCTTTGGCAAGCCCAAAGCCATTCTGATTCCTGATCCTTTGTATATATTCCTGCCTCTCAACTTATATACTTCTGGAATCCTTCCTTGTTCTAGAACTCTGAAACTGGCATAGGTCTAGAACAAGGATGGAGCACATCTCCATCCATTGTGCTGGGTATCCAGTGGGCTTTTTCAGTCTAATAACTCATGCCCATCAATTATATAATGTTTTCTTGAATTATTTTGGTAATTGCCTCTCTTCCATTTTCTCTATTCTCTGCCTCTGTCTCCTTTTTGATGTTGGTTCCCTTCTATTCTGGCTCAACATTATCTATTCAGTAATATTTCTATTGAGTCTATTCTATCTGCCATGTCTTTTTTTTTTTTTTGTCCTATACTCAGAGTGGCTTCTTTAACTGTATCTTTTAAACACTTCAATTCAGCTTTTCATTTTATAATTTTTAAAAAAATTAGACAGAAAGTCTTGCTTTGTTGCCCAGGCTAGAGTGCAGTGGTGCGATCATAGCTCACTGTAACCTCAAGCTCCAGGGCTCAAGTAATCCTCCCACCTCAGCCTCTCGAGTAGTTAGGACTACAAGAGCATGCCACCATGCCAAACTAGTTATTATTATTATTATTATTATTATTATTATTATTTCTGGTAGAGACAGGGTCTCACAAGAATACATTTCTTTACAAATTCTTAGGGGAGTCATTTTTCCTACCTAAAACTGAGGCTGAAAGACAAGTTGCCTTGTCAGTTCTTTCTATTGGAGGGCAAATTTTTTCTAGCCCAGCTCTTCACTGACAATATACCTCTTTAATGGTCCTGGCTTTATTTGTATATGTGTGTGTATGGTGATGAGGAAATAGTTCCAATTGCCAGTCTGAAACATACCAAGAACTTTGCCTTCTGTTTTGTGGCTTCAAACCTAAGGCTCTGGTTTCATGGTATCTTCAAATGCCTTGAAGTTTACCACAATCTCTCTCTCTCTCTCTTTCTTTTTATTGAGACAGGGTCTCACTCTGTTGCCCAGGCTGGAGTGCAGTGGTGTGATAATGACTCACTGCAGCCTTGGCTCCCTGGGCTCAATCAATCCTCCTGCCTCAGCCTGCTGAGTAGCTGGGACTAAAGGTATGTGCCACCACACCTACCTAATTTATTAATTTTTTTTGTAGAAGTGGGTTCTTACTTCTTTGCCAGGTTGGTCTTGAATGCCTGGGCTCAAGCAGTCCTCCCACTGTAGTCTCCCAAAGTATTAGGATTACTTGTGTGAGCCACTGTGCCTGGCCAGTTGACCATGATCTAAGTACTCATTTGTCACTGTAGTTTGCAGCTCCTTCTTTGGATTTGATGCTCCCTCCAGATCTCATGTTGAGATGTAATCCCCAGTGTTCTAAGTGGGGCCTGGTGGGAGGTGTTTGAGTCATGGGGGCACTCTCATGGCTTGGTTCTGTCCTTGCGGTAGTGAGTGAGTTCTCAAGAGATATGGTTGGTTAAAGTGTACGGCACCTCCCCTACTCTCTCTTGCTTCTGCTTTTGCCATGTGGCGTGTCTGCTCCCCTTTGCCTTCCGCCATGATTGTAAGCTTCCTGAGGCCTCCCCAGAAGCCAAGCAGATGCCACACCATGCTTTCTGTAAAGCCTAAAAAACTGTCAGCCAATTAAACTTCTTTTCTTTATAAGTTACCTAGTCTCCAGTATTTCTTTATAGCAGTGCAATGATGGCTTAATACAGATACTTTGGATTGCTATTATTTGGAGACAGGGTCTTGCTCTGTTGTTCAGGCTGGAGTGCAGTGGTACAATCATGGCTCAATGCAGCCTCAGTGTCCTGGGATCAAGTGATTCTCCCATCTCAGCCTCCCAAGTAGCTAGGACTATAGGCATGCATCACCACACCTGGCTAATTTTTAAATTTCTTTTTGTATAGACTAGGTCTCCCTATTATTGCCCAGCCTGGTCTCAAACTCCTGGGCTCAAGTAATCCTCCTGCCTTGGCCTCCCTAAGTGCTGGAATTATAGGGATGAGTCACCATGCCCAGCCTGGAATTTTATGTTCTTGTGAACTCATCTGGGCATTTAAAGGATGTTTGTTATATTATATTTAGAATTTCTAGGTGTTTTGTTACAGGAGGAATTTTCAGATGTTTCATCAGACAAAAGTAACAAAAGTTTTAAGAGTTTCAATTTGATTTTAAAAACATTTATGGGTAAGCACTATCCTGGGATCCAGGGATTACCAAGATAACTAAGACTTTAAGAAGCTCACAGTCTAGTTGAGCAGACAGATAAGGAAATAATGACCAGTGCTAAATGAAATGATCAACAAATGGACATATAGGAAAGAAGTTGTGGCAAGACAGATGGAAGAAAGTTGCTTTTATTTCATAGGATTGCCACTGTTAAGTGCTTTTTAAAGGTCTGTCATTTGTGTTTCTAAAAGTATTGGTACCCTGTCTATCAGACTTGATTTAAGTCAAGGACTGTATTTTATGCTTCTTTATATTTACCTAAGGGGTCTACATTAAAAACAGAATAAACTGGGACTTGGGCTTCTGGGAAGATGAAGTGGATATACTTTTTCATATTCGTTCCACTAAGTAAAACTAAAACTGCTGGGCATTATATATAAGACAAACATAAGAAGACCCTGAAAGGTGTTGAGAAGAAGCAGACTAACTAGGGATTTTGGGACCTGAGAAATGATACAGTGGTGAGTTCCATGTCTTTTCTTTTTAAAAAATTAATATTATTTTAAATTGATAAATCATAATTATATACATTTATGGAGAACAATGTGATGTTTTGACATATGTATACAATGTGGAATGATTAAATCAAGCTAATTAACATACCCATCACTTATTTTTTTGTGGTGAGAAATTTGAAATTTGCTATCTTAGCTATTTTGAAATATATAATACATTATAGTCACCCTGCCATGCAATAGATTTCCGACTCATGCAACAAAGGCTGAATGGGGAGCCTAGACTTCCATGCTCATCAGGGTATTAGAAGGTGCTTCAACCCCATGCCAGGTTAAGAAGGCCAAGTAGTGAGGGCTTGGGACTCTCATCCCCACCCACAGTAATTAGTTCCTTATTCCCTTAGAGACCATGTGAGGAGCTTGGATATCTATCTTCCCGTGGCAATGATGAGACACTGTTTTCCCTCCCTAGTGGGATAGTGTCAGAGACCTACTGCAGAGTCAGAATTTTCACCACTGGCCAGAGATACCATGGCCACACCACTTGGGTGTCAGTGGAAACCAGATGGTAAGAAATAATAAAGCAATCCTTCCCCTCTCAGACAAAGCAGTGGCCTAGTAGGGAGAGGGAGCTCCCAACTCAGCCCAGCAGTTAATCAAGAGCCTCTTCTCCCCCTGGCTTGCCAACAGAGGCCAAAGAGGAACCTAGACTTCTACGAGTACCTGGCAGTAATGAGGTGGTGCTAAGGGACCTGTGGGACTATAACAAAAGATCTAAGTGTCTTGTTATTGGTGTCCCCCAGAAGGAGAGGAGGAAGAGAGCAGGGCTGAAAAGTACTTCATAAAATAATGGCAAAAAACTTCTAAATTTGTTAAAAAAATAAAAATAAAAACAAAAAACTCAACAATTCCCTAACTAAAAACAACAAACACACAGATTCAAGAAGCTGAGCCAACCTCAAAACATGTGATTTTTTTAAAGTTTTTTTTTTTTTTCAAGAGACAGGGTCTTGCTCTGTTGCCCAGGCTGGAGTGCAGTGGCACAATCCTAGCTCACTGCAGCCTCGAACTCCTGGGTTCAAACAATCCTCCTGCCTCAATCTCCTGAGCAGCTGGGACTACAGGTATATATCACAATGCCTGGATAATTTTTATATTTATTTTTTACAGATGGGGTATCTCTATGATACCCAGTCTGGTCTTGAACTCCTGGCCTCAAGCGATCCTCCCACCTCAACCTCCCATGTATCTGGGATTACAGGCATGAGCCCTGCTCAAACATGTTAGACCCAAAGAAATTCACATTAAGACAAACTATAGCCAAACTTCTGAAAACTAAAGACTTAGGAAAATCTTGAAGTAGTGAGAGACAAACAACATCTTACCTATGGGGGAAAACAATTCAAATGATAAAGGATTTTTCATTAAAAAAAATGTGAAGGGCAGAGGAAGTGGCATGACATTTTTCAAATTCTGAAAAAAAATAATTGTCAACCTAGAATTTTATATATAGTAAATATATCCTTTAGGAACAAAATAAATATCAAGACATTCTTAGGTGAAGGAAACCTAAGAGACTACATTTCCAGGAGACCTACCCTAAAAAATGGCTAAAGGAAGTTCTCTAAACAGAAAGGAAATGATGAAAAAAGGGATCATGGAACATCAGGAAGGAAGAAAGAGCAATGGAAATGAGTATAAATGTGGGAGGACACAACACATTTTCCTTCTCGAGTTTTCTAAGCTATGTATTATGATTAAGACAAAAATCATAACACTGTCTGATATGGTTCTAAATGCATGGAGACAAAATATTAAAGACAGCCAGGCGCGGTGGCTCACGCCTGTAATCCCAGCACTTTGGGAGGCTGAGGTGGGTGGATCACCTGAGGTCAGGAGTTTGAGACCCGCCTGGCCAACATGGTGAAATCTTGTCTCTACTAAAAATATGAAAATTAGCCAGGCATGGAGGCAGCGCCTGTAATCCCAGCTACTTGGGAGGCTGAGGCAGAAGAATTGCTTGAACCCGAGAGGCAGAGGTTGCAGTGAGCCAAGATCGCGCCACTGCACTCCAGCCTGGGCAACAAGAGTGAAACTCTGGCTCAAAAAAAAAAAAAAATATATATATATATATATATGTATATATATATAATATACATATATATTATATACCAATTATATTTTAAATGGGTCAGGATAAAGGCATTCTTATGAGTTGAATTTTTCACCTCTAAAAAAGATATGTTGAAGTCATAACTCTAGTACCTCACTCAGAATGTTACCTAATTTGGAAATAAAGTCCTTGCAGATATAATTATTTAAGATGGGTTTATATTAGAGTAGGGTGGGCCCTACTCCAATATGACTGGTGTCCTTATAAGAAGATAGCTATGTGAAGACACAGAGACATGGGGAGAATGCCATGTGACAAGGCAAAGACTGGACTGATGCAGCTATAAGTCAAGGAATACCAAAGCTTGCCACCAAACTACTAGAAGCTAGGAAGAGAGGTAAGAAAGAATTTCCCAACTGGTCTCAGAGGGAGCATGGCCCTGAGACATTTTCATCTGGGACTTCTAGCCTCTAGAACTGTGATACAATAAATTTTAGTTATTTAAAGCCACGTAGCTTGTGGACTTTGTCATGGTGGCCCTAGGAATCGAATACAGACCCATGAAAGGGAGGTAAGTTTTCTGTAGTTTACTGGAACTGGTAAAATGCTGATTAACATTAGACTCTGATAGGGTATGCATATATAAAGTAATACTGAGAGCAGCCACTAAAAAGCAATACAAAGAGAAACATAAGCACTATAGACACACTAACGGCCAGCGGATCACAAGGTCAGGAGATCGAGACCATCCTGGCTAACACGGTGAAACCCGTCTCTACTAAAAATACAAAAAATTAGCCGGGTGCGGTGGCAGGCACTGTAGTCCCAGCTACTCAGGAGGCTGAGGCAGGAGAATGGCGTGAACCCGGGAGGCGGAGTTTGCAGTGAGCTGAGATCGCGCCACTGCTCTCCAGCCTGGACGATAGAGTGAGACTCCGTCTCAAAAAAAAAAAAAAAAAAAGAAAAAGTTTAAGTAACTCACAGGCAGGAAAAAGCATATAAAAGCAAAAAACCAGAGAGAACAAATAGAAAACAAAAAATAAAATGGCAGTTAAGTTCTTATATATTAATAATTGTATTCATATAAATGATCTAAATACACCAATTAAAAGAAATTGGAAGAGTGGATTAAAAACATGACTCAAACTGATTCAACTATATAATGTCTAAAGGAAATGCATTTCAAATATAACAGTATGATCAGGTTGAAACTAAAAGGATGAAAAAAGATATGCCACACAAACATTAATCGAAACAATGCTATGCTAATATGGATATATTAATCAGATAAATTAGACTTCAGAGCAAAGAAGATTATCAGAGTCAGAGAGGAACATTACATAATGACAAAAAGGCCAATCTGCCAAGAAGATACAGCAGTTCTAAATGTCTGTGCATCAAAATAGACTTGCAAAATGTGAGGAGCAAAAACTGATAGAATGAAGGAGAAATAGTCAAGTCCAAAATCATGTTTGGAGACTTCAGTATTTTTCTGTCATCAACTGATAGAACAACTAGATAGAGAATCAACAATGATACAGAATAACTAAAAAATACCATTGAGCATTAAATAGCTAAGTCGGTGGACTTGGGGCACAAACACTGCACATTTCAAAGAAAGGACTGGCTCTTGACTGGCTCCTGGGAGATAACTTCTGAGACTTTAGAAAATCCTGCCCAATAAGAGTGTCTTTGTATACTCGACACTTTGGGCCATGCCAGATAGCTTATGCAACTAACGTGATTTATAGGAAACACCTATTTTTATTTGCCTGGGGTCTTGGGCCATGCTGTATCAGTTTGACCTTTAGGTAACAAACCTTAACTATGAGTATAACAGCTTTGCTGAGTTCTGTGAGTCCTAGTGAATCATCAGACCTGAGGGTAGTCATGGGGAACACTGACACAACCACCAACCAACAGGATCTAATTGACATATGTAGAAGATTTTATCAAACAATAGCAGAATACATATTCTTTTCAAACAAACATGGAATATATGCCAAGATATCCTTGGCATAAATATCCTTGGTATAACCTGATCCATAATACAAACCTCAACAAATTTAAGAAAAATGAAATCATGCAGAGTGTGTTCTCTGACCACAATGAAATCAAACAAGAAATCAAGAATGACAATAGGAAAATCTCCAAACTCTTGAATGTGAAACAACATACACCTAAATAATCCATGGGTCAAAGAGGAAGTCTCAAGAGAAATTTTAAAAAGTACATTGAACTGAATAAAAATGAAATACAACATATAAAAAGCTGTGGGACACTGCTAAAGCAGTGCTGAGAGGAAAATTTATAGCACTAAATGCTCATTAGGAAATAGGAAAGTCTGAAATAAAAATTTAAGCTTCCATCTCAAGAACCTTGAAAAAGAAATGAAAATAAACCCACAACAAGCAAAAGGAAGAAAATATAAAGAACAGAAATCAATGAAACTGAAAAATGAAAAATGGAGAAAATCAAACAAAAGTCTGGTTTTTAAAAAGATCAATAAAATTTGAGATACTTCTAACAAGGCTGACCAAAAAAGAAAGAGAGAAGACTAACACATTACCAATATTAGGAATGAAACAGATTATCACTGCAAGCCCTCTCAACATCAAGAGGAAAACAAGGGAATATTGTAACCAATGCTACACACATAAATTTTGATGACTTAGATGAAATGAACCAATGCCTCAAGAAACACAAACTACCACAGTTCACCCAAAATCAATCATTTGAATAGCTGCAAGTCTTCAACAAGAGTGGAAGAAAAAAGAAAAAAGTGAATAACGGCATGACTATTAAAGAAGCTGAACCTGTAATTTTATTTTTCTGCATATGTTTAATGTAAACATTTTATTATGTTAAAATATTCATAAAGTTTAACTTTTTAACCCTTTTAAAGTATATAGATCTGTAGCATTAAGTACATTCACATTGTTGTGCAAACCTTACCACTGTCTATCTCCAGAACTTTTTCTATCTTCCCAAACTGCACTTTGTACCCATAAAACGATAACTCTCCAATGCCTTCCCCAGGGAACCCCCTCATCCTACTCCCCACCAGGCCCTGATCACCATTTTATTTGTGTCTCTATGAAGTTGACTACTCTAGGAACCTCATATAAATGGACTCGTAGTATTTGTCCTCTTGTGACTGGCTTATTTCACTTAGCCTAATGTCTTATAGGTGCATCCCTGTTGTAACAGGTGTCAGATTTTCCTTTATTTTTAAAATGTGTAATTTTAAAATGCCCCAAAAAACAGATTTCCAGGCCCAGATGGTTTCACTAGAGAATTCTACCAAACATTTAAAGAAGAGTTAACACTGATTGTACACAATTTATTCCAGAAAATAGAAGGGAGCAACATTTCCCAAATCATTTAATGAAATGTATAGTATCCTGATGCCAAAACCAGAAAAAGACAGGACAAAAAATAAAAACTACAAACCAATATCCTCCATGAATACAGATACAAAAATCCTTAACAAAATATTAACAAGTGAAGAATTCAGAATATATAAAAAGAATTACATAAGTAAGGTTTATCCCAGGATACAAGGCTGGATCAATATTCCCATATCAATTAATATAATCCACCTTATTAACAGACTACAGAATAAAACAGTATGATAAAATCAGTTAATACTGAAAAAGCATTTGACAAAATCCAACACCCATTCATGATAAAGAAAATTAGTAATAGAGTGTATTATAGGTCCATTTATGATAACAAAAGTTATGATAAAAATAAAGAATAGAGGATATAGTGTGTTTCCTCTGATATTCATATGTTAAAGTCCTAACCCCCTGTACTTTAGAGTGTGACTATTTTAGAGATAGGTTCTTTAAAGAGATAATTAAGTTAAAATGGGGTCATTAGGGCAGGCCCTAATCTAATATAACTGGTGTCCTTTATCAGAAAAGGAGATTAGGACACAAACACACAGAGAAATCAGACCCAGGCATGCACAGAGAAAAGACCAAATGAACACCTTCTCTCTGTGTTCTCTGTGTGGCCAATTGCATGCCAAAGAGAGGGGTGTCAGAAGACATCAGACCTGCTGACACCCTAGTCTCAGACTTCTAGCCTCCAGAACTGTGAGAAAATAAGTTTGTTGGTTAAGCCACCCAATCTAATGATATTTTATTATATGTGGCAGCCCTATCAAACTAGTATAGAGGGCAAATTCCTCAACCTAATAAAGAACGTCTATAAAAAACTTACAGCTAACATTTAACTTAATGATGAAAGGTTAAATGCTTTTCCCCTAGAATTGGGAACAAGGCAAGGAGATCTGCTGTCACTGCTCTTACTCAACATAGTCTTGGAAGTTCTAGTCAGGTCAATAAGGCAAAAAGGAACTAAAAAGCACACACATCAGGAACGAGGATATACACTATTTCTATTTGCAGCAAATCTTAAAAACAAATCTACAGGGCCGAGCGTGTTGTCTCACACCTGTAATCCCAGCACTTTGGGAGGCCGAGACAGGCAGATCACATGGTCAGGAGTTTGAAACCAGCCTAGCCAACATAGTGAAACTCCGTCTCTACTAAAAATACAGAAAAATTAGCTGGGCATGGTGGTGGGCGCCTGTAATCCCAGCTACTGGGGAGGCTGAGGCAGGAGAATCACTTGAAGCTGGGAGGCAGAGGCTGCAGCGAGCCGAGATCATGCCATCGCACTCCAGCCCGGGAGACAGTGCGAGACTCTGTCTCAAAAAAAGCAAAAAACAAAACAAAACAAAAAAATCTACAAGAAAACTCTCCTAGAACTGACTTCAACAAGGTGGCAGAATAAAAGATAATCAATTGTGTATCTATATAATAGCAATGAACATGTGGACACTAAAATTTAAAAATACAATATCACAACTGCTTAAAAAATTGAAAACTACAAAATGCTGATGAAATAAATTAAAGATCTAAATAAATCAAGAGACATACTGTGTTCATGGACTGGAAGACTCAACATAGTAAAGATGTCAGCTCTGCAAATTGATATGCATATTTAATATAATTCCTATAATTCCTAAAATCTCAACAAGATTTTAAATTTAGACAATATTATTCTAAACTTTATATGGAAAGGCAAAGGAACCTGAATAGCTAGAGCAATTTTGAAAAAAAAGAATGAAGTGGGAGGAATCAGTCTGTATGATTTGAAGACTTATATGGCCACAGTAATCAAGACTGTGTGGTATTGGTGGAGGGGGAGACACATCAATCAATGGAACATAACTGAGATCCCTAAAACAGACCCACACAAATCTACCCAAATAATTTTTGACAAAAGTGCAAAGGCAATTCAATGGAGAAAGGATAGTCTTTTCCACTAATGGGTCTTAGAACAGTTGGACATCCACATGGAAAAAACAGAACCTCACCCTATGCCTCACACCTTATACAAAATGAACTGAAAATAAACCACAGACTTAAATGTAAAATGTAAAACTATACAGTCTTTTAGAAAAAAAATAAGAACAAATCTTTGGGATCTATAGGTAGGTATAGAGTTCTTAGACTTGACACCAAAAACACAATCCATAAAACTGATAAATTTGACCTCATTGAAATTAAAAATGTTTGCTCATTGAAAGAGAGGATGAAAAGTTATAGATTGGGAGAAAGAATTCACAAATCACATATTTAATAAAGAATTAGAATCTCACAACTCAACTGTAAAAACAATAGCAACTGTCCTTATTATCTCTTATAAAAAAAGAGAAACCAGGCAAAGACATGAGCAGAAATTTTACCAGGGAGAATACATATACATATGGCAAATAAGCACATGGAAGGTATGTTCAACGTGATTAGCCATTAGGGAAATGCAAATTATAAAAAACTTCATTAAAAATAGTGACACTACCAAATTCTGGTGAGGATGCAAAGAAACTGGATCACACATATATTGCTGGTGGGAATGTAAAAATGGTGGAGCTACTCTGAAAAGCAATTCAGCAGTTTTGAGAAAAACTAAACATAAATTACTACAAAACCTAGCAATTTCACTCTGGGCATTTATTCCGGAGAAGTGAAAACTTGTGTTCCCATAAAAACCTGCATTACAATTGTTCATAGCAGCTTTATTCATGATTGCCTCAAACTGGAAACAACCCAGATGTTACTCAACAGATGAATGGTTAAACTGTGGTACATCTATACCATGGAATACTACTCAGCAATAGAAAGGAATGAATTATTGACACACTGAACAACTTGGATAATTATGCTGAGTTCAAAAAGCCAGTCTCAAAGGTTATATATCTGATACCATTTATATAACATTCTTGAAATGACAAAAACAGAAATGCAGAACAGATTAAGTGATCACCAGAGGTTAAGGACAGGGAGTGAGGAGTGAGGTGGGGCAGGAGGGAAGTAGGTCTGGTTATAAAAGGGCAACATAGACATCCTTCTGATGATGGAAATGTTTTGTATCTTGACTGTATTCATATCAAGCCTTGGTTTTGATATTGTAATATAGTTTTGTAAGATGTTACAAATGGAGGAGATTGGTAAAGGATACTGGGATCTATTATTTTTTACAAATGTATGCATTTTTACAGTTATCTAGATACTAAAAGTTTAATAAAAAAGAAAAAAAAAACAAACCCACAAATCATACTACTTATTTATTGAACACCTGTTGTGTGGCCAGGCCCTATTTAAGGTAATCTCATGAATGTTATTTCTTATTTAATTTTCATGAATGCCTAAAGATTATACCCATTTCCCAAATAATCTTTCATGAAATACTAATTCTTTGTGACATTAACAGCCTTCCTTGGAGGTACTATGTAAAAGGAATTCCCTAGTCAAGTAGGTTTAAGAAAGACAAAAACAATTTTTTTTTAACTATAGGATTTTTAAGGTCTCTAATATCTAATGAATTTTATAAATATTCAAAACAAGGCCATCGTCGACAGCTCTCTTTAATTTTCCCATGTCTTTAATTTTGGAACCCTAGTTTTCACATGATGCCCATTAACAACTTGTCTGAAGACCCAGTATTCCTTATAATATAACAATAAATGTTGGGTTATAGTTTTCTTCCAACATCTCTACTGAAGTGAGCTTTTATGTGTTATTTTGATTTAGGCTATAGATTTACTGTTATAGGTCTGAATATACTTCAGTCATGGTGCAGATGATCCAAACTACTTACCATGTAACAATATAAATAGATCGAAGTACTAATGTAAAGACCAACATTCCATACATGACCTAAATAGGAACGGAAAATGAGGTTAGTACAATCATTATTGTTTGGCAAAGGAAGTCTATTTTGCCTACCAAAATAGCCTTCCCAATTAAATGTAAATATTTATTATCCTTCACTACATTTTAAAGAATAGAATGTTAAAAAATGTGTTAAATCACTAAATCATGCTAACTTCTGAGGAAAAGTTAAGAGTCTGCTTAACTTTATTAAATAACCAGTATCAGAAGTCCTATATCAATTTTAATTCTGAATGGATCCTTGAAATTTTAAATATCTGCTGAAACCTGAACAAATGCTGTAATTTTGCCTCATAATCTTTAGCTCCTCTCTTCTCTTTAGCTTTGCTTTCAGCAAATACAGTAATTGTGCTTCCCATTTTACAATAGTATAAACCTGAATTCTTTTAACTCTTCTAAATGCCTCTGCATTTATATGCATCCTCCCCTGGCATTCTTTCTCATCCCTAGTCTCCAAAAAAGGTGCCCACTTCTTGACTAAGGTTAATCCATTTTCCTGTGTTCTTTATTCTATATGTTCTCACATCTTCCTAGCGTTGGCTCTTCTTTCTTTTCTGTATTGAGTATTAGATGTGTATTAGTACCTGGAAAATTGAACCAGGTGGGAAAATATGAGTTAGCAAATACATATAAAGCCAATAGTTGAGAAAGCACCACCCAGGTCAAGAAGTAAATCCTTGTTAACCCCCAAGAAGTGCTGCATGTGTGTCTTCCCAGTCCAACCCTCTCCCTTCCTTCTTAGAGGAAACCACTCTCCTGACTTGTATTATAAACATTGTTTTGCTTTTCTTTATATAATTACTAACTTAAACTAGTCATCTACAAATGCATTCCTAAGTAATAATAATACTGTTTGCTTTTGAGTTATAATAGAATTTTCATTAAGTTTTATTTTGTTATTCTTATTTCTTTTGAGGCAGGGTCTTTTGTTGTCTAGGCTGGAGTGCAGTGGCATGATCATAGCTCATTGCAGGCTTGATCTCACAGGCTCAAGCCATCCTCTTGCCTCAGCCTCTCAAGTAGCTGGGACTAGAGGTGTGCGTAACCACATCCTGGCTAATTTTTTTTCTTTTTAGTATAGACAAGGTCTCACTATGTTGCCCAGGCTAGTCTGAATCTTATGTGGATGAGGGTACAAAAGAAGCTATGTATATGAATAGCTCTGGGTCTTCTGATGAGATGAAGAGGCTACATCTGCTATAACTCTCACCCTGTATCCTTCTATAAAGCTGAGTAAACATAGTATTAGATTAAAGCTTATTAGGGTCTCAGTGCCAGCTTAAATCCATAACCATAGCTATACTGCTACAAATGGTGAACAAGAAAGGCATAATCCCTATACTCACAGCAATCACAATCTAGTAAAGGGAGAGATAAATAACCAGGCAATTATAATATAGTATTATAACTCTATGGTAGGAACTGTACAGAGTACTTTATAAACACATAGGAAGGCCACCTAATCCAGACTTACACAGTAGAAAGTCTTTCTGGAGGATACGGTGTTTAAAATTTTATACCTGAAGCTCACGTAGCAGTTACCTTAAAAGAAAGTGGAAGAGAATTATTGTGATATCTTATATTCTAGAGACAAGGAGGAAAAAAAGATCCTTATAGTATATTGTTGGAATATAGAATAGGAAAAATGGAGTCAGAGACCAGAGGTCAAATCTGGCCTTTCAAGTCATGTTAAGGAGCTGGACTTCATATAACAGTAACAGAGGCCGGGTGTGGTGGCTCACGCCTGTAATCCCAGCACTTTGGGAGCCCAAGGCAGGCGGATCACTTGAGGTCAGGAGTTCGAGATTAGCCTGACCAACATGGTGAAACCCCATCTCTACTAAAAATGCAAAAATTAGCCAGGTGTGGTGGCAGATGCTTGTAATCCCAGCTACAGGGGAGGCTGAGGCACGAGAATTGCTTGAATCCAGGAGGCAGAGGTTGCAGTGAGCTAAGATTGCACCACTGCACTCTAGCCTGGGCGACAGAGCAAGACTCTGTCTCAGAAAAAAAAAAAAAAAAAAAAAAGGCTGGGTGGGGTGGCTCATGCCTGTAATCCCAGCACTTTGGGAGGCCGAGGTGGGTGGATCACCTGAGGTTAGGAGTTTGAGACCAGACTGGCCAACATGGTGAAACCCCATCTTTACTAAAAAATACAAAAAATTAGCTGAGTGTGGTGGTGGGTGCCAGTAATCCCAGCTACTTAGAGGCTGAGGCAGGAGAATTGCTTGAACCCGAGAGGCAGAGGTTGCAGTGAGCCAAGATCGTGCTATTGCACTCCAGCCTGGGCAACAAGAGCAAGACTCTGTCTCAAAAAATAATAATAATAATAATAATAATAATAATAATGGAAAGCCAATGAAGGTTTCACCAATAGATAACATGGTCAGACTCATGTATTAGAAAGATGTCCCTGTTGTGCTGAGTGGAGAAAGAGAGGGAGGTGAGACTGACAGGAAACAGACCAATGATAACGTGTTGCAGTAATCTAAGTGAGAGATAGAGACCTGAACTAGGGTAATATCAGGGGAGATGCAGAGAAGTGGCCAGATTAGAGAGAGATTTAGGGTTCAGACTAATCATCAATTTGAATGGAAGTTAGACAGGGGGAAAGACAAGGATGATGGCCTGGTTTGTGGCATGGACAGTTAGGTGCATGGCAAAATTAATTATTGGATTAGAGAATATATGAAGAGAAGAAAGACTAGGGAGAAAAGTAGTGAGTTCACTTCTGCATATACGTTCAGTTTGATGTGCCAGTGAGATATCTAAGTAGAGACCTCTAGCAGAAGTTGGATTCCTAGGTCTATAGTTTAAAAGAAAAATCACAGCTGAAGAAACAGAACTGTCAGCATATAGGAGTCAAAGGGAATGAATTTCCCAGGGAATATGTTGAGCATACGAAATGATGGATTAGGAAAGAACCTATGCCTTGGCAACATCATGGGACTTTTTCAAATTAACTTTCTTCTCTCCAGAGCAACCTACCCCATACTTTTGATGCTCCCCACTGCTAGTGGCCTACCTAGTATTCATTGTCTCCTTCCGACTATATAGAAACTGATTTTATCTGGCTGGCAGCATGTTCAGCTATATAAGTTTGATTTCTAAACTTATAGAGGTTTTTTTTTTTAATAAAAAGATGACAGAATGTATACTTTTCTGCTCCTTATAATTTTTATCTAACAATATGTATATTTTTATAGTGAAATTTTATCTTTCTATATTTAATAGTTGTTTTCAGTCTCCAAACTCCAAAGGCTATAAAAATATTATTAGTGTTTTCTCTCTACTAAAGCAACTAATAAAAGTTAAATCAGGATAACACAGAGAAGGATGGGCTGTAATTTTAGACAGAGTTGTTAGGTAAGGCCTCTCTGCTAAGTTAACATTTAAGCAGAGACCTGAATGAAGTGAGGATATAAACCATGTAGATAGCTGGGGTACTAGTATCCTAGGCAGTGGCAATAGTGAGTGCCAAAGTCCTAAAGTAGAAACATGCTTGTTGTGTTTGAAATATAAAGCAAGACTCAGTGTGACTGGAGAGAGTGAAGGAGGGGCAAGTGGAAGGACATCCCCCAACCTAACATATTTTTCTTTTTTATAGCAGTTATCACCTTCTAGCATGTATGTATACTATATAAATTTACTTATTATATCTATAGTGTATTGTTTCATATCATCCTATAGCACTAGTTTTTAAAAAAATCCTTTCTCAGTGGACTAGGGCAACAGAAATCAAACTTTTCTCTTTCCTTGGCCTTTTACTTCCTTCCTCCAGCCCCTAGGTAGCCTTTCAATGATCTGTCTAAAATGAGAATCTGATTTGGTCATACTGCAGCTTAAAACCCTTTAATGGCTCCTGACTGCTTATAACTTTAAGCATAGTATAAAGGGCTCCTCATGACCTAACCACCTCACCAGTAATCCAAACCCATCTCCTATAGCTAGGGCCAGCCATACCAAATATTTATAGTATACCGATGCTTTTAAAACTTTTCTACAAAATATTCCTAATAGCAAAGGAAGGGTGACTTATTCCTGATGGACAGAGACGGGAGAGGCACATTGAAAACACAAACTTCTTTGAAGTTTGTTATTTCATCCTAAAAATTCATGTGGTCATTGTACTCAGTTCTGTAACATATTTATATTTGTTTTAACTTTAAAAAGTTTAATCCCAGCTGGGCATGATGGCACATGCCTGTAATCCCAGCACTTTGGGATGCCAAGGCAGGCGGATCACTTGAGGTCAGAAGTTTGAGACCAGCCTGGCCAACACGAAAAAACCCTGTCTGTACTGAAAATATGAAAATTAGGCCAGGTGCGGTGGCTCACGCCTGTAATCCCAGCACTTTGGGAGGCCAAGGCGGGCAGATCACTTGAGGCCAGGAATTCAAGACCAGCCTGGCCAACATGGCGATACCCCGTTTCTACTAAAAATACAAAAATTAGCCTGGCGTGATGGTACACGCCTGTAGTCCCAGCTACCTGGGTGGCTGAGGCATAAGAATAACGAACCTGGGAGGTGGAGGTTCCAATGAGCCGAGATTGTGCCATTGCACTTCAGCCGGGGTGACAGAGTGAGACTCCTTATCAAAAAAAAAAAAAGAAAGTTTAATCCCTACAATATAGTTGAATAAAATAAATGTTATAGGAAAATAGGAATGTTCAGATGCAGTCACTGATTCTGTAAACGCTTCAGCACACTACCACAAATCCCTGGGTGAACTTGTACTCCTGTTTCATGTGCAAGAGTTACCAATTCACACTTCTGTACCTTAACACAGGGGTCCCCATCCCCCAGACTGGTACAGGTCTGCAGCCTTTTAGGAACTGGGCTGCACAGCAGGAGGTGAGCTGCAGGCAAGTGAGCATTATCGCCTGAGCTCTGCCTCTTATCAAATCAGCAGTGGCATTAGATTCTCATAGGAGCGCAAACACTATTGTGAACTGCACATATAAGGGATCTAGGTTGTGTGCTCTTTATGAGAATCTAATGCCTGATGATATGAGGTGGAATCCCAAAACCATCCCCTGGCTGTCCATGGAAAAATTGTCTTCCACAAAACCGGTCTCTGGTGCCAAAAAGGTTGGGGACTGCTGCCTTAACACATGCTTCTCTATAGATGGAATAGCCTTTACTTCTCTACCTGTGACATCTTGTTCATCTTCAAGACTCTCCTGAAGCCCCTCTATGAGTCATCTAAGTAGACAGAGCTTACCCTTGTCTATATTACCACTGCTTTTACATATTTATCGCAAGACTTATATACTGCAATTAATTTTTACAAGTCTGTATTACTGATTAGACAATGATCTTCTTGAGATTAGTGGCCATATCTTATTTGCCTGTGTATATTAATGTTAGTTAACATTTATTGAGTGTTTACTATGTGACAAGGGTTTTATACACATTATTTCATTCAATCCTCAAACTTAGGAGGTTACTATAGAGATAGGGTGTAAGGTCCTTGAGGGCAGGGCTTGTTATTTTATTCACTAGTATATGTATCTCTTGTGCCTAGTACAGTGTCTGGAACATTGAAGGCACTTAAAAAGGGTTTGTTCAGGCTGGGCACAGTGGCTCACACCTGTAACCCTGCCTGAGCTTCACCAAGGCAGGGGCTGAGGTGAGCAGACTGCTTGAGCTCAGGAGTTTTGAGACCTGCCGGGCAACACGGTAAAACCCATCTCTACAAAAGATGCAAAACAGCCTGTTGTAGTGGTGTGTGCCTGTAATCCCAGCTACTTGGGAGGCTGAGGTGGGAGGACTGCTTGAGCCCAGGAGGTCAAGGCTGTAGTGAGCTGTGATTGAGCCACTGCACTCCAGCCTGGGTGACAGGGCGAGGCTCTATTTCAAAAAAAAAAAAGGTGGGGAGATTGTTGAACAACGAGGAAGCCAGCTCAGAGAGGTTAACTAACTTGTCCAGGGTGTACAGTTAGTAAGTGGAGGAGACAGATTTTAAATCCAGGTCTGCTTGACTGTATGTAGATCATAAAGTCTTTGCTTTGCTGCCTGTCTCCAAATTCCAGCTCAGAATTTGGTACAGAGAAGGCAGACAGTAGACATCTGTTGAATGAAAGAATGTCTTTTACCTTTAGATTACTTATTTGCTTCACTCTAGCATTCCCTTATTTCTTCATTTCTCTATCCTGATTTTTAATCTCTAGGCCTAGGACACAAGCCACAGTGGGCATGGATAGACCTAGCTTTCATCCTGCTTCTCTTCTTATCAATAAATATTACTGCTATACATAGGGAAGAAAATCTTCATTAGTGGAAAAACACATGGATATTGCACCGGGGTAGTTACTTAGTAAGAGTTGTTTTTTATTACATAGTGTCAAATAGTTCTAAAGCACAAAATGAAAAACAGATGGTCATAAAACTTGTAAAAATTAACCCAGAATTTCCAAATTTTATATTTTTGTGGTCATTATTTTTCTTTCTTAGTAAAGGCAAACAAGTTTATAAAAACTGAGGTATTTATACAAATTAACTTCATTTATTTATTATTATTTTAAGAGATATGTTGCCTGGGCTGGAGTGCAGTGGCACAATCATAGTTCACTGCAGCCTCAAACTCCTGGGCTCAAGGGATCCTCCTGGGCTCAAGGGATCCTCCTGCCTCAGCTTCCCAAGTAACTAGGAATACAGGCATGTTCCACCATGCCCGATTTTTTTTTTCTTTTTTTGCTATGTTTCCCAGGTTAGTCTCGAACTCCTGGCTTCAAGCAATCCTCCCACCTCAGCCTCCCAAAGGACTGAGATTATAGGCATAAGCCGCTGTGCCTGGCCAACTTTGTTTTTTATACTGTTAATAAAACTTTCTAAATAAAATAGTAATTACATAATGGCATCATTTCAAGTTACAATAAACAAGAAAGTGAGGATGTCTTTTCTTTTCTTTCTTTTTTTTTTTTTTTTTGAGACAGAGTTTCATTCTGTCACCCAGGCTAGAGTGCAGTGGTGCAATCCCGGCTCACTGCAACCTCTGCCTCGTGGGTTCAAGCGATTCTCCTGCCTCAGCCTCCCAAGTAGTTGGGATTACAGGTGCACGCCACCATGCCCAGCTAATTTTTGTATTTTTAGTAGAGATGGGGTTTCACCATGTTGGCCAGGCTGATCTCGAACACCTGACCTCAAGTGATCCACCCGCCTCGGCCTCCCAAAGTGCTAGGATTACAGGTGTGAGCCACCACGCCCGGCCGTGAGGATGTCTTTTCTGTACCATTTACTTTAGTTCATCTACCTGCAGCTGACCTGGAGAAAAGCAAGGCATAATAATGTGGTTATAGAATATATTTCAAAAGCCATATTCCAGTTAGATGATTATTGTATAGCTTGAATTGTAAAAGTTACAAGAACATTAGTAAATGTTTATATAAGCACAAAATATTTTAAAACTCTGGCACTTCTGAAAAGCGTGCTTATTTATTCATTTTTGTTTGCTAGTTTGTTAAAAGAATGGTGAAAAGGAGTCAGACAAATCTAGGTTATAATCCTGGCTCTCCCCCTTAATAACTGTGTCACCCTAGGGCAAATTACTTAATATTTCTGAGCTCATTTTCCTTGAAATGTATATAATAATTCCCAATTAGTAGGACTGTTGGTGAGATTAGAAGTCTGTGTAGTAGTGAGCATAGTACCAGGCACATGGCAACACTCAAAGGCTTACTTCTTTATTTCACTCTGGTGTCATGATGGCATGCACTTAAATCACCATTTCCTACAATAAAGTTTCCTGTGTCTGCTTCCTTCAATGTACATCACCTCCCATGTCAAAAAATGTGTTAAAATATATTAGAGGGAAAATACTCAAGGAATTTTCAGTCTGTCTTTTCTAGATGTCATAAAAAGACTTTATGTGTATGTGCATAATGCTTCCTGGTTCTTTCTGCTTATAATAGCAATGTTGCACCTGTATTACTGAATACCAACAGCCAGCTGGACCTGCGCATTGGCTATCCCAGGTATATTCCTGTTACCTACACTTGACTCCTGTAAGCATTTGAGTTTACAACCTCCCTTTTAAACACTGAACTTCCTTAGAACATCTACCATTTCATTAAAAAAATTTTTATCTGCATATCATTTCTTAGACAAGGAAATCACAAAGCAGCCATGTATCGTAAACAATCTAATGTGTAATAATTTACAAAAAATTACCTGATGGAATATCGGCTCTTTTACCTTAAGGTAAACCTGCAAAATATTAGAAAAAACACATGTGAATGAAGTACATTATGAAGGGGGGAAAAACCGACTCCAATTACTCTGCAAATCCCAAACCTCTCCTGCTTCCCCCATCTTACTCAGACTTGAATCTAGCCATGTAAAAGCAATCAGATCAAGTGGCATGCCACAGGAGAGCTAGTATCTACAGGAGGATTTCCTCAGTGCTAGCCCTGTTATGGTGAGTCGAATGTTTTAGATCTGTTGTGGACCACTCCAAACTCTGCATCAGTATCAAGGAGAGATAAGGATATATGGATTCTCATGAGGAGTGAAGAGGTTATGTTGACAATCCCCAAAGCAGATCTGTTCTACAACAGAGAGAACACCGGACTTAGAGATAGGAGTAAATTTCAACTTCTGCCACTTACTTGCTACATGCCTTGGATAAGTAATTTAACTAGAAGACGCATCCTTCCTCATCTGGATAATGAACAATAATAGTGATGAGGAATGATAAGCTAAAATACCTGAAAGTGTCTAGCATACAGTAGGCACTCAGTAAGTGAAGACATTTAAAACAAATTTCTTATGCTTTCTTATGCTTCCAGAAATCTCTAACTCACCTTCTAGATGCATTCGCAGTTACACAAACCCTAGTTGTAGGTTCCAATGTCATGTGGATGATTAAGCTCAATGCCTAGTTAAGATTTAACATGCATGTATTGCCCTACAGGAGTACAGTTTTTAAATGACATGGTACAGGGGAATCAAAATTCAAGTCATGACCCTGCCATGACTCTCATCACTTGTAAGACAAAGTTCAAATTTCTTAACCTAACATTCAAATCCTTCCATGATTCCTTCCTTTCTATTTGGTCTCACTATTGTCTTCTTGTTTCCTCCTCATCCAAGTCTCCAGAAAGTACTGTGCTTCCTCAAATGTGCTAGTTTCACGCTTCTGTATTTTTAAACATGCTGCTCTTTACTTTGTTCAGAAATCCTCCTCTATTCATTACTTATCTTTTAGGATTCAACTCAAACTATACCTCCTTCTTGAAGCCTTTTCTGATCCTTTCTCTATACAGCGGAAGCAACCAGTCACACTCCTTTCTACCATTACTCTTCATGTATAAACTTTGTGGCATTTAATGGTTTGTTTCTCTCCCTACAAGACTATAATATCTTTGATATTAAGTACTGGATTTAGATATTTCTATATCCTCATTTAATGTAGCAATCCCATAAAATTTTATATAATTTTATTATTTGGCTAAAGAAGTTTCTACCCTCAGTACAAAAAAAAAAAACCAAACCCAGATTATTTCCTTTAAGCATTGTGAGCTTTAAAAGTATGATGTGTATGAGATATTGTATATCTGTAACTCTAAACCCAGTAAGGGAGAATGCTTTTAATCTCTGAAATTTCTTATTTCAAAATACTAATTTCCATTTATATAGGTAATGCTATCAGATTCCCATTGTTACTAATAAAAGAAATGCAAAACGACATATCTCTTAAAGACATTTTTTAAAGCAAATAATTATGGAGTCCTTCCTATGTGTTAGGTATTAATTTTCACAACTAACATAAAATATATACTATTATTTTCTTCATTTAACAGATAAAGGAAACTAAGGCTGAGAGAGATTAAGTAATTTGCAAGGTCCCAAAGTTTTTAAGTAGCCTGGATCCAAACTTAAATCTGACTTCAAAGTCTGTCTCTCCCACCAATTGTCTATATACACTTGATTGGCCAGGCAAGTCACTGACAATCTCTAGACTTGATTCTCTTCTTTCATATCATAACAAGACTTCATTTCACCTCTGAAATTCTACAATTCTTTCACGATTAACCAATATGTAGTTGATATGGTTTGGTTGTATGCCCACCCAAAATCTCATCTTGAATTGTAATCTGAATCGTAATCCCTATGTGTTGGGGAAGGGACTTTGTGGGAGGTGAACAGATCATGGGGGTGGTTCCCTCATGCTTTTCTCATCATAGTGAGTGAGTTCTCATGAGATCTGATGGTTTTATAAGGAGCTTCTTCCCCCTTCGCTCTGCACTTCTTTCTCCTGCCACCATGTGAAGAAGGATGTGTTTGCTTCACCTTCCACGATGATTTGTTAAGTTTCCAGAGGCCTCCCCAGCCATGCGGAACTGTGAGTCAATTAAACTTCTTTCCTTTATAAATTACCCAGTCTTGGGTATTTCTTTATAGCAGCATGAGAAGGGACTAATACAGTAGTTTAGGCAAAGTAATGTGGAAACAAGTAAATAGTGCATATGTGCCCTCTCAACCTCCTATTCAACATCTCAACTAACTGAAATCTGGCTTTTGCCTCCATCAATTCACTACTGACAGCATCCTCATTAAGGTTACCTGGTCTTCCAACTGAAAATTTCTATTAGCTCTCAATATTCATTGTACTCATCCTTTCAGAGGCAACTGTTCTTCCATTTTTCACTTCTAGAAATCTTTGTACTCCATGACATCAGGCTCTCCTAGCTTTCTTACATCCCTAATTACTTGTTCTCAGTCTCTTTTGCTAGCTCCATTTCTTCCACCTAGTCCTCAAATGTAAGTATTTCATTAGGTTGTACTTTTAGTCTTTGTTTGTTTTGAGACAGGGCCTCACTCTGTCACCCAGGCCAGAGTGCAGTGGCACAATCATGGCTCACTGAAGCCTTGACCTCTCGGGCTCAAGCAATCCTCTCACCTCAGCTTCCTGAGTAGCTGGGACTACAGGTGCATGCCACCACATCCAGCTAATTTTTAAAAAATGTTTTGTAGAGACGAGGTCTCACTATGTTGCCCAGCTGGTCTTGAACTCCTGGGCTCAAGTAGTCCTCCCATCGTGGCCTCCCAAAGTGCTGGGATTACAGGTGTGAGCCACTGTGCCTGGCCCCTTTAGTCATCTTAACGGCCTATGCTACTTTTTCAGGTCATCTATTCTCATATTTTTGTACTATCTATACCCTGACAATTCCTAAATCTACATCTTTAGGCCAGCCTAACTGTAAAGCCTCAGATGTAATTAATGTCAGGCACCTCAATCTTAACACATTTCATATTGAATTTATCTCTACCCCTACCCCATGGCACAAACCTACTCATTATCTATCCTGCAAAAGCTGTTCATCCTCCAAGTTTCCTGTTTTGATTAAGGACATACTATCTATCCTGACAACCAGGCCAGGAGTCATTCTAGACAACTCCTTTTTACTCTACTTCCACCCCCTCTACTATGAAGTGGGTCACATATCCTGCAGTTTGTTACTTATGACCGTTTCTTTTCAACCCCACAGCTATATTACTTTCACCTGAGTCTCATATCTTACTAAAGCAAATACAGAAGTCCCTGGGTCTAGTCTCATACTCCTGTAATCCAGCCTCATAACCAGAGCAATCTTTCTAAAACACGTATCTGATTACATCTTTCCTTTAAACCAGTTATTGGCTCCACACTACCTTTTTCTTTTCTTTTTTTTCTTTTTGAGACGGAGTCTCACTCTGTTGCCTAGGCTGGAGTGGAGTGGCACGATCTCAGCTCACTGCAGCCTCCGCCTCCGGGGTTCAAGCAATTCTCCCACCTCAGCCTCCTGAGTAGCTGCGATTACAGGGGAGTGCCACCACACCCAGCTAATTTTTCCATTTTTAGTAGAGACAGGGTTTCACCATGTTGGCCAGGCTGGTCATGAACTCCTGACCTCAAGGTGATCCACCAGCCTCAGCCTCCCAAAGTGCTGGGATTACAGGAGTGGGCCACTGCGCCTAACTGCTCCACACTTCTTCGAGGATAAATATTTGAACTCTCAAACAAGGCATAGAGGGGTATTTATAATTTGACATTTGTCTAATTCACTAGACTCATTCACTGCTCTTCAATTACCATATGTTCCAGCCATATTAAATCTTGCCCAATTCTACCAGTGGTGATGATTTAATGAGACAATGAAGGTAAAGTACATAGTTACAATATCTGGCATATAGTAAGTGATTGAAAATGGTAGTTCACTATGTTGTTTCAAAGTTCTCTGCCTATGAAAAAACAATAGTGCTATCTACAAATTCTTCACTGCACTCTTGCCCAGGGGTCTGATGAACTCCTAATCATCAGTTAAATTCTAGTGCAAGTGCCTCATCTCAGAAGCTTTCCTTGACTCATGCATGAAGCCTTGATTGAACCTCCTTTATCTCATCACCATATAAGTAGTTTTTACCCCTATTATTGCAATTATTATCTTTTGATGCAATTCTTTGTGTACATGTCTAAAATCTCTAACAGAATGAGCTCCTCACAGATAGCAACTGCTTTTTAATCATCTCTGTATTTCTAGTGCCTGACATGGTAAGTTTTCAATAAATGTTTTCTGCAATAAATATTTTCATAATATAAAATGCAATTTACTTGAGAAAAAAAGCATTAATGTAGAATTAGAAGTGACTAGCTATCTCAACTTACTAGAGAAAAGTTAACCATTACAACAGTCACATTTGGACCAATGGAGCAGAGCCAATCTCTCATTTTTAACAAATAGGAGCTAATATGTCCATCTATGAGAAAAATTAATTTTTCCCAATTATTGCTACTAAATATTTGCTTTTTTGCTTTTTCCCTTTAAAAACTAAACAGATTTTTAAAAGTATTTCAATTACAGTGAGAAGTAACATTTGAACAGAGAACAAGGGAGCAATATTTGTCAGTGTGATATTCTTGTTTTGTGTAGAAAGATTTCAGTTTGACAGCATGAAGCAAATACTGGAAGTAAAATATGTCAAACTCCATAAATGGTGAATTTACATGCTTAATCTGTTAGAAACAAAATATGACTTACTGTGGTTACTATTAAACTGAATAGAACTAAGGTAAAAAGCAGATGGTAGTTTACTGAGTTCTTGATCTTGAAACATTCAAACCTTGAAAAAAAGAGAGAAAGAAACTTTTAAAAGAATATATAAGTAGGAACATAAATAGAATGCTGCTTTACCACTTGCCTATATCTCTCGATGATAAGTGATATCCATCATTTCTTTCCACTCATAGAGAAAACCTGCACTGCCTATTATCCTCTAAGAGGCTGGAAGGACTAGGAGTAGACACGTGACTTAAACTGGGACAATGAAAGGCTCTTGCCTGAGAGTCTGGAGTTTGGGAGAGAGAGACTGAATCAATTCAGTATAGAGAGTTAGCTGGGCGCGGTGGCCAGTGCAGGAGGATCACTTGAGTGCAGGATTTCGAGACCAGCCTGGGTAACAAATTGAGACCCTGTCTCCACAAAAAATAAAATAATTAGTGGGCATGGTGGTGTACACCTGTAGTCCCAGCTACTCGGGAGGCTAAGGTGGGAGGAGAGCTTGAGCCTGGGAGATAGAGGGTCCAGCCTGGATGACAGAGCAAGACCCTGTCTCCAAAAAAGAGGTATAGAGAGTCAAAGTCATATGGACTCAAGGTCTGAGGCTGATATTTGGGGGCAGCCAAATTGAATGAAGAAGTAGATGAATGAGCAGAAGTAATCTGCAGGGAGAGAAAAATATAGCAGATACAAAGAGGCGAAGCCATGTGGAGAGGAAGGAATGGCAAAAAGAGGGAAGGGGGAAGAACCTGTCCTTCCAGTTCTAGTAAGGTGGGGCTGTACTTCCTGCTATTGGGTTCCACATAATTTCCTCACATCCTTACAATAAATAAGGATGTAATAAATAAGGATATAATTTCCTCATATCCTTACAGTAAATAAATAATCTCTCCTAATTCAAGCTAGCTTGAATAGGTTTCTATATCTTGCAACTAATGATTCCTAAGGAATATTATTGGAGAAAATAGTAGTCTATTATAATTGTCTCTTCCCTTATCTATCTCCTCAACTAGCCTGTGAATTCCTTGTGTGCAGGAATAAATTTTATTTTTTTCATATAACTAGCACAAAGATAATGCTGAACACATAGGAGGTATCCGGTAAATAAGCAAATATGAACAGACAATTGGCCATCAGTGAGTATCCAATCCAACCTTTGAGGACTGTGACTTGGTATAGGCAGCAAGAGTGTTCTCTCAGTTTACTAACTGGCTGTGGGAATTGGACCAACTCTTATTTTCTTATTTGTAAGGAAAGGTGGTTAGAAGAGGCACTTTCTAAGATCTCTTTTACCTTTAAATTTTGTGACTTGGACAATGATGAAAATATTAGGTGAAATATTAGTTTTTACTTTTAAACTCTATTATTCCAAATTCAAAAGCAAGTTATCTGTTAAGAAACCAAAGGTCTTTAGGAGGCCTGGCTTGTATTTATTACCATGGTTATTTCACTTTATTACATATAGTCACTTTCTTATCTGTCCCCTTCCTCAGACAATGAGTTCCTGATTCTGTATCTACAGAGCCTAGGATCATGCCTAAAATAAAGGAGGTTTTCCAGTACATGTTTCACAAATGAACAAGCACACAGAAGGCAAGACAGATTTAAAAATCATTAGAGCCCAGGTGCGGTGGCTCACGCCTGTAATCCCAGCACTTTGGGAGGCCGAGGTGGGTAGATCACAAGGTCAGGAGTTCGAGACCAGTCTGGCCAACACAGTGAAACCCCATCTCTACTAAAAATACAAAAAAATTAGTCGTTGCAGGTGTATGCCTGTAATCCCAGCTACTCGGGAGGCTGAGGCAGGAGAATCGCGTGAATCCGGGAGGCAGAGGTTGCAGTGAGCCAAGATTGCGCCATTGCACTCCAGCCTGGGCGACAGTGTGAGACTGTCTCAAAAAAAAAAAAAATCATTAGAGGTCTAGACTGCTTCACATATTTGATATGTTCAAAGAATATCCTAAGGAATCAACAGAAAAATGAATAAGTTATCAAAGTGATAAGATAAAAGGTCAATATACAAAAATCACTTATATTTCTAAATGCTGGCTATGAACAATTGGAATATAAAGCTTTTAAAAAGCAATACTGTGGTCAAGTGCAGTGGCTTACGCCTGTAATTCCAGCACTTTGGGAGGCTGAGGCAGGAAGATTGCTTGAGGTCAGGAGTTCGAGACCAGCTTGGGCAACATGGCAAAATCTCGTCTCTACAAAAATTCAAAAATTAGCTGGGCATGGTGGAGCGCACTTGTAGTCGCAGCTACTTGAGAGGCTAAGTAGGAGGATGGCTTGAGCCTGGGATGAGGAGATTGCAGTGAGCCAAGATCGTGCCAATGCCCTCCAGCCTGGGTGAGAGCCAGACCCCATGTCAAAAAAGAAAAAAAAGCAATACTATTGAAAATAGCATCCTAACCATGAAAAACATAGGGCTAAATTTAACAAAGATCAATTCACTTAAAATCACAAAAAGTCACTTGGATAAATTAAAGAACCACATTCATGGTTTGGGAGACTTAGTAATGTTAAGATATTAACTTTCCTCAAACTGGTCTATAGAGTCGAAGAAATTACAGTCAATCTTCCAGCAGGCTATTTTGTAAAAATTGACAAGCTGACTCTAAAATTTATGTGGAAATGCAAAGGAACTAAAATTTCCAAAGCTATACTGAAAAAGAACAAAAGTGAAGGACTTATTCTAACTGACTTCAAGATTTACAATAAAGCTACAGTAACTAGACAGTATGAGGATACACGCAGTGATCAATAAAACAGAATTGAGAAAAAAGTCAAGATAATTTAATGCAGAAAGAATAATCTCAAAAGATGGTTCTGGAACAACTAGATACTGGTAAGGAAAACATGATCTTTGACAAAACTAACTCAAAATAGATCATGGACCTAAATGTAAAATAAAGTTATAAGACTTCTAGAAAAAATAAACAAACAAAATATTTTTGATCCTGGGAAGGCAAAGATCTCTTATGACACAAAAACACTATTCATGAACATTTAAAAAATAAATTGGATTTTATAACAATTTAAAACTTCTGTTCTTCAAGAGACATTAAATGAAAAGACAATTCACAGACTGGAAAAATATTTAAAATACAAATATCTGACAGGACTTGAACCCAAAATAGATAAAGAATTTTTACAATTCAAAAAGAAAAAAAGCTATTTTATAAAAATGGGGGCTGGGTACAGTGGCTCATGCCTGTAATCCCAGCACTTTGGGAGGCCAAGGCAGGCGGATCACAAGGTCAAGAGATCGAGACCATCCTGGCCAACATGGTGAAACCCCATCTCTACTAAAAATACAAAAATTAGCTGGAGGTGGTGGCGGGTGCCTGTAGTCCCAGCTACTTGGGAGGCTGAGGCAGGAGAATCACTTGAACCCGGGAGGCAGAGGTTGCAGTGAGCCGAGATCGCACCACTGCACTCCAGAGTGGCGACAGAGCGAGACTCTGTCTCAAAAAAAAAAAAAAAAAGGAAAAAGGTTTGAATAGATTGAATAGATAGTTCTTAATATAACACATACAAATGGACAATTAGAATAAAAAAAGATGCACATCATTAGTCACTAAGAAAATACAAATTAAAACACCACAGAGATAGTATATCATACTCACTAGAATGACTAAAATAAAAAAGACTGATAATACCAAGTCTTGGCAAGTATATGGAGCAAATGGAAGTTTCATATATTGCCAGTAGAACAATAATAAGGTGCAACTAAATTGAAAAACAGTTTGGCAGTTTCCTATAAAGTAAAACATATACTTACCATACAACATAGAAATTCCACTTCTAGGTATATACCCAAGAGAAATGAAGTCATATATCCATACAAAGACTTGTTAACAGATGTCCATGGTCCCTTTATTCATAGTAGCCCCAAACTGGCAATAACCTTAATGTTCAACATTGGTAAACAGTATAAAATGGAATACTACTAATGATATATGTAACAACATACATGAATATATTCATCAAAAGTAATTGGCAAATTAGTGCCCTCAAAAAATATTATACTGAATAAAAGAATCCAGTTACAAAAGAGTACATATGGTATAATTTCTTTTATATAAAATTCCAGAGCAGACAAACTAATCTATAATTATAGAAAGTAGATCAGTGGTGGCCTGGAGGCCAGGGTAGGTGTCAGTATTAACTGCAATGGGTCAGAAAAGAATGTTCTAATGTGATAGAAATGTTCTGTTTCTCTTTCTTGCCATAAGGGTAATGGGTAAATAGGAGTATACATTTGTCAAAACTCATCAAACCATACACTTAAACTGGGTGCATTTTATTCCATGTAAACTGTGTGTCAATACAGTGGATTAAAAATTATTTCACCCCTTTCATTTCCTTCTAAGTGTCACTTAAAGTGTACTACAGCAGGCTCTTTCTGAATGGGGGAATATGATCATAAACAGATAGTGCAGAAGATTGCTGAGGAAAGATTAGAATCCAGAGACATAGTTTTTGAGAAACAAAAGCTTTGCATGCTCTTTTTATATATTCTTTTTTATACTCTGAGGTGGTAGCAATGATGAAACTTATGTTTAATTCACTATGACAGGACACCATGCTCCATTTTCATATAATGGCAAGCTCTATCCCTTTCTACTCCACTGAACTTTGTATGTCTCAGGTATAGTATTAATCACATCACATGAAAGCTGCTTGTTTCTGGTTCTGTTTCTTTTACTAAACTACAAATTTCTTGAGGTAAAAGGACTATTTCTTACTTAATTTCCCAGTTCCTAGAGCCTATCACAGTGCATGATACATGAATAGCATACAATAAGTTTATTTTATAAACAAATCATTTATTTTAATCTTCATGGGAAATTTATAAGTACTATAATCTCCACTTTTACAAACGAAGGAACAAAGGTTGACTTACTTAAGCTCATTCAGTTACTAAATATCAGAGCTGAAAATTGATCTACATTATCAGTATCCTTCTAAGTAATATCTGCTGTTCCCTAGCACTAAAACTATTTTTCTTTTTCTTTTTTTTTTGAGACAGGGTCTTGCTCTGTCCCCTAGGTAGAGTGCAGTAGCAGCACAATCGTGGCTCATTGCAACCTCAACCTCCTGGGGCTCAGGCAGTCCTTCTGCCTTAGCCTCCTGTGTAGCTGGGACAGAGGTGTGCACCATCATGCAAGCTAATTTTTTAATTTTTTTGTAGTGACAGGGTCTCACTATACTGCCCAGGCTGGTCTTGAACTCCTGGGCTCAAGTAATACTCCTGCCTTGGCCTTCCAAAGTGCTGGTATTACAGATGTGAGCAACTATGCCCAGCTCCTAGCACTAATACTTAAGAGTTCTTTGTACCCATTATATGATGGTTATCTGATTCTTTTCAGTATAGTCATAATTGCTAGCTCAAGAATATCTTCTCCTAAAGATATATAAACATCAGAATAGTTTTTAAAATATGTTATTAAAAGGAGTTTACCTTATTTTTTTAGACCAAGGTGACAAACTATGGCTCAAGAGCCAATCTCTTGGCCTGAGCCTGTTTTTTTTTGTTAGTTTGGTATTGGTTTTTGTTTTTCTTGAGACAGGGTCTCCCTCTGTTTCCCAGGCTGAAGTGCAGTGGCACAATCATGGTTCACTGCAGCCTCAACCTCCAGGGCCCAAGTGATTCTCCCACCTCAGCCTCCCAAGTAGCTGAAATTACAGGCATGCACTACCATGCCTGGCTAATTTTGTAATTTTTGTAGAGATAAGGTCTCCCTATGTTGCCCAGGCTTATCTTGAACTCCTGGGCTCAAGCGATCCTCCCACCTTGGCCTCCAAAAGTGCTGGGATTACATTTGTGAGCACTGTGCCCAGCTAAACCTGTTTTTTTTTTAATAAAATGTTACTGGAACATAGTCACACTCATTTATTTACATATTATCTGTGGCAGCTTCCAAGCTACAATAGCAGAGTTGAAGAGCTGCAACAGAGACTCCTGTCCTACAAAGCCTAAAATATTTATCATCTGGCCCTTTACAGAAAAAGTTTTCTGATCCCCGTTCTATATCTTTTTTTCTGGGGGGGACAGGGTCTCACTCTGTCACCCAGGCTGGAGTGTAGTGGTGCCATCTCAGCTCACTGCAGCTTCTGCCTCCTGGGTTCAAGCGATTCTCCCACCTTAGCCTCTCGAGTAGCTGGGACTACAGGCACACATCACCACGCCTGGCTAATTTTTTGTATTTTTAGCAGAGACAGGTTTTCACCATGTTGGCCAGGCTGCTGTTCTATATCTTCTTACCTAACTTTGAAATAGGGCTTGACACCATATGGGTCATAGCAGCTAGATGGGCATTCTTACTTTTATTGTTTCTGGATAAAGATCAGTTTTAGTAAAGGTCAGAGCCAACAGTGATATAGTTGGTTATAGCTAACTAAAAATAAAAGAAAAAAATCTTTCAATTACTTTAGTGTGTACCATTAACTTTGAGAGAGGTATTAGGAAGTAGAAGTCAGATATGAACTGCTTTGAATTGTGGCTCCACCACTTAAAAGTGTCTCAGGATCCTTAGGGTGTTGCTTTTCTAGCCAGAAACCTCTGTGGCTGGTGGCACCTTTGCCCAAGTTTTGTTCTGGCCCACTGGGCTCATTCTGCCCACTCGGCCTGGCAGGCTGCACTTGGCTCATGCTACCAGCCTGGATCCCATGCCTGCCAAGGGGAAGCCAGGAATGGAGCAGTGAGAAGTGTTTAATGAGCAAGCTTGGGGTCTAGCCACTGTGCACAGCCAGGCACACTGGCTACTGCAGCAGGGCAGGCAGCTCCAGAAGCCAGCATAGGCACTGGCTCCATGTAAGCCTGCGGTTTGATCAGATACACCGTAAGCATCTTCCACTGTGGGCACCCCCATCTGGACAAGGGGAATGCAGTGGTGCCTGGAAACTGGGAGATGCCAGAAACCACCAAGCCCCCAAAAGGGTGTCACAGCCCTGGCTCGCGGAGCCCCTAGGTCTGGGCTCCCTGAAGGGCCACAGCTCTTCTCTCCTTCTTATCTCCTGCAATGTGGCAAGCTGGGGAGAGGGATATGTTTCAGCCCTGTTTGTGTTACATCTCTTTCAGCCCACCATTTGGCAAGTCCTAAGTTCTTGTCCTGCATCCAGGAAGAATGAGGTATGCGGACAACTGGAGGGTGAACAAGGTGGAAAGGAGCTTTATTGAGTGACAGAACAGCTCTTGGGAGACCCAAAGTGGGTGGCTCCTATCTGCAGGCAGGTCATCCCAGTGAATGTCCAGCTCTCAGTGGAGAGGAGACCCAGAGTGGGCAGCTCCTATTCGCAGGTAGGTCCTCCAGTCATCTGTGTGAGTCTGGCTGGGTCTGGGGTTTTTATGGGCTCGGGAGGGAGGAAGTGAGTGCTGATTGATCAATGGGCAGCCATGGGAGGGCTTGGAAAAAGCACTGTAAGTTCTCACTCTGGGCCACAGACTCCACCCGGAAATGACAGCCTGGCCCCCAGGCTTCAGGCTGTCCCCGGCTTGAAGGTGGAGCTTCACCGGGGACTGCCCCTTTCTGCCCAGGAACCTGTCTGCCTCCTGCCACCATCAATGTATGGCCCATGGTGCCCAGGCTGTTCTTGCCGAGGGGTGCCTGCAGGCCCACACCAAGCTGCCCTCAGTCCCCGCCTCGGCCTCCCTCCCATGCTTGTCAGTGCCTAAAGTCCAGAGGGGGCGGAGGTGGCAGGGGGCTGGCATGTCAGCACCACCCCAAGCACATGCACACCTGGCCAAGTTGTGGCAGCACCCGGGCTCGGCCACAGCTTTGCTCTGCCCTGGAGTGGGAGCTGGGAGCGGAGAGAAGCCAGGCAGTGGGAGCAGGCACTTTCAAGCCTGCAGGGGCAAGGGGTTTCCTGGAACTCCAAGAGTGCAGGGATGCCCAGGTCCAGAGCCATGGCTGGGCATCTGCAGCTGTGCCCGGGAGTGTGGGGCTCCTGCCCCACCAACTCAGTAGGGGACGGGGTTCCCACCTGTTCCCGGCCCCCACCAGCACTGCCTCCCCTGCTGCAGCCAGCATCTTTGCAGTGGCTGCTCTAACTGGGCTACTGCTGCCCTCAAAAGCCTCGTTACTAGGGCCTGACTCAGGCATGTGGGTCCCTACATAAGCTAGTAATTTTTTTGCCCCTCCAAACACATATTCTTAACATACTTGTCCAACATTTAGAGAAGGCTGATGTTGCAGGGTAATGGGTGAAGGAGGCTTTCCTCTAATGTTCCCAGTGACTTAGCTAGAGCCCAAACCTGCATACCCTAACTTACTCAAATAGAAGACCTATAGCTAACCTCACCCACCCTCCTTAGAAGGCACATTATTTGATCATGCAGTACAGGAAGGGTCTCACTTCTACACTTCTACCACATACCCAGGCAGCCTATCAAAGTGTTCTTCCAACCTCTCCTTGAGAGGAATTGTGATCATTGTAATTTTCTCCATCATGATATATTTCCAGGGATATTTCAGTGTTCCTTAGAGACTGTTTACCTGGACAATGGCCTGGCCAGTATGCTTTTAAATCAAGTTCTGTTTTTGTCCATAGACAAGTTACTACATCTCTCTGTGCTTTACTTCCTTGTCTATAAAATGGGGCCAATACCCATTTATCTTGCATAGTTGTTGAGAATTAGAGATGGCATTGTACACTGCCTAGCACAGTACAAAGCAGTTACATATTAGCATTTATTAATGTTACTATCATAATCATTTTTATCTTTCAAGATTGATTTTTTCCTTGACATTCAGGAAATGCAAATTAACTTGATAATAAAGTAAACAGAATATAATACAGTAAGAGAACTTTGGATTGGGAATGGCCTGTAAGCTGTTTCCATATTTGTAAATAACCAATCAAAATAAGTATATTCTTGAGAGCATTTAGTCTACCTTAGAATAAGAAAGCAAGTATCTATTTAAAAGATAACTTCAAACAAAAAGGAGATTAAGTTGACACGATCACTATACAACTAGAAGTGTACCTCACTTTTCTGGTAAGCGTCTTGTTAAACTATATTGTAGAATACAGAAACTGTATCTGAAAACTTTTATGGCACAATATGAAAATCTTTATCTAAATTTGTACACATTATTCACTTGGGAAAGGAAAATTATGGAATTTAAGCTATTTAGATCCTATCTAAATTGGCTACAGGGTTTTGAGATCACAAAAGTTAATAAACAACATTATTGTAACTTCCCAGAAATTATACTCTATATTGATATCATAAAATTTATAATCTTCTACATTATTAAAATATCCTAGTAATATAAATGTATCAGTTATATTAATCCACTATGAGGTAAATATAAATTTAAAAATAAATCAAACAATGAAATTTTAAAAGTACTTACATGCAGTACACAAATATGCAACAGCTGTATATCATTGGGAGTTCATCCAATAGCTGTAAGAAACAAAGATAGATAACAGGCTTGAATATCATGGAGCAGCAATTATTATGCAAATCAAAATAAAACATCAAAATGATTAAGATTTTCAGCTCTTAGACCAGGCACAGAGGCTCACACCTGTAATCCCAGCACTCTGGGAGGCCAAGGTTGGAAGATCGCTTGAACTTAGGTGTTTGAGATCAGCCTGAGTAACACAGTAATATCCTGTCTCTACAAAAACTTTTAAAAAAAATCAGCAGGGCATGGTAGTGGCATGTGCCTGTAGTCCCAGCTATTTGGGAGGCTGAAGCAAAAGGATCGCTTGAGCCTGAGAGGTCGAGGCTGCAGTGAGCCATGATTGCACCACTGCACTCCAGCCTGGGCAACAGAGCAAGACCCTGTCTCAAAAAAAAAAAAAAAAAAAAAAAGAAAAGAAAAAAAGGTTTCAGCTCTTATTTCTTTTACTAATTCTCTTTATATATTTGTCATCAAATTTACTCTGAGTATGTGTGTGTAGTTTACTGTTTTTGAACAAACAAGGTTATCATCCAAGTGTCCTAATGTACATACTAAGCAGGGTACCTGACTCACTATTCCTGGAGGGCAGACTTGTCATTGTGCTGCTCATATCATCTGGTATTACAAACTATGATATTGTACCTCCAGAAAAAAATGATGTCCATCATCTACAGGTCCATAGGTCCTATCAGTATTCTTTTGCATTTCCATCCTTCCTATATCACCTTAAATGGATAAAGTGTCTACTAACATACATAAGAAGAGGTATTAATGGCCAGGGAAATAATTTTATTAATCTAAGTAAAGTATACCTCTGAGAAATAACATTTATTATTATTATTAGCAATGATAATAATAGTAGTAATAATAATTACAGCCATTATGTGTTAAACTGCAAGCTAGACACTAAGCTAGGTGTTGTAGATACCAATCTTAGAGTTTATTTATTACTAGATACACATTTAATTAATTCTTTAATAAAATGTCCACTATGTGCCAAGTAATGTGTTAAGAGCTGAGGATACAATTTTAAGACACAGTCACTGCCTTCAAGGAGTTCGCATTCTAATTAGAGGTTAAGGGAATGAAAGCATGATTAAATATAGAGTAAGGACTCCAACAAAAGACACAAAAGCCAAAGAAAGTGATGGCAGGAATGAAATGAAATGGGGTGGCGGAGAAAGGCATTCTAGGAAGTAGGAAGAGAGCTTATGTAAAGTGAATGATTCATTCTGGTAAATTATTAGAATTATGAAAATAATAGCATTTGTGCAAGTTAACTATTTTTAGTCATTAATTTTTTTGTTTGTTTGTTTGTTTGAGACGGAGTCTCACTCTGTCACCCAGGCTGGAGTGCAATGGCACAATCCCAGCTTGAAATAGGTCTGCAGATTACATGTAATAATAAATCAATGTTAATTATTGATTTTGTTGGGAGTATTGTGGATATGTAGGTGAGTTTTTTTTTAAGCTATAACTTACATACCATAAAATTCACCTTTTTTTTTAACCCCTTCATACAACAGTAAAAATTTATATCCCTTCTCTCCCTCACTAATTAAGTTTGAACAATGTTGGGCTTTCAGTTCTTCACGTTTCTTTCCTACCACAGGACCTTTGCATGTGCTGTTTCCTCTACTTAAGCTTCTCCTCTTCCCCTAGTCCCTCTTTACCTTAATCACTTCTGGATATTTTTCAGGTTTCACTGTATATGCCACTTCTTCACCCTAAGGATCCTGAGACACTTTTAAGTGGTGGAGCAGTTCATATCTGACTTCTACTTCCTGATACCTCTCTTGAAGTTAATGGTACACACTAAAGTAATTGAAAGATTTTTTTCTTTTTAGTAAGCTATAACCAACTATATCACTGTTGGCTCTTACCTTAGTACTAAGACTGATCTTTATCCAGAAACAATAAAAGTAAGAATGCCATCTAGCTGCTATGACCCATATGGCATCAAGCCCTATTTCAAAGTTAGGTAAGAAGATATAGAACAGCAGCCTGGTCAACATGGTGAAAACGTGTTCCATCTACCTTTTTGCAGAAACTGACAAGCTGATCCTAAAATTCATATGAAAATGGACCCACAGTAGCTAAAACAATAAAGAACAACAAACTTGGAATACTCACACTCTCCAATTTCAAGACTTACTACAAATGTACAGTAATTAAGGCTATGTGGTAATAGCATAAGAATAGATATATAAGTCAATAGAATAGAATTGAGAGCTGATAAACTCACACATTTATGACCAGTTGATTTTCAATAAGAGTGCTAAGACAACTCAATAAGGAAAGAACAGTCTTTTCAACAAATGGTTTTGGGACAATTAGATATCCAAGTACTATAGAATGAAGCCAGACCCCTACCTCATACCACATAAATAATTAACTCAAAATGGACCAAGACCTAAATGTAAGACCTATACTCTTAGACAAAAACACAGATATAAATCTTCACGACCTTGGATTAGGCAATAGTTTTTTAGCTATGATACCAAAAACATAAGCAACCAAAGAAAAAAAAACAGATAAAGTGTACTTCAGTAGAACTGAAAACTTTTTTTGCATCAAAGGACACTACTAAGAAAGTGAAAAGACGGGACAGGCCATCCGTGCTCTAAGCCTGGCAAGGGCCTGCTTGCCTGTGTCCCACATGCTAGAACTCGGCATCTGTAGGGGGCCTGCTAGGGGCAGGAAGGGACTGGCACCCAACCCTGAGCTGGGCACTCATGCTTCCCTGGAGCTGGGTGGAGGAGCTGAGGGTGTGGACAGGCATGAGGTATGGACATGTCCGTCCCTTTGAGGACCAAGATCATGACTACCACAGAGCGAGCACCCCTGGGGTCCTCAGATAAAAAGTCTGACCGCCACTGAGGATCCAGTCAGGCTCACCAGGCTACTGCAGCAGTCCCAGCAAAAGCAGGGCCAGGCTGAAGCAGTGACACCACAGACTTGGGGCACAGGGGGGTATCTCAGTGTCTCAAGGCTGCTGTAACAAGTCACCATAAATGCAGTGACTCAAAACGGCACAAGCTGATGACAGTTGTGGAGGTCAGAAGTCCAGAATGGGTCTCACCAGGCTGAAATCAAGGGGTCAACTTCAGGGGAATCCGTTGCCTGCCTTTCCCGGCTTGAAAGGCCCCATCATGGCTGTCACCTGGGCAGCTGCTCTGCTCCATGGGCCTGGCCTCACTTATAGGGCTCCAAGAACAGTGCCTAGATCATCCTGAGAGCCCTGTGGCGTTACTATCTTGACAAAGGAACATTTGGGATGCACTGGAAGCCCAGAAGTCCACAGATGGGTATAGGAACCATCAGTTACTGTCGGGCACCTTGGGGGTCCCACACACACCACTGTGGGTGTCAGACCCTCAGATTGTTGCCACTTTGGGAAGGGGGTCAGCAGTTTGCAGAGGACTCTGGACAGCAGCAGGGAGCAGCAACAATACAGGGGTTCCCCCCAACCCCTGACCCTGCAGACCTTCACCCCCTGGTACATGGAGGAGGTGTCGTGCCCCTGCTTCAGGAAGCCTCGAGGGAGACACATGCACCCTCAGAATGCCCAGTTGGGGGCTCCTCACTGGAGGGCACTGGCAGAAACTGATGTCAGAAAACAGCAGCATAGAGTGGATCTGGCATAGATCAGGGTGTCACAGAAAAGATGCTTCATAAGATGTGTTTTGATGAGGATATTTAAATAAATGTAATTTAATTGATGTTAAAAAAAAGAAAGTGAAAAGAAAACTCACAGAAGAAAATATTTGCAAATCATATCTGTATCCAGAGTCTAGTATCTAGAATATAGAAAGAAGTCTTACAACTCAATAAGAAAAATACAACTATGGCTATTTTAAAAATAGGCAAAGGATATCAATAGACATTTCTACTATGAAGATATACAAATGGTGTCAATAAGCACATGAAAAGATGTTCAACATTAGTCATTAAGGAAATGCAAATCAAAGCCACAATGAGAGAAACTACTTCATACCCACAAGATGGCTATACTAAAAAGATAAACAATAACAAGTATTGGCAATGATATGGAGAAGTTGCTGGTGGGAATCTAAATGGTGCAGCCACTTTCAAAAACAGCCTGGCAGTTCCTCAAAAGGTTAAATGACCCAGCAATTCCACTCCTAAGTATAGGTCTAAGAAAACTGAAAACATACATCCACAATGAGGGAAACTAAAAATATTTCACCCCCAAATATATTTCTTTGATATATTTCAGGACAGCGATTCAGAGGGACTAGAAACCAAAGAATAGCTAAAAAGCTGTCTTTTCTAGGGGAGATGTGCATCTGTAGAGGAAATAAAGTCAAGTAAACAACAGATGCGAACAGGCTTTCTTTGAACCACCCCCCACCCCTTCATCTGGATCTAGGAAAGATTAACTGAGAATCTGACACCTTTAAAGGTCTGACAGAAATATTTACCAAAGGCTACCATCTATTCTTTCTGAGAGCTGCTACCCATGAAGTTTCATCCATATAACAAGGCTGCCTTTGCCAGCCAGGCCTTTCCTCTTCTTTCCCTCTTATAACCAGTCTTGCTACCATAACCTGTTTTGCTAAGCTCCAAGCCCCTATTCTTTCTGTGACCTCAAGATGGTATAAAAGTATCAATCTTCTGACCGTTTGAGTTTTTCATATTTTGTATGCCATGCCCATACATGTTAATAAGACCTGTATGCCTTTTTTCTTGTTAATCTATTATCGGTTTTTTTTTCTTTTTTTTTGAGATGGAGTCTCACTCTGTCACCAGGAGGAGTGCAGTGGCGCGATCTTGGCTCACTGCAACCTCTGCCTCCCGGGTTCAAGTGATTCTCCTGCCTCAGCCTCCCGAGTAGCTGGGACTGTGGGCGCGTGCCACCACACCCAGCTAATGTTTGTATTTTTAGTGGAGACGGGGTTTCACCATGTTGGCCAGGATGGTCTTGATCTCTTGACCTCGTGATCCACCCACCTCGGCCTCCCAAAGTGCTGCGATTACAGGCGTGAACCACTGCGCTCGGCCTATTAGTGTGTTTTATAGACTCAAATCATTGAGCCTTTGGGGAAAAATTTAAACTTCCCTACAACACAACATGTACACAAAAGTTCATAGCAACATTATTCATTATTCATAATACTTAAAACGTGGGAACAACCCAAATTTCCATTAATTGACAAGTGGATAAAAGAATATGGCATATCCATACAATGGAATATTATTCAGGTAAAAAAATTAAGTACTTCTTGCTACAGCATGGGTGAACTGTGTGAAAACATGCTAAGTTAAAGAAACCAGACACAAAAGGCCACACATTATATGATTCCATTGATATGAAATGTCCGGAATGGGCAAATCCATACAGGAAGAGAGTGATTGTCAGGGGTTGTTGGAGGGAGTAATAGGGAGTGGTTGCTAATGGGCATGGATTTCTCTTTGGGGTGATGAAATGTTGTGGGATTAGATAGTGGCAGTGGCTCCACAATCTGTGAACATACATAAAACCACTGACTTGTACACTTTAAAAGGGTGAATTTTTACTGTTGTATGATAGGGTAAAAAAAAAAGGTGAATTTTATGGTAAGTAAGTTATACTTTAAAAAAAAACTCACCTACATATCCACAATACTACCAACAAAATCAATAATTAACATTGATTTATTACTACATGTAATCCACAGACCTCATTCAATTTTTTTAAGTGTCTCAATAATATCATAAATACAAATATGAACACACACACACACATGTACATTGTATTTAGTTGTCAGGTCTTTTTATCTCCTTTTATCTGGAACACTTCATCAGTCTTTGAATTTTATGACTATCATACTTCTGAAGATGATAGGCCAGATGTTTTGTATAATGTCCTTCAATTTGGTTTTGTCTGATGTTTTCATAATATTAAATTCAGATTACGCATGTTTGGCAAGAGTATCAGAGAAGTGATGACATTTTTCTTGTCACTGCAGCCTATTAGATGGCATATGTAAACCAAAAATAAAGTTCTAAGCTCTCCAACTGACTGGATGAACCCCTCTTGGCCAAGGGGACCCCAGAGAAACATGAAAACTGAATTTTTAGCCATGATGGGGAAAGGAGGTCCGACATGCCTCGTTATAATCCTCACCCTTTTGGAGTTTAGGCACAACTGCCCATGATTAAGGTTAAAATAGAGATCATAAGACTGACAAAACAGACTGTGCCAATAAACAGCCATTACCAAATTATAATCACAGTAAGAGTTGCAAGGTAGCCATGAAAGCTAAGAGTTAAGTTACACCCTGCACACTATAAGATCTTATTAAACAGGTTTCTTTTTTTTTTAATTTTATTATTATTATACTTTAAGTTTTAGGGTACATGTGCACAATATGCAGGTTTGTTACATATGTATACATGTGCCATGTTGGTGTGCTGCACCCATTAACTCGTCATTTAGCATTAGGTATATCTCCTAATGCTATCCCTCCCCCCTCCCCCCACCCCACAACAGGCCCCAGTGTCTGATGTTCCCCTTCCTGTGTCCACGTGTTGTCATGGTTCAATTCCCACCTATGAGTGAGAACATGCAGTGTTTGGTTTTTTGTCCTTGTGATAGTTTGCTGAGAATGATGGTTTCCAGCTTCATCCATGTCCCTACAAAGGACATGAACTCATCCTTTTTTATGGCTGCATAGTATTCCATGGTGTGTATGTGCCATATTTTCTTAATCCAGTCTATCACTGTTGGACATTTAGGTTGGTTCCAAGTCTTTGCTATTGTGAATAGTGCCACAATAAACATACGTGTGCCTGTGTCTTTATAGCAGCATGATTTATAATCCTTTGAGTATATACCCAATAATGGGATGGCTGGGTCAAATGGTATTTCTAGTTCTAGATCCTCGAGGAATCGCCACACTGTCTTCCACAATGGTTGAACTAGTTTACAGTCCCACCAACAGTGTAAAAGTGTTCCTATTTCTCCACATCCTCTCCAGCACGTGTTGTTTCCTGACTTTTTAATGATCACCATTCTAACTGGTGTGAGATGGTATCTCATTGTGGTTTTGAATTGCATTTCTCTGATGGCCAGTGACGATGAGCATTTTTTCATGTGTTTTTTTGGCTGCATAAATGTCTTCTTTTGAGAAGTGTCTGTTCATATCCTTTGCCCACTTTTTGATGGAGTTGTTTGTTTTTTTCTTGTAAATTTGTTTGAGTTCATTGTAGATTCTGGATATTAGCCCTTTGTCAGATGAGTAGATTGCAAAAATTTTCTCCCATTCTGTAGGTTGCCTGTTCACTCTGATGGTAGTTTCTTTTGCTGTGCAGAAGCTCTTCAGTTTAATTAGATCCCATTTGTCAACTTTGGCTTTTGTTGCCATTGCTTTTGGTGTTTTAGACATGAAGTCCTTGCCCATGCCTATGTCCTGAATGGTATTGCCTAGGTTTTCTTCTAGGGTTTTTATAGTTTTAGGTCTAACATGTAAGTCTTTAATCCATCTTGAATTAATTTTTGTATAAGGTGTAAAGAAGGGATCCAGTTTCAGCTTTCTACATATGGCTAGCCAGTTTACCCAGCACCATTTATTAAATAAGGAATCCTTTCCCCATTTCTTGTTTTTCTCAGGTTTGTCAAAGATCAGATAGTTGTAGATATGTGGCATTATTTCTGAGGGCTCTGTTCTGTTCCATTGGTCTATATCTCTGTTTTGGTACCAGTACCAGGCTGTTTTGGTTACTGTAGCCTTGTAGTATAGTTTGAAGTCAGGTAGAGTGATGCCTCCAGCTTTGTTCTTTTGGCTTAGGATTGACTTGGCTATGCGGGCTCTTTTTTGGTTCCATGTGGACTTTAAAGTAATTTTTTCCAATTCTGTGAAGAAAGTCATTGGTAGCTTGATGGGGATTGCATTCAATCTATAAATTACCTTGGGCAGTATGGCCATTTTCACGATATTGATTCTTCCTACCCATGAGCATGGAATGTTCTTCCATTTGTTTGTATCCTCTTTTATTTCCTTGAGCAGTGGTTTGTAGTTCTCCTTGAAGACGTCCTTCACATCCCTTGTAAGTTGGATTCCTAGGTATTTTATTCTCTTTGAAGCAATTGTGAATGGGAGTTCACTCATGATTTGGCTCTCTGTTTGTCTGTTATTGGTGTATAAGAATGCTTGTGATTTTTGCACATTGATTTTGTATCCTGAGACTTTGCTGAAGTTGCTTATCAGCCTAAGGAGATTTTGGGCTGAGACGATGGGGTTTTCTAGGTATACAATCATGTCATCTGCAAACAGGGACAATTTGACTTCCTCTTTTCCTAATTGAATGCCCTTTATTTCCTTCTCCTGCCTGATTGCCCTGGCCAGAACTTCCAACACTATGTTGAATAGGAGTGGTGAGAGAGGACATCCCTGTCTTGTGCCAGTTTTCAAAGGGAATGCTTCCAGTTTTTGCCCATTCAGTATGATATTGGCTGTGGGTTTGTCATAAGTAGCTCTTATTATTTTGAGATATGTCCCATCAATACCTAATTTATTGAGAGCTTTTAGCACGAAGGGCTGTTGAATTTTGTCAAAGGCCTTTGCTGCATCTATTGTGATAACCATGTGGTTTTTGTCTTTGGTTCTGTTTATATGCTGGATTACGTTTATTGATTTGCCTATGTTGAACCAGCCTTGCATCCCAGGGATGAAGCCCACTTGATCATGGTGGATAAGTTTTTTGATGTGCTGCTGGATTCGGTTTGCCAGTATTTTATTGAGGATTTTTGCCTCAATGTTCATCAAGGATATTGGTCTAAAATTCTCTGCCAGGCTTTGGTAACAGGATGATGCTGGCCTCATAAAATGAGTTAGGGAGGATTCCCTCTTTTTCTATTGATTGGAATAGTTTCAGAAGGAATGGTACCAGCTTCTCCTTGTACCTCTGGTAGAATTCGGCTGTGAATCCGTCTGGTCCTGGACTCTTTTTGGTTGGTAAGCTATTAATTATTGCCTCAATTTCAGAGCCTGTTATTGGTCTATTCGGAGATTCAACTTCTTCCTGGTTTAGTCTTGGGAGGGTGTATGTGTCAAGGAATTTATTCATTTCTTCTAGATTTTCTAGTTTATTGGCATAGAGGTGTTTATAGTATTCTCTGATGGTAGTTTGTATTTCTGTGGGATCGGTGGTGATATCCCCTTTATCATTTTTGATTGTGTCTATTTGATTCTTCTCTCTTTTCTTCTTTATTAGTCTTGCTAGCGGTCTATCAATTTTGTTGATCTTTTCAAAAAACCAGCTCCTGGATTCTTTGATTTTTTGAAGGGTTTTTTGTGTCTTTATCTCCTTCAGTTCTGCTCTGATTTTAGTTATTTCTTGCCTTCTGCTAGCTTTTGAATGTGTTTGCTCTTGCTTCTCTAGTTCTTTTAATTGTGATGTTAGGGTGTCAATTGTAGATCTTTCCTGCTTTCTCTTGTGGGCATTTAGTGCTATACATTTCCCTCTACACACTGCTTTGAATGTGTTCCAGAGATTCTGGTATGTTGTGTCTTTGTTCTCGTTGGTTTCAAAGAACATCTTTATTTCTGCCTTCATTTCGTTATGTACCCAGTAGTCATTCAGGAGCAGGTTGTTCAGTTTCCATGTAGTTGAGCAGTTTTGAGTGAGTTTCTTAATCCTGAGTTCTAGTTTGATTGCACTGTGGTCTGAGAGACAGTTTGTTATACTTTGTTCTTTTACATTTGCTGAGGAGTGCTTTACTTCCAACTATGTGGTCAATTTTGGAATAGGGGTGGTGTGGTGCTGAAAAGAATGTATATTCTGTTGATTTGGGGTGGAGAGTTCTGTAGATGTCTATGAGGTCCGCTTGGTGCAGAGCTGAGTTCAATTCCTGGATATCCTTGTTAACTTTCTGTCTCGTTGATCTGTCTAATGTTGACAGTGGGGTGTTAAAGTCTCCCATTATTATTGTGTGGGAGTCTAAGTCTCTTTGTAGGTCACTAAGGACTTGCTTTATGAATCTGGGTGCTCCTGTATTGGGTGCATATATATTTAGGATAGTTAGCTCTTCTTGTTGAATTGATGCCTTTACCATTATGTAATGGCCTTCTTTGTCTCTTTTGATCTTTGTTGGTTTAAAGTCTGTTTAATCAGAGACTAGGATTGCAACCCCTGCCTTTTTTTGTTTTCCATTTGCTTGGTAGATCTCCCTCCATCCCTTTATTTTGAGCCTATGTGTGTCTCTGCACATGAGATGGATCTCCTGAATACAGCACACTGATGGGTCTTGACTCTTTATCCAATTTGCCAGCCTGTGTCTTTTAATTGGAGCATTTAGCCCATTTACATTTAAGGTTAATATTGTTATGTGTGAATTTGATCCTGTCATTATGATGTTAGCTGGTTATTTTGCTCGTTAGTTGATGTAGTTTCTTCCTAGCCTTGATGGTCTTTACAATTTGGCATGTTTTTGCAGTGGCTGGTACCGGTTGTTCCTTTCCATGTTTAGTGCTTCCTTCAGGAGCTCTTTTAGGGCAGGGCTGGTGGTGACAAAATCTCTCAGCATTTGCTTGTCTGTAAAGGATTTTATTTCTCCTTCACTTATGAAGCTTAGTTTGGCTGGATATGAAATTCTGTGTTGAAAATTCTTTCCTTTAAGAATGTTGAATATTGGCCCCCACTCTCTTCTGGCTTGTAGAGTTTCTGCTGAGAGATCAGCTGTTAGTCTGATGGGCTTCCCTTTGTGGGTAACCCTACCTTTCTGTCTGGCTGCCCTTAACATTTTTTCCTTCATTTCAGCTTTCGTGAATCTGAGAGTTATGTGTCTTGGAGTTGCTCCTCTCGAGGAGTATCTTTGTGGCATTCTTTGTATTTCCTGAATTTGAATGTTGGCCTGCCTTGCTAGATTGGGGAAGTTCTCCTGGATAATATCCTGCAGAGTGTTTTCCAACTTGGTTCCATTCTCCCTGTCACTTTCAGGTACAACAATCAGACGTAGATTTGGTCTTTTCACAGTCCCATATTTCTTGGAGGCTTTGTTCGTTTCTTTTTATTCTTTTTTCTCTAAACTTCTCTTCTGGCTTCATTTCATTCATTTCGTCTTCCATCACTGATAGCCTTTCTTCCAGTTGATCGCATCAGCTACTGAGGCTTGTGCATTCGTCACGTAGTTCTCGTGCCGTGGTTTTCAGCTCCATCAGGTCCTTTAAGGACCTCTCTGCATTGGTTATTCTAGTTAGCCATTCATCTTATTTTTTTTCAAGGTTTTTAACTTCTTTGCCATTGGTTCGAACTTCCTCCTTTAGCTTGGAGTAGTTTAATCTTCTGAAGCCTTCTTCTCTCAACTTGTCAAAGTCATTCTCCGTCCAGCTTTGTTCCATTGCTGGTGAGGAGCTGCATTCCTTTGGAGGAGGACAGGCGCTCTGATTTTTAGTTTCCAGTTTTTCTGCTCTGTTTTTTCCCATCTTCATGGTTTTATCTACCTTTGGTCTTTGATGATGGTGACGTACAGATGGGTTTTTGGTGTGGATGTCCTTTCTGTTTGTTAGTTGTCCTTCTAACAGTCAGGACCCTCAGCTGCAGGTCTGTTGGAGTTTGCTGGAGGTCCACTTCAGACCCTGTTTGCCTGGGTATCAGCAGTGGTGGCTGCAGAACAGAGGATATTGGTGAACCGCAAATGCTGCTGCCTCATCATTCCTCTGGAAGTTTTGTCTCAGAAGAGTACCCAGCCGTGTGAGGTGTCAGTCCACCCCTACTGGGGGGTGCCTCCCAGTTAGGCTACTCGGGGGTCAGGGACCCACTTGAGGAGGCAGTCTGCCCGTTCTCAGATCTCAAGCTTCATGCTGGGAGAACCACTACTCTCTTCAAAGCTGTCAGACAGGGACATTTAAGTCTGCAGAGGTTACTGCTGCCTTTTGTTTGTCTGTTCCCTGCCCCCAGAGGTGGAGCCTATAGAGGCAGGCAGGCCTCCTTGAGCTGTGGTGGGCTTCATCCAGTTCGAGCTTCCCGGCCGCTTTGTTTACCTACTCAAGCCTCGGCAATGGCAGGCGCCCCTCCCCCAGCCTCACTGCTGCCTTGCAATTTGATCTCAGACTGCTGTGCTAGCAGTGAGAGAGGCTCCGTGGGCGTAGGACCCTCCGAGCCAGGTGCGGGATATAATCTCCTGGTGTGCGGTTTGTTAAGCCCATTGGGAAAGTGCAGTATTAGGGTGGGAGTGACCTGATTTTCCAGGTGCCATCGGTCACCCCTTTCTTTGACTAGGAAAGGGAATTCCCTGACCCCTTGCACTTCCTGGGTGAGGCGATGCCTCGCCCTGCTTTGGCTCACGCACATGCACTGCACCCACTGACCTGCACCCAATGTCCGGCACTCCCCAGTGAGATGAACCCGGTACCTCAGTTGGAAATGCAGAAGTCACCCGTCTTCTGTGTCGCTAACGCCGAGAGTTGTAGACTGGAGCTGTTCCTATTTGGCCATCTTGGCTACTTGACCAGGTTTCTTTTCTTAACGCAGCATAATGTGGCTTACTTTTCAACCTGACTTTGGTATAGCATCACATGACAAGGAAATCAAAGGACCTCTTGAGACTCTATTGTCCTGAGATAGGAATAATACAGGGTGGAGAAGAAATTCCAGGCAGCAATTTCACATGACTTAGAGTCTTTGGGCTGGTAAGATCCTGAAAAACAGGGTGTGGACCAAGCTGGCTAAGACCGATTGGATCCAGCATGTCACTGGATTTGACCGAGGTTTCACCTAGGACCTCATTATATGCTCATTAACATACTAAACCACAAACCCAGCAGCACCATTGAAATAGGTCAGGGTCACTGGTCTCGTTGTCTAATGTGTTATCCGAGCTTGTGGTCTCAAGAAAATTAAGGAGTGTGGACCCAAAGAATGAGGTTGGAGGAAAAGTTTAATAAGCAAAAGAAGAAAAGCTGAATTGAAAAGCTTTCACAAGAAACTGCTCTCATGTCTGTAAGTGTTTGAGAAACTTATCTATGCATAACTTCCCTTTATGTAGTTGTGGGTATGTCTCTAGGTAAGCATAAAGTGAAACTTTTTGTTTGTATAATTGTGGTTTTGTTTAAAGTAAGCCCCCCTCCTCCCTCTGCAAGTTTCCATGGGGCCCACTGTGTACATGTCTGAAAAGGGGAGGAAACTTCCTGGGAGCTCGCTAATCATACAAAGAGCAAAAGGCTTCTATGCTGGACTTTTCCTGCCTTGCCTGCTTATCTGTGGCTTATCTGTGCAGGTGCACTGTAGCTGCGATTTTTCAGGCAGGCAGCTTCTACAGTCTGAGTTTTTCTCCAAGCTGCTCTATCTTGCCTGTAGCTGTGATTTTTCAGGCAGGCAGCTTTTCCAAGGACCAGCCTTAACCGTTTACCTAACTAATTTTTCCTTTTCTTCTCCCTCACTATGACAGTTCCAGGAACACCTATTGGGTGGCACCACAGTTCTGATAAATCTCTACCTTTTTCCAGGAATTTTCATGAATATTCCATTCCTTGGTTAGAGAAACACATAAAGGTAGCAGCCCCAAACCCCACTGCATGACACTCTCTCAAGTACACCTGCACTCCCTTGAGTGTGTACTTTTACTCTTTGCAATAAATTTCTTTACTTTCATTATTTTTCGACTTGTCCTTGAATTCATTCTTGTGATGGTGCCAAGAGCCTAGACATTGGCTAGGATAGAGGTCCACTGCTGTTTGGGGACTTCCCCCAGCCCACCAGTATCACACCATGCCATGGTCACTAATATTGGCTCAGAATAAACCTTTAAAAAATACTTGACAGGCCAGGCACAGTGGCTCACGCCTGTATTCCCAGCACTTTGGGAGGCCAGGTGGGTGGATCATCTGAGGTCAAGAGTTCAAGACCAGCCTGGCCAATGTGGTGAAACCCCGTCTCTACTAAAAATACAAAAATTAGCGAGGCATGGTGGCGGGTGCTTATAACCCCAGCTACTCAGGAGGCTGAGGCAGGAGAATCGCTTGAACCTGGGAGGCAGAGGTTGCAGTGAGCCGAGATCACACTACATTCCAGTGTCACTCTGGGCGACAGAGTGAGACTCCATCTCAAAAAAAAAAAAAAAAAATTAGCTGGGCATGGTGGTGCACGCCTGTAACCCCAGCTACTCGGGAGGCTGAGGCAGGAGAATCACTTGAACCTGGGAGGCAGAGGTTGCCGTGAGCCAAGATTACACCACTGCATGCCAGCCTAAGTGACAAGGGTGAAACTCCATCTCAAAAAATAATAATAATAAAAATTAAAAATAATAAAATAAAGATATTTGACAGGGTTTAGTTTTTCCATTAACACATATAATTTTGATTTGTCCCATTAGTGATGATTAGGTTGCTTGATTAAGGTGTTTCCCACTTGGCTTCTCCACTGTAAAGGTATTCTTTCTCCCCTTTTTAAGTATTTTGTGGAAAGGTACTTTGAAACTATGTAAATATACTCTTTAACATCAAACTTTTTCTTTATTCATTTATTTATACTCATGTATTATTTCATTTAATACATCATTTATTATCTAGTATGGACTCAGATTTCCCATATTACTCATCGGGTTACATTATAACTATTATAACCCATTACCATTTATTTTGATGCTCAAATTGCCCCATATTTGGCCAGCAGGAACCTCTTCAAGTTGGCTTCAGTGTCCTTTTGACATATTCCCATAATTTTTTGAGCCTTTCCATTTTTTCTGGCATAAAAAGATGATCTAGGCTGATATTGTCCTTTTTTTTTTTTCTGCCCCAGCCCTTGGAATCAGCCCTGGTTCCTTTTAAAGAAGAATGATTTTTAGAAAACAAGATCTGGATGCTAGGTATATTCTTTGGCTTTGAAGTTCCCCATTCCCAGATCCTCTCATGGACAGAGCTTGAGAATGTATGTATATATATGTGTATTAAAATATTTAAGTATGTATACATATACACAAAATACATACATATGCATATCACATATTTTCACATCTATATTTATGTCTATTATATATGTATGTATTGAACATAGGAGTCTGCACTGTTAACTCCAATTTCAGTTTGTCACCACAGAGCTCATTCTAGTTTTCATCTTTTCCGTATTTGCGACTTTTGTTCTCTAACAGTAAGAAACCTGGCTCCCATTCTCCTTAATGTATTTATTTATTTGATTAATTACCCTGTATGCAACATGGCTTCCATTGCTACCTCTCCTTTTCCCAAGCAATGCCCTTCTCACTCAATTCAGGCTCCAACACTTGGTGCTGGGCTGCTGCTGCACCTCCACTTAGACAGCCTCTCGACTCTGCTTGTGCTCTCAGATCCTGCACTGGGCCACTCTGCCATGTAGAAGTCACTCTCACCTTCCCAGGGTACCAAAACATGGCACAAAGCTGTCCCCACTATGTGGCACTCTCTCCATCCCACTCAGATTCCAACCGCATGTCAAATGACCCCCCCAACTTGGGAGGACACCCTTCTTATTCTGCACTGAGCTGTCCCCTTTGCATGGATACCTTTTCAACCCTGGTCTCTAATACACTGTCCCTGGGCTGCCTTGATGTGCAAATACCCTCCTCACTCCTAGTTAGGCTCTGACACCCTACACTGGACTATCCCCCTATGTTGACACTCTCTTTAACTGGCTGAGGTCCCAGAGTTCTGTGATGGATGGTCCCCACCCCATGTGGCTATCCTATAAGCCACACTCAGGTTTTGACACTCCAATGTGGCTACTGAGCACTTGAAATAAGCCTAATCTGAACTAAAAATATATTGCAGGTATAATAACCAGATTTAAGAATATGAAATACTTTATTCATAATTTTTTATATTGATTATATATAGAGAGAGAAGTAGTATTTTAGATATACTGGGTTAAATAAAATTTATTATGATTATTATTATTATTTGAGACAGAGTCTTGCTCTGTCGCCAGGCTGGAGTGCAGTGGCGTGATCTTGGCTTACTGCGATCTCCGCCTCCCAGGCTCAAGAGATTCTCCTGTCTCAGCTTCCCGGGTAGCTGGGATTACAGGTGCACACCACCACACCCAGCTAATTTTTGTATTTTTAGTAGAGACGGGGTTTCCACATGTTGGCCAGGATGGTCTCAATCTCCTGACCTCGTGATCCACCCACCTCCGCCTCTCAAAGTGCTGGGATTACAGGCATGAGCCACCGCGCCCAGCCAAATAAAATATATTATTATTTTCACCCATTTCTGTGTACTTTTTTTCAATGTAGCTACTAGAAAAATTTAAATTACAAATGTAGCTCAGATTTTACTTGTACTACTGTTCTAGAAGTTTCTGGATTAGTGATGGGAAATCAAGAGATCAAAAGACTGAGGACTTGACATATATGCCCTCCTCAGAGTAAGGATGGAAACTAAAAATCCTTGGCTAGCTCTGCAGGGGTGTCCAATCTTTTGGCTTCCCTGAGCCACACATAAAATTAACACTAACGGCCGGGTGCGGTGGCTCATGCTTGTAATCTCAGCATTTTGGGAGGCTGAGGCAGGCGGATCACCTGAGGTCAGGAGTTCGAGACCAGCCTGGCCAACATGTTGAAACCCCGTCTCTACTAAAAATATAAAAAATTAGCCGGGCTTGGTGGTGGGTGCCTGTAGTCCTAGCTACTTGGGAGGCTGAGGCAGGAGAATTGCTTGAACCTGGGAGGCAGAGGTTGCAGTGAGCCAAGATTGCACCACTGCACTCCAGCCTGGGCAATAAGAGCAAAACTTTGACTCAAAAAAATGAAAAATAAAAATAAAAATAAATTGCAAAAAAAAACCTTATAATGTTTTAAGAAAGTTTATGAATTTGTATTGGGCTGCATTCAAAGCCATCCTGGGTCACATGCGGCCCACAGGTTGGACAAGCTTGCTTTAAAGTCTTGCTACATAGAGGGACTCAGACTATTCAAATGGATGCCATACAGCCATGAAAGAATGCAGGTATCTCAGAATAAGAATATATTGTTCTGGTGAACTGATTATGTCTTTTTAAGATGTCCCCATGTGACTCTGCTCTCTAATGCTGCTCTCAATTTTATATGCCCGCACAGAGATGGTCAAAAAGCCCTATACTATTTGTACTTGTTTTCCTTATGGACTCACCTGCTTATTTCTTTACTTCACTTAGTCAGTTTGGATCCTCAGACTTGAAGTAAAAAACTCCAGAGATTACAAATCCCATCTTTTAGCCATAGTTATGTGCTCTTTTCTCAAATCTGAAGTACTTCTGAATTAAGAGAAATAAGCATTTGTCAATTTCATCATTACTAACCTGCATTTCATATTTCAGAGTCATGTGGAAGCACCAGGATCCCATTCCTACCACTGAAATTAAACAAATGAAAAAAAATTAGCATGAAATTCTTTGTGCGTGGACAGTGACCTGAGAAGACAATAAGACATTTCAAAGCATTGAGTTAAGGATAATGAAGTTTATAAAATCTAGTGGCAAGATATAGCTGACTCTTGAGTAAGTGCTATAATTGGTGAAATTTTGGTGTAGAAAAGAAGTACAATATAAGTTCTCCTAAATTCCCTCTACTAAGTGACTTACTAGACTAACAATATTCCATTATTTCTGTAAAATGTATTATCTGATGCTCAGGATAAGTTTTAATGCACATAGCTGGTTAGCTACTCCTTTGCACTTCTGACCCAAATGGCTAAGGTGTATGCTTACTAAGAGCCAGTCAGTTTGTTCCTGAACTTGTTGATGCCATTGTATTTGGTTATCAGAGCTATGACTGCAAAAAGAGTTGTTGCTTCTCCAAGAACTATTTAAAATGCTTAAAGTAGACTTAATAAAAATGAGTTGCTGGCCGGACACAGTGGCTCGCGCCTGTAATCCCAGCACTTTGGGAGGTTGAGGTGGGTGGACCATCTAAGGTCAGGAGTTCAAGACCAGCCTGGCCAACATGGTGAAACCCCGTCTCTACTAAAAATACAAAAATTAGCTGGTCATGGTGGCAGGCCCCCGTAATACCAGCTACTCGGGAGGCTGAGGCAAGAGAATCGTTTGAACCCAGAAGAAGGAGGTTGCAGTGAGCTGAGACTGTGCCACTGCACTCCAGCCCGGGCAACAAGAGCAAAACTCTGTCTCAAAAAAAAAAAAAAAAAAAAGTTGCTAATAAAAATCATGTTGAATTAGGTGTGGTTGGATATCTGTTACAGACTGGGAAAAATAGTAAAAATCTAAAAAGATTCTGTAGGCAGGGCACAGTGGCTCAGGCTTGTAATCCCAGCACTTTGGGAGGCTAAGGCCAGAGGATCGCTTGAACTCAGAAGTTCAAGACCAGCCTGGGCAACATAGTGAGACCTTATCTCTATTAATACATAAGATAATAATAATAAAATTAAAAAATAAAAAGATTCTGTGTTCATGTCCTAAGTTCTTCCCAAGTGCCTCCATTTTAAATAAACTATTTTCATTTTAGCGTTTTATAAAATGTTTGGTTTTTAAAGCAAAGAGTAAGTAGAACTAAAATTAGGGTCTCTCATTCAATGGTCATGCCCTATGTTAAGTAATTGTCAAAGATTATATACAACAAAAATAAAACTTCAGGCCCAGCCCGGTGGCTCACACCTGTAATCCCAGCACTTTGGAGGCTGAGGCAGACAGATCACCTGAGGTCAGGAGTTCGAGATCAGCCTGGTCAACATGGTGAAACCCCATCTCTACTAAAAATATAAAAATTAGCCAGACATGGTGATACACACCTGTAGTCCCAGCTACTTGGGAGGCTGAGGCAGAAGGATCGCGTAAACCTGGGAAATGGAGGTTGCAGTGAGCCGAGATTGTGCCACTGCACTTCAGCCTCGGCGACAGAGTGAGACTCCATCTCAAAAATGAAAAAACACACACACAAAAAGTTAAAAATTAAACTTCATGTATATATGTATTCAATAATTCTGTGCTTCAATATATCAAAGGTTTAATATCCAAAATTTAAAAAATTCTATGCTTCAACTTAAAAAAATTAACTGATCAAGTATCAGCCCTTATAACATCTAATAAAGCTTTTTTTTCTGATTCAGTTTAGTTCAGAATTTACTGAGTGCATCCTATTTGCCAAATTCAGTTATAGATGCTGAGGTACAAAGATAAGATCCAGTCATTGGCCTTAATGAAACATATAGTCTAATGGAAGAGACAGGCAGATAAACAGAAGGTGCCTGCACATGGACATATGCGTTGAGTACCACAGAAGCACAGAGAAGGAACACTTGTGAAGGAAATCCAAGAATGCAAGAATGATGGTACAGATTAAACTTAAGGATACATAGGACTTAGCCCAACAAATGTAGTGAGTAGGGGCGTCATTAAATAATTTGTATGAAGCCACCTGAGAAAAATTTCAAACTATATGTTATTCTTGCCTTTAAAAAAATCACTAGATTGTAATTTTTACTCCTCAAAATGAAAGGAGGGAAATAAGATAGTTATTGCACTCATCTCATTAGAGAAATAAGGAAGTGGGGTGGTTCGTGCCTTTTTTCCCAAAAAAGTAATTAGAAGGTACAAAGGTGGATAAATTATTCAATGTAAAGGAAAAAAAAAACCTTTAAGTTATTTAAAGTCACACAATAACAATATACTATGAAGTAAAAAAAAAAAAAAAGTGAGATGGGATGATTGTTCATCTTGGTAGAATGGCCACTTTATCATGCCTTACTCAAGGACTGTTTTTATCAAAACCTTTTCAAAGTGTTCTCTTGATACTGTTAAATTATATAGCATTAAAAGTCTGATTTTTTTCCCTGCTTTTGCTCACAGAGCCATTAAACATCTGACTTTTTAGAGATCTCTACAGTTTATTTCCTTTCAACAATCTGGGTAACACATAAAAAAGTATTCTGATGAAAATCTATTCTGGTGGCTACTCAGAGGTTTCAAATTCCTTTCAGGAGAGGGTAGCACTAGGTTTACTCCTCTTTTTTCTTTGTTATTTTCCTTTCTTTTAAAAAGTGCTCTCCTGCAACTGACATTTCTAGACATTTAGAGTCCAAAAACATGTAATAGAACAGCATTCTCTATGCAATATTTTGTATTTTGCCCCTTTAAAGCAAACCACCAAGTTTTGCTGTTTATCAGGTTTCTTGAGATATAATTCACATAAAATCAATCCAAAGTATACAATTCAATTGTTTTCAGTATATTCAGAGGTGTGCAAACATCACCTCAACCTAATTTTAGAACATTTTCATCACCCCTAAAAGAAAGCCTATACCCATTAGCAGTCATTTTCCATTTTCTCTCAACCCCTCCAGCCCTGGGCAATCATTAGTCTACTTTGTCTGTACAGATTTGCCTGCTGGGGACATTACATCTAAGTGGAATCATACATCATGTAGTCTTTTATGTCTAGCTTCTCTTCCTTAAGCATAATGTTTCCAAGGTTCATTTATGTCATCACATGCATCAGTGATTCATCCTTTTTATGGACGAATAATAATATTCCATTATATGAACATACCATATTTTACTTATCCATTCATCAGGTGATGGACATTGCTATGTACTGAATGTTTCTATGCCTGCCTCCCCAACTCCCCAGTTCATATGTTGAAGCTCTAGCCCCTAATGTGATGGTATCTGGAGGTGAGACCTTTGGGAGTTAATTAGGTTTGGATGAGGTCATATGGGCGTGGCATCCCCAGGATGGCATTAGTGCCCTTATAAGAGTAAGACACTGAAGCTTGCTTCTTCTCTTTCCACAGCACAGACAGAGGAAAGGCCATGTGAGACACAGCAAGAAAGTGACCATCTGCAAGCCAGGAAGGAGACGTTTTTTGGTTTTGGTTCCTCACCAGGAACCAAATTAAATGCCACCTTGATCTTGGACTTCCAAGCCTCCAGAACTGTGAGAAATAAATGTATGTTGCTTAAGCCACCCAGTCTATGGTATTTTGTTACGGCAGCCTGAGCTAAAAAAGACATTTAGGTTGTTTCTACATTTTCACTATTATGAACATATTGTATTTCACATATTGTATATGTGAACACTCATATACAAGTTTTTATGTGGACATATGTTTTTATTTCATTCATTCATATATACTTTGGAGTGAGATTTCTGGGTCACATGGTTTAGTATTTTGAGGAAGTGTTTTTTGGAGTGTCTGTACCATCTTACATTCCTATCAGCAATATACTAATTTCTCCACATCTTGCCAATATTTATCACTGGCTGTCTTTGTGATTACAGCCATCCTAATGGATGTGAAGTGGTATTTCATTATCATTTTGATTAGTATTTCCTTAACGAGGACACCATTTGTTTTCAATAAATATTTACTGTGTACTTAATACTCCAAGCATTTCCACTGGGATAAGTGAGTGTACAAGAGAAATATGGTTCCTGTCTCAGAACTTTAAACAAACCATTAAAAATACAAAAAGGGGGCCGGGTATGGTGACTCACACCTGTAAACCCAGGACTTTGGGAGGCCAAGGTGGGTAGATCCCTTGAGCTCAGGAGTTTGAGACCAGCCTGCCCAACATGGAGAATCTTTGTCTCTACAAAGCATACAGAAGGTTAACTGGGTGTGATGGCATAGTCCTGTAGTCACAGCTACTTGGGAGGCTGAGGTGGGAGGATCACTTGAGCCTGGGAGGTTGAAGCTGCAGTAAGCCATGATTGTGCCACTGCACTCCAGCCTGGGTGACAGAGTGAAATCTTGTCAAAAAAAAAGCAAAAAACAAAAAAAAAAACCAACCAAACCACTAAACAAAAAAACATAAAAAAGGGGAGTTATAGAGCTATGAGAATCAATGCAAAGAATAATGTTATTACCTCGTCTAGGGGGTCAAAAGAGGGCTGTCTGAGGAAGTAATATTTAAGCTAGAATTTGAAGAATAAATTGAAATTAGCCAGATGAAAGAATTTTTTTAAAAATGAGATCATTCTATGTAGAAGAGTCATCTAGAATAAAGACAGAGTTTGTGCATTTGAAGAACTAAAAGAGTTTGGCTTAAGCCATGAACAACTTGGTGTAGGGATCCAATGATGAAACTCGCATGCATGGTTTATAGAAAATAGATTAAGAAGAACTTTTAGGCCAGGTGTGGTGGCTCACACCTATAATCCCAGCACTTTGGGAGGCCGAGGTGGGTGGATCACCTGAGGTCGGGAGTTCGAGACCAGCCTGACCAACATGGTGAAACCCTGTCTCTACTAAAAATACAAAATTAGCTGGGCGTGGTGGTGCAAGCCTGTAATCCCAACTACTTGGGAGGCTGAGGCAGGAGAATCGCTTGAACCTGGGTGGCGGAGGTTGTGGTAAGCCAAGATTGCGCCATTGCACTCTAGCCTGGGCGACAAGAGTGAAACTCCATCTCAAAAAAAAAAAAAAAAAGAACTTTTAAAGCGATGTTAAAATCTGATTCAGATTTGGACTTTATCCTAAGGAGAAAGTACAGTTGTTAAAAAATGACACATACACATAGGAATTGATATAATCAGTTTTGCATTTTAAAAATATCACTTGGGTTACAAGGCAGGAAAATGTCTAAAGACTAGTTTTCCAATTTTGATATCAAAAATATTTTTAAGCAACCCCATATATTTATTTGTAAACTATATACAAACTGTGGTGCTAAGATACTATACATTTTAAAACACATAAAATACAACTTTTTAAAAAGTGAGGTAAAGAAGTAACTATATACAAATAGAAGTTTTCTGTCTTGTTTTGTTTTGTTTTTTGAGACAGAGTCTCACTCTGTCACCCAGGCTGGAGTGCAATGGCGCAATCTTGGCTCACTGCAACCTCCGCCTCCCAGGTTCAAGTGATTCTCCTGCATCAGCCTCCTGAGTAGCTGGGATTACAGGCACCCACCACCATGCCCAGCTAATTTTTGTATTTTTAGTAGAGACAGGGTTTTGCCACGTTGGCCAGGCTGGTCTCAACTCCTGACCTCAAGTAATCCACCCACCTCGGCCTCCCAAAGCGCTGGGATTACAGGTGTAAGCCACCGCACCCAGCCACAAATAGAAGTTAAAGAGTTTTCTTCCTGCATCCCAAAAGATTGTTTTCATTCCCTGCAGTGTGTGCATCCTGCTTTAACTGCTAGCTTAAATAATGAATAAACTCCTTGCAAGGCATACATGGAGCTTCATAATTTGGCTCCGCTGATTTCTTCCACTGTAGCTTGTAGTTCAGTCACAGCTGATTGCCTTTGGTCTCTCATCTCACACCATTAACTCGAGTCTGCTTTGCCTTTGCTCATCCTGTGCTCACTCTGTCACTTCTGCCTGGAATACTTACTCTTTCCGTTGCTCAATCCCACTTGCCCCCAACCTGTCTCTCTGTTTATTGGAATCTTATGCAACTTCATGGCTGGGTGCGGTGGCTCACACTTGTAATCCCAGCACTTTGGGAGGCTGAGGCAGGCAGATCACTAGAGGTCAGGAGTTTGAGACCAGCCTGGCCAACATGGTGAAACCCTCTCTTTACTAAAAATACAAAAATTAGCCAGGTGTGGTGACAGGCACCTGTAATTGCAGCTACTTGGGAGGCTGAGGCAGGAGAATTGCTTAACCTGGGAGGCGGAGGTTACAGTGAGTTGAGATTGTGCCACTGCACTCCAGCCTGGGCGATAGAATGAGACTCTGTCTAAAAAAAAAAAAAAAAAGAAATCTTACGTAACTTCTATAGCCATTTTACTGTTTGCTTTTTGTTTCTTTCAAGTTTTTTCTTTTGAAGTAATTTCAAACTTACAAAAATGTTGAAAGAATAGTATAGTAGCTGGGCGCAGTGGCTTACACCTGTAATCCCAGCACTTTGAGAGGCCAAGGTGGGCAGATCACGAGGTCAGGAGTTCGAGACCAGCCTGGCCAACTTAGTGAAACCCTGTCTCTACTAAAAATACAAAAATTAGCCGGGCGTCGTGGCGGGCGCCTGTGGTCCCAGCTACTTGGGAGGCTGAGGCAGGAGAATCCCTTGAACCTGGGAGGCGGAGGTTGCAGTGAGCCGAGATTGTGCCACTGCACTCCAGCTTAGGCGACAGGGAGAGACTCCATCTCAAAAAAAAAAAAAAAGAAAGAAAGAATAGTATAGTGAATTCTTGGATATGTTCTACACATTGGTTCAGATTCACCAATTTTTATCATCTGGCTAATTTTCATATTTATATGTGTGTGTGTGTGTGTGTGTGTGTGTGTATATATATATATAATATTTTTTCTGAACATTTATGAGTAAATTGATACATCATGCCCTTTTACTCCTTAATACTTCAGTGTGTATCCTAGATCCATTTTAAGTGCCATCTCCTAAGTCAAATGTTCATCTGCTTCCTCTCCAGTTAAGTCTACTATACAAAGCATCCAAGAAATAATGTTTGATAAGGCCAGTAGTTATCAGCTTTTGGATCATACTGTTTTGCCCATACAGCTTTTAAAATGCTAGGCCAGTCCAGAAGCTTCTGATTCAGTGGGTACCCTGGTACATGTATTTTAAAGGGCTGTCAATGACTGTTGCCCATGAAAAGCCAAAGACCACTTTTGGATTCTAAGGTTCATAAAGGCATAGTCTAGGTCTCCACAGTTCACTGTCACCAGAAACTTGCCCAGTGCCAGGCATATAGAGAATACTTATTAGGTATTTGCTGAATGGCTGATTTTTTTCCCTTCTCCTTTGGTAATCCAGTATTTCACAAGAAATAGGGCAGAAGAATAGAAGGAAGGGGGAGAAATAAAATAAGGTGCCTGAAATTAGCTCTCTAAAGTGAACCAGATGGGGGAAACTCAGTCACATCTCCACATTTAACAAGAAATCAAGGGAGAATTCAGAAAGCATTTTGGTCACTTTCTCTCTAGTCAATGATGAACTCAAATGCTCTCCAGACACATTAAAATACTGGAAAGAAAAGAAGACCAAGAGGATCAACACTGCTATTGTGAGCCTCTTAAAATGTTTCATTATGTTGACTATATCCACTTCAAGGGAATACTATGATGTGCTTTAATGGAGGAGGGGAGAGTAAAAAAAACCCTTCTAGTTATAAAAATCAGCAAGACACAAAAGTAAAAGAGCAATAAAAATATCCCACCAAAGTTAGCAATTGCTGTATAATTTATTCCCGTTAAGACTTTTATTTATGAATCTTGTGATAAAAAATAAGTTGTAACTTAAGGCTGTACATAAAATTGTTTTTGATAGGATACAGGTACTTTAGAACCTCTGATTTTAGTATATAAATTTTAAAAAGTCAGAGCTGATCCAAAACTTAGGAGAGGATCATTTCATGGTAAGGATATGAATGAAGACAAAATTAGAGGAACCAAATAAAATAATTCAAAAGGCAGAAGTGCAAGTATAAGGCACATATTTAGAATCAAACATATTTTCATTAGATGGGAAGAAAAATGAGGGCAAGTAGAATTTTTAGATCTTAGTAAATTCAGGAAAAGACAGAAAAGATCGTCCATATTATCTTTCTCTCAACAAAACATACTTTCTGTGGTTATAACAAGGCTATCAAGAGAAAACCTCCAAATCAACTTTGGAACTTTTTTCTTCCTTTGTAAATTCTGGGCCTGGCATGGTGGCTCATGCCTGTAATCCTACAACTTTGGGAGGCCAAGACGGGGATTGCTTGAGCCCAGGACTTCAAGACCAGCTCAGCCTGGGCAACATGGTGACACAATGTCTCTACAAAAAATGTAAAAAATTAGCTTGGTATGGTGGTGCACGCCTATGGTCCCAGCTACAAGGGAGGCTGAGGTGGCAGGATCACTTGAACCTAGGAGATTGAGGCTGCAGTGAGCCATGATTGCGCCACTGCTCTCCAGCCAGAGTGACAGAGTGAGATCCTGCCTCAAATCTATATCTATATTTAGATATAAATATAGATATAGATATACATACACACACTTACATGTGTAAATTATATATATATATATATATATATATATATATATATATATATATATATATATATATATATGATCATGTCACTCTCCTGTTTAAAACCCTCCATTGGCTTTCCATTGCTCTTAGAATAAACTTTAGACTCTACTCCGGCTTATGGTAAGGCCCTGGGTGATCTGGCTCCTGCCCAAATCTCTCCAACCTCATATTCTACCACTTTCCCTCTTGACTTCTAAGGCATATTAGGAGAAAGTTAGGAAGCACACAGATAATTACAATATGGTGCACTAAATGCTATAGTGTGCACTGTATTCTGTGGGAGAGCAGAAAAGTCATCTGATCCTAGCAGGAGACTGAGGAAGATTTAAAAGGCGGCTTTCTAGAGAAAGCAGAGTCCTAAGTGATAGCAATGCAGAGTTCACCAGACAAAGAAGGTTAAAGGCAGAAAGGTGAAAATACATATGGTACTGAAAACAGCAAGTAGTTTGATATAGCTAAACTGTTGGGTATATGTGGGAGAGTTACGGAAGACGAACCTAGCAAGGCAGACAGAGTCCAGATTAGAACCCATGTGCCAAGGAATATAGATTTTCAAATAGGTGATCTCACTTAAACAGAAAATGGTTGAATAGAAAGAGGTAGGCAGGGCTGGAGAACAGGTGAAGTTTAGCACCATAGAACAGTTTTCATTACTGACACACTACAATTTATCAGAAAGTACATATTTTCTGAAAAATTATTCAAATCACCACAAATAGGAAAATAAAGAGTGGAGAAGTTATTTAAGTCAAAGGAACAAATGTCAAACGTGAAAACAAAATGGGATTTGTTGGTCCTTAATTTATAAAAATTAGAAATTCTGGAGATAATTTAAAAAAGGAATCTAAGCATTTTTTCTTTCTTTTTCTTGCATGCACACTGATTTAGTCACATGAAGAATAAAACATTTTATTAATATTAGGGTGACTCTTTTAGCCAACATTTCATCATGATGAAGAGCTGCATTTGACTTGCCTGTTTGTGACATCAAAGTTAATATAAAATTCATATCTGTAGAAATTATCCAGCACACTCCACAAAATAAGTAATAGGGATACGTTTCCCCATATGGTCATGTCCAAAGTGAAGACAGATACAATTAAAATAGAAATGAAATTGGAAAAAGGAGGTCAGGGTACCATCTGCATCTTCTAATCAGATGTTCATATTCACACTTTACTATAGTTTTAAGAGTTTCTCAAGTGTATAATAGAATTTCACTCAGTTGGAACCTCTGGATTCAGATATCTTGGCAAACTACCAGCCAAAGTTTTTCAAGGTTACAATAAAACACAAATATGCTCCGATACACATTTATTTTGACTCATCTGATCACACTGGAAATAGTGTACAAGGGTTTTGGGATCAGACCTAGACTAGAATCCCAGATTTATCACTTATTACTAACTTTAGAGAGCTGCTTAAATCTCTTTGAGACTCAGTTGCCTTAGCTATAAAATAAGGATAATATTTGTCATGAAAGGTTGCTATGAGGATTATCTACCATGTGTCTGGCATACAATAGGTATCAATGAATTTTATTTTCTAGTCTAACTCAAACTATGAAAAATTCAGGTACAAAGATGACATAATTAGATTTTGGAAGCAAGTTAGCTTATTTGCCATGACAGAAATTTAAAAGCCCAAGAATTACAAGTTCCTTTTAAATCACATCATGGTTTACCATAATGCATAAGAAGGGACCTAGAATACATGATACAAGGAGAAGGTCATGTTTCCATAAAGTGTCAAGGCATCAGCAGCCTGGTATATGATATAAAATCTACATATTCAGAGGTTTTAGTGTTATTAGTACTATCAAAATAATGCCAACTATGACTTCCAGGGCATGCATGGCTGTAGCTTTCCAAGTGAAGATAGCATTCACAATAGAAACAAAATGCACTATCATATTAGAGGGGTAGTAGAGTGCAGTAATTGAGAGCATGAACCTTGGAAAGTTGTCCTAAGAAGTTTGGACTTTATCCTTATACTGATAAGAAGCCATTTAGGTTATTTAAAAAGAGCGTTTTAAATTGTTCCCCATCTACCCTCAAGGGAACAGATCATTCTCTAATTTATCTGTTAACTAGTATGTAACCTTATTATAGTAACCTACACACCTACACACACACACACACACACACACACACACACACACACACACACACACACACAGAGTGAGCCAGAATGGAGCTACAGCAATAACAGAATGGTAATACCAAAAATGAGACTAGATGTTATAATCTTTTATACCTTTTTTCTTAGAAAATAATTTGTTATTCAATTATTGTCTAATTCTAGCTCCAGCCTAAAACCCTATGAAACATAAGCCACAACTGAGGCCTATAGGAACCACATGAAGAGCCATTGCAGCTGCCTGCTTTCCGCCTTAGGCAATTCTACCAAGCTACGTACCTGGCCATCTCATTTCATTTCCTGTTCACTGACTACATGGGCTACTTAGCTATCTGTGGTTCTGCATCTCTGATTGGTCCTGTCCGTGGGTTTGGGCTACTAGGTTAAACATGTTTATTCCAAATGTAGTTATCTGAAAATCATACTTCCATATGCACAAGTACTGGAGCTATTAACCAAAAAATAAAAATATTATTTCTGTTGGATGATGGGATTATGAATATTTTTCATTGCTTTCCCCACATTTTTCTTCAATGTTACTATTTAGCAGACTAAAAAATAAGAGGTCACTAATATTTTTGACAGATTGGACTAAAAAAGAGAGGGGGAAATAAATGAGCTACTAAGCAAGCTGTAAAATGATTTCCAAAAATCCTTTCCATGGCACATTGATTTGATGCCTATTTCAATACTAAGTGTAATTGCTACAATTTAAAAGTCTATTAGACCAGGATATAGTATGCTAAAGCATCCACTCAATTTCTCCTTGATAAGACGTAAAATATTGTTAAGATCACTTAAGATGACTTTTATTTACTCTGGCAGTGACAGACTATAGATATGATCACACTAAACTTAATTAAGCTTGCTCCATGCAAAGAATTTCCAATGGGCCTTTTCTGATGAAAATCACTTTGGGTCCTGGTGCTTCCCCATGAGGCCCTGCATAGTGCAGTGTACCCTCTCCTCTTGGGAACTGTCATAAATTCCTCTGGCTCAGGGAAGGTGTGTTGTTCATATTTTCATTGCCAGTACCTAAGAATATCAGGCACTGTGAAGGAAAAGAGGGAGAGATGACTGACAAGACACAGGTAGTGTGTATCTCCTCCACAGAGAGGAACCAGAATAGTAAGCAGATACCTTTCAAACAGATTGTCTAGGAGAGAACACTAGGATTCGCCATAGAAGTGACAAGATGCACCAAAAGTGAATAAAGAGAGGGTTCAAGGCAACTTGCCTAGCCAGGGACTGACTGAAAGCCTGGGGAGGGTCCTGGATGTAGAAAAACAAGAAGAGAGAAACCCTCTGAGTTCCACACTCCAAAATGGGCTTTTACAATCTTGGCTAGGGAGAACCCCTCAACCCTTGCGGGCCTCAGGCCTGACACAGAAAGCTACCTGGAGATTGCCCAGAGATGTTGCTCCAGAAAGGGAATCAACGTGAAATCCCACAGGCATCCAAGCCTAGACCAGCGTTGGCTAAATGCCATTGTGACAGCCTAGATATCAGGAACCTACAGATGAAGCTGCTGATGCTACGCTGCTCCAAGGAGGGGAGGGGAGACTGGGTGCTCCCATGTACCCCTGGGAGGGTCCTTACTGCCCTGCTTGTGGCTACTGTTGAGACTGAGATGCAGGTGGACCACACTCTCCAGAGCCTCTAGCTCACACTGCTTACCTGGAAGGGGCCCTGCCCTACCTAGTCCCCACCCTAGGCACCATATTGAGAGTTTAATGCTGGGCTGTGCTCCACCCTCAGGCTGAGTTTGGGCTGATGTGGCTGCAGCCACCACCTGGCCAAGGAGTGACAGAGAAACTAAGCTCTCCTACTCATACTTAGGACAATACCCACCACCCTGCTACAGACTGCTGTGAAACTGAGACTCAAGCAGATCGTACTCCCCACAGCTTCTTGCCCATGCTGCCTTCCTAAGATGCACCCTTCCCTCCTGGGTTGCAGGTCCAAGGCATCATTTAGAAAGTTTAATGCTGGGCTGTGCCTTGCCCTTGGGCTCAGTTTGAGCTGATAAGGCTGCATCTCCTGCCTGGCTGAGGAGGGACAGGGAAATCAGGCTCTCTTACATGTACCAAGGATAATACCCACTGCTCTGCTACAGACTGCTGTGAGACTGAGACTTGAGCAGAACACACTCCTCACACTTGCCCATGCTACGCACCTGAGAGGGGCCTTGCCCTCCCTGGTCACAGGCCCCTGCTAGCACCATTTTGAGAGTTTAATGCAAGGCTGTGCCCTCAGACTGAGTTTGAGGCTACTCGGCTGCAACCACCAACCAGCCGAGGGAGGCACAGGGAAAACAGACTCTCCTGCTCATAACTAGGACAATACCTATCACCCTGTTTCAGGCAGCTGTGGGACTGAGGACTAGCCTGCCCAACCCATCACAGCTACTAGCAACACCAGCAAAGACCACGTGGCTCCCAGTGGATTGCTCCACTACCACTATTGCCATTACCCATATCACACCAGCTGCCCAGGAGTTTGAGAACCTGCCCACATACCTGGAAGCTGTACTTCCACTCCTAGCTTCTAAGCAAGTGAAGTGCAGGCCCAAGAATCAGCCCTCCAGTACCCACTAACACTGGTGCCAGCGTATGCTGCTTTGGAGACTAAAAACTGACACACAGCCTACTTCTGCCACCAGTGGGGTATGAATACTGGCTCAGCGGGTGTCCAAGCCCCCAGCAAAACTTCACCACAGCCTCATCTAACTATACCCTAAGCCACAGAGGAAATAACAGATACCACTGAACCCGTGTACTGCCAAAGAAGTCATACAAAGATCACACTACTGCAGGCACCCAAAATCAAAGCCAAAGCATCCTATTCAACCAACAACATATATCTATCTTCAGGAAAAAATTCTGCCCTGCAAAAGCAATTTCAAAAAATTGGAACAAGTGAATACTAAACCAGATGTTTAGATATCAACGGAAGGACATGGGAAACATGAACAAGCAGGAAACTGACACCATCAGAGGACCACAACAGTTGTCCAGCACCAGATCCCAACCAAAAATAATGCCAGATAAAAAATTCAAAATATTGATTTTGAAGAAGCTCCATGAGATACAGGAGAAATCTGAGAACCAATACAAATAAATCAGAAAAACAATTCAGGATATAAATGAGAAATTTACCAAAGAGATAAATATCTTAAACAAAAACCAAAGAGAAATTCTGGAAATGAAAAATCCATTGAAAAAAAAACAACAAAATACATTTAAAAGCTTCAATAATAGACTAGACCAAGCAGAAGAAAGAATCTCAGAACTTGAAGACAGGTCTTTTGAAATAATCCAATCAGACAAAAATAGGGGAAAAAAATAATAAAAAAGAATGAACAAAGCCTTCAAGACATCTGGGACTACATAAAATGACTGAACTTATAAATTATCAGTATTCCAATGGGGAAGAGAGATCAAAAAGTTCAGAAAACATATTTAAGGAAATAGTCAATAAAAACTTTCCAAGTCAAGCAAGAGAGTTAGACATCCAGATTCAGGAGGTCCAGCAATCCCCAGGCAAATACACTGCAAAGAGGACATCACTATGGCATATTATATTCAGAATGTCAAAAGTCAAAGTAAAAGAAAGAATTTTAAAATTAGTAAGAGAAAAGCATCTAGTCAATATAAAGGAAACCCCATCAAACTAACAGCAGACTTTCTAATAGAAACCTTACAGGCCAGAAGAGAATGGAATGGCATTATCAAAGTGCTGAAAGAAAAAAGAATCAGCCAAAAATTTTATATCCTGCCAGAATAAGTTTCACAAATAAAGGCAAAATAAAGTCTTTCCCAGAGAAGCAAACACAGAGAGAATTTGTTACCACTAGACTGGTCCTTCAGGAAATACTCAAAGGAGTCTAAAACATGGAAACGAAAGGTCAATAACCACCATCCTGAAAACACATGAAAATATAAAACTCATAAGTCTTATAAAACAATTGCACAAAGGAGGAAAAGAATCAAATGTGAACACAATAGAATTTCATTAAACCACAAAGACAAAAAGACAACTAGAAAACAATTAACAATGGACAGGAACAAAGCCTCACATATCAATATTAACCTTGAATGTAAATGGATTAAATGATCCACTTAAAATATATAGATTGACAGAATGGATTTTAGAAAGCATGATCCAGCTATATCTACATACAAGAAACTCACCTTACCTATAAAGACACATATAGACTGACAGTAAAGGGGTAGAAAAAGACATTCTATGAAAACAGAAATCAAAAGTGCACAGGAATAACTATACTTATATCAGATAAAATAGACTTTAAATCAAAAACAGTAAAAAAAAAAAAAGGACAAAGGTCATTATATAATGATAAAGGTATCAATTCTGCAAGAGAATATGACAATCTTAAATATATATGCACCCAACATCAGAGCACCCAAATTCACAAAACAAGTATTATTAGACCTAAAGAAAGAAGTATACAGCAATATGATAATAGTGGGGGGGGGGGTCTTCAACACATCACTGACCGCACTAGATAGATCATCAAGATAAAATTAGCAAAGAAACATTGGACTTTAGACCAAATGGACTTTTCAGATATTTACAGAACATTCTACCCAACAACTACAGAATATATATTATTTTCATCACCACATGGAACACTGTATAAGATATACCATGTTAGGCCACAAAATAAGTCTTAAAATTTTTAAAAAAATCAAAATCGTATTAAGTATCTTCTCAGATCACAGTGGAATAAAGCTAGAAATCACTACCAAAGGAACTCTGGAAACTATACAAACACACAGAAATTAAACAACATGCTTCTGAATGATCGCTAGTCCAATGAAGGAAGTAAGATAGAAATTTTAAAATCTTTTGAAATAAATGAAAATGGAAACAACACACCCAAACTGGTGGTATACAGCAAAAGCAGTGCTAAGAGGGAAGTTGATAGCATTAAATCCCTACATCAAAAAAGTAGAAAGATCATAAATTAACAATTCATGTCACACCTCAAGGAACTAGAAAAACAAGAACAAACCAAACCCAAAGTTAGCAGAAGAAAAGAAGTACAAAGATAAGAGCAGGAATAAATGAAACAAACAAAAAAAGCAAAGGATCAACAAAATGAAAAGTTGGTTCTTTGAAAAGATAAACAAGATTGATAAACCACTAGCTAGACTAACCAAGAAGAGAGAAGATCCAAATAAAAATCAGAAATGAAAAGGGAGACATTACAATTGATACCACAAAAATACAAAAGATCATCAGAGACTATTATAAACAACTATTCACTCTGCCTAGAGGAAATAGATAAATTCTGGGAAACATACAACCTCCCCAAACTAAACCAGGAAGAAATGAAACTCCTGAATAGATCAATAATTACTAGTGAGATTGAATCAGTGATTTAAAAAAAATCTCCCAACAAAACAAAGTCTAGGAGTAGATGGATCCACAGCCAAGTTCTACCAAACATACAAAGAAGAACTAATACCAATACTCCTGAAACTAACCCAAAAAATCAAAGAGGAGGGAATTCTTCTTAATTCTACAAAGCCAGAATCACCATGATACCAAAACCAGACAAGGACACAAAAACAAAAAAGAAAACTACAGACCAATATCTCTGATGAACATAGACATAAAAAACCTCAACAAAATACTAACAAATCAAATCCAACAGCACATCAAAAACATAATACACCATGATCAAGTGGCATTTATCCCAGGGAGGCAAGGATAGTTAAACATATGCAAATACAAAAATCAACATATGCAAATCAATAAATGCAAATCATCACATAAAAAGAATGAAGAACAAAAACCATATGATCATCTCAATAGATGCAAAAAAAAATCCATTAAAACTCAACATCCTTTCATAACAAAAATCCTCAACAAGGCATAGAAGGAACATATATCAACATAATAAAGGCCAGATACAACAAATCCATAGCCAACATCATACTTAATGTGGAAAAGTTGAAAGCATTCCCTCTAAGAACTGGAACAAGACAAGGATGCCCACTTTCACCACTCTTATTCAATATACTGTGGAAGTTCTAGCCAGAGCAATCAGGCAAAAGAAAAAAATAAAAGACATCCAAATTGGAAAAGAAGAAGTCAAAGTAGCCCTGTTTGCTGACTATATAATCTTATATCCAGACAATCCTAAAGACTCCACCAAAAAAACTCTCAGATTTGATCAATGAATTCAGTAAAGTTTCAGGATACAAAATCAATGTACATAAATCAATAGTATTTCTATAAACCAACAATGATCTATTGGAGGGCCAAATCAGGAAAGCAATTCCATTTATAATAGTTAAATAATGATAATGATAATAATAATAAAATACCTAGAAATATATTTAACCAAGGAGATAAAAGAGCTCTACAAGGAAAATTACAAAACACTGATTAAACAAATTGTAGAGGACACAAACAAATGGAAAAACATCCCATGCTCATGGATTGGAAGAATTAATATCATTAAAATGATCATACTGCCCAAATCAATCTACAGGTTCAATGAAATCCCTATCAAAATATCATCATTTTCCACAAAATTAGAAAAAACCTATTCTAAGGTTCATATGAAACCAAAAAAGAGGCAGAATAGCCAAAGCAATCCTAAGTGAAAGAGAAAAGAACAAGGCTGAGGCATCATATTGCCTCAAGTGAAAAGAACAGGCTGGAGGCATCATATTGCCTGACTTCAAACTACACTGCAAGACTCTGTCTCAAAAAATAATAATAAATAAAAATAAAAAATTAAAATTATCTAATTAATTTCTGTCTCCCCATGCTAGACTATAAGCTCCAATGAACACTGGTTTTGAGAATTATAACTAGCACATAATAGATATTCAGTAAATATTTTTCAAATAAATTTTAAAATGACTAAATTCTTAGTGGATCTATGCTCTAAACCAGAAACCTCATAAATTATTGTCTGTTTCTGAAATATTTCTCCACAAAGCCGAAATTCCCACTTCTTTCTACAAAATCTCTTTCAACACCAACAACTAAGTGCATATCAGTTAAGCAGTTGTTATGGGGTTTTGTCAAAAAATAAAAAACTGAAAATCTTGTTACGGTATTCAGCAAATATCCTTGATTTGAAATAAAATCTCTGTTTCCAGGTAAAGTTGTGTTCCTCTCTCTTCTCCCCTTCTCTTCCCTGCTTTCTGTGTGCGTGTGTGTGTGCGTGTGTGTGTGTGTGTGTGTGTGTGTGTTTATACACACACATATTTGGTGGGGAGACTTAACTCAGTGTAAAATTCAAACAAGAATATAAGAAGTTTTAGCAAAATTTGCCTAATGTTTAGAGGTGTTTAAAATAAAGCATTCATTTTTTTCATTCACTTATCCATCGAACATTCCCATGTGTTTAGTTTGTACCAGGTATTGCTGAATGCAGAAAATCCAAAAGAATAAAACTCAACCCTACTTTTAGGAAGCTTCGTCTTATAGAAGGGACGGATACTTAAAAACAGATTATGACAGTACCACATACAGTGATATAAGTGCAATCCAAAAAGTAAGAATAAGGTATAGAAGTAGCACAGAGGAAGAAGTCATTTACCACCACAGTTGGTGGATAAGAAGAGAAGGATTGTTAAGTCAGAAAAATACTCCTATAATCGCTACCCACTTCTGTTCCTAGCTTTACTTATTCCAAAACTCTCATTCATTGTTAAGTTGCTTGGTATACTATAGACTATACATACTATTGTCTATATGTACTTATAGCTGATGATAGTATACCAATAAATCTTTTAAAATGTTCAACAATTCTTTTAAAACAATTACACATTTTATTTTAAAAATATTTTAACCCATTTCCCATTTAGAAAAAAAAGTTACAAAAGTATTACAATGAACTCCTATACAACCTTAAATTAGGTTTACGCATTATTAACATTTTGCATTTTATCTTTATCTCTCAATATATTTAAAAAGTTGGCTGGGTGCGGTGGCTCATGCCTGTAATCCTAGCACTTTGGGAGGCTGAGGTGGGAGGACTGCTTGAGGCCAGGAGTTGAAGGCCAACCCAGGCCAACATAGTGAGAACCCATCTCTATTTAAAAAAAAAAAATTTAAGTATCTAAAATAAAGCAATAAACATATTGTTATTTTGCTCAACTATTTGAAAGTAAGTTGCAGAGAGCATGACTCTTTACCTCTAAATACTTCAGGATGTATCTCCTAAGCATGGACATTCTCTTACATGATCATATTATAATAAGCAAATTCAGGAAATTTATCATTAATGTAGTATTACTATCTATTATAAAGTCCTTATTCAACTTTCACTGATTCATCCAATATTGTCCCTGTAGAGCTTCTTCCCCTCATGCCCCAACCCAGAATCTAATCTGTGATTACATATTGCATTTAGCCGTCTTGTCTCTTTTAATCTGGAACAATTCAAGATGAATTATTTGTTTTTCATGACACTAACATTTTAGAAGCACACAGGACAGTTGTTTTATAAATTGCTCCTCAATTTGTTTTTTTCTGGTTATATTCTCTTAATTTCATTCAGCACTTTTGGCAATAATACTGTATAATGATGTTTCCTTTTTGGTATATCACACCAGGAAGAACCTGCTGTCAGTTTGTACCTTTGTTTTTGTTTGTTTGTTTTTAGAGATAGCATCTCACTCTGTCACCCAGGCTAGAGTGCAGCAGCACAATCCTGGCTCACTGCAGCCTCTACCTCCTCGACTCAAGGAATCCTCCTGCCTCAGCCTTCTGACTAGTTGAGACTACAGGCATGCACCACCATGCCTGTCTAATTTAAAAGATTTTTGTTTTGCAAAGACAAGGTCTCACTATGTTGCCCAGGCTGAATGTACCATTATTAATGCGGTTAACTTTGATTACTTGAAAACAAGATGGTATCTGCCAGATTTCCCCACTGTTAACATTCTTCCCTTTGTAAATAATGAGTAATCTGTGAGGAGATACTGTGAAGTTGTAATTATCTTGTTGACCAAACACTCTGACCAAATAGTTTTATATTCACTGATGACTCTTGCCTAAATCAGTTATTTTATCATTCTGTTTACATTTATTAGTTGGCATTCTACTTTTTTTAAGCTTTCTCTTCTCACCCCATTTGTGTTTTTTAGAATCATAGGAACTCATGGATTTTTTTTATACCACATGTTAAAATCTATTACTGTTATTTTTCAGATTATTAAGTTCAGATTGTCCTGGTTTGGCCAAACTGCCTTCTGTGTTACTTTGACATGATTCCTTCATTTTTTTTAGCACTTTCTTACTTTCTGACAAGATGTTCCAGGCTTATCTTGTACTTTCCCTGCCTTAGCCCAAAAATGGGCCACTTCTCCACGAAGTTTTGGTTCCTTTCAGTGCAGAAAGACTTAAAAACCAAAGTCTAGCACTATTAATAGGTATGTTCATTGCTACTAAGCCGTCATTGCTCCCAGGCCCTTTCAGACAATAGAGCATTTGAAATCAATAAAAAAAATCATGCTGATACCTCTAACTCCAATCCAGTACCACAGGGTTTTTTCCTTGCCTTCGCTCATCCAAATCTGTATCTCCCTTCTTCCACAGTGAGAATCCTAGCTCCTAACAATATCAATATAGGTTTTCAAGGCCAGACATGCTGGCTCACACCTGTAATCTGAACACATTGGGAGGCTGAAGCATGAAGATTTCTTGGGGCCAGGAATTCAAGACCAGCCTGGGCAACATAGGGAGACCTGTTTCTACCAATAAATAAATAAGTAAGCCGGGTGTAGTGGTGCGCACCTGTAGTCCCAGCTACTTCAGAGGCTGAGGTGGAAGGATTGCTTCAGCCTGGGAGGTTGAGGCCGCAGTAAGCCGTGATAGTACCATTGCATTCCAGCCTAGGTGACAGAGCAAGACCCTGTCTCAAAAAAAAGTTTTTCATTTGCTTTTCTAATGCAATGGGTCAAGCCTGTAATCTCAGCATTTTGACAGGCCAACGTGAGCGAATCGCTTGAGCCCAGGAGTTCCAAACCAGCCTGGGCAACATGGTGAAACCCCATCTCTACAAAAAAATACAAAAATTAACCAGGCATGGTGATGCATGCTTGAAGTCCCAACTACTAGGAAGACCAAGGTGGGAGGATTGTTTGAGCCCTGAGGTCAAGGCTGTAGAGAGCCGTGATTGCACCACTGCATTCCAGCCTGAGCAGGAGAGTGAGAACCTGTCTCAAAACAACAACCACGACAAACAAACAACCCCAAAAAACAAAATCCTAAGATGCATACAAAGACAGCTTCAGAATTGCTATACCCATACCACTACCAACAATAAACATATAGTAAATAAACGTAGGAAAGCGAGGTTTTCTTTTGTTTTCAGATTGAGGATATGTAATAATAATACTATTTCAAAAGTTAATCAGATTTAGTCTGGATAATCTAGTTACATTTTTGAATATGTGAAATAATAACATACTTTTGAAATAAAAATACAAACATACATACTCAGAAGTGTCACTCTCTCCTCTATCTTTTCCACACCATTTCTATCCACCCCCTGCAGTAGACAGTTTCATTATTTTCTGGTTCATCTTATTTCTTTTTGAAAAAATAAGTAATGTGTATATTTTCTTTTTACTAGCAAAAAAGTTGTATACCAACTTTTTAAATATTATTTTACATTCTCATCTTTTACTTACTTAACATATCCATATCAGTTCAGTGACACTTCTCATCCTTTCTACATCTTCATAGTACTTGTGATGTACATATACCAGTTTATTCAACCAATTTTTGTAAGTCTGTTCACATTATTTTGTAATTACAAATACTACTACAGTAACCTTGTGTACATTTAATTTTGAACTGTTGATGGCATATCTTCACAGTAAATTCTTAGAAGTGTGATTGTTGGGTCAAACGATAAATGCATATATAGTTGTCAGATATTGCCAAATTCAGCTTCAAAAACTTTGTGTTCTCATCAGCAATGCAAGAAGAATGCCTATTTCTCCCACAGCCTTGCCAAAATAGTGTTGTCAAGAGTCTGACACTTTGCCCATCTAATAAATGAGAAATAATGTATCAGTGTAGTTTTCATTTGCATTTCTCTTATTAAGTAAACTGAATATTTTTTCTTATACTTGTGAGCTATTTTTTATATCTTTCTTGGAGAATTTTCTGTATTTGACCACGTTTTCCTATTGAATTTTTCATCTTTTTATAATTCAATGCTTAAAATTATTGGCCGGGCACAGTGGCTCATGCCTGTAATACCAACATTTTGGGAAGCTGAGGTGGGCAGATCACTTGAGGTCAGGAGTTCAAGATCAGCCTGGCCAACATGGGGAAATCCCATCTCTACTAAAAATACAAAAATTAGCTGGGCATGGTGGTGCACTCTGTAATCCCAGCTACTCGGGAGGCTGAGGCAGGAGAACTGCCTGAACCCAGGTGGGGGAGGGTGCAGCAAGCAAATATTGCACCACTGCACTGTAGCCTGGGCGACAGAGCGAGACTCTGTCTTAAAAAAAAAAAAAAGAAAGAAAGAAAGAAAAGAAAAATTGTATATTAGGGATATTAAACCTTTTCTTGTGAATATTTTTACCATGTGGCCTTTTGCTTTTGAGTTTGCTTATGCTATTTTTTGTCATGCAAAAGCGACTTTATTTTTTAATACAACGTAAATGTTATATAACAAAAGTTTTTTTTATTTTACATAATTTGTCAACCTTTTCCTTTCTTATACCTGAATTTTGAATCATAGAAAGTCTTTTCCCAAAGATTCTTCCCCATGTAAGAATGCACACACGTTTTCTCCTAGTAGTTGGAAGATTTTTATTTTTACTTTTAGCCTTCTTATCAATTTAGAATTTATTCTTATGTATAAGGCACACATCCAATTCTTTTCCTCAGCATCATTTATTAAAACACATCATCTTTGCCCCAGTGACTAGAGATGTCATCTTTATTAATACTAAACCCCAATATAGGTTTGGGTCTATTTCTGTACTTTTTAAAAACTCTACTGTATGGTCTATTGGAATATCAGTGCTATACTATTCTAATTCGAATCTACTCTTTGCCTGCCACCATCCATGTAAGAAGTGACTTGCTCCTCCTTGCTTTCTGCCATGATTGTAAGGCCATGATTCCCCAGCCATGTGGAACCGTAAGTCCAGTAAACCTCTTTTTCTTCCTAGTCTTGGGTATGTCTTTATCAGCAGCATGAAAACAAACTAATGCAGGGTGTTTTGTTGTTGTTTTAGGAATTATTTTTGCATTAAGCCTTTTTCAGTACTCATGACTGGATGGACATTCTAGTACAGTGTGGCTGGTAGAACTTTCTGCAGTAATGAAGATGTTCTATATCTGCACTGCCCAATATAGTAGTCACAAGCCATATGTGGGTATTGAACACTTGAAATGTGGCTAGTGTGACAAAGGAACTGAATTTTACATTTTATTTAAATGTAATTAATTTAAATTGCAACATATGACTAGCAGCTACTAAATTGAACAGTGCAGTAATAGTAGATTCATCAGGAAGCAGTCATGTGTACAGTATTCAATGAGTATTTGTAGGTTTAAAACTGTTTTTCTATAACTAGAGCACCTAGAGAACAACCTGGTTGGAATATAAAATACTTGGCTTATACTTCCTCTTCATTTTTTTAGAAAATGCTGCTCCACTGGTATTTTCTTTGTATATTACTGATAAGGTCTGATGCCAGTCTAATTTTCGGTCCCTTGTAAGTAATCAAGGCTTATTTCCAAGAGCTTTGACAATAATTTCATTTTTACAATCCAATAGTTTTACTAGGCTCTATCTCAAAATTGATCATTCTAAATCAGTTTACCAGGCAAAATTGGACCTTTCAATATACATATTAAAGTCTTTTTTCATTTCTAGAAAGTTGTCTTGAATTATAATTTTAAATATAATTATGTTCCACTGGTTTCCCCCATGCCACCTAGGGACTCCAATTATATGCACGTTGGATCTTTTCTGCTTGTCTTCCATTTCAATCCTTTTCTCTCTGACCCTTTTTATTTCTTTATCTCCTTTTAATTTTCTTGCTTGTTTCTCTGACTTTCTACAACAGCCCCTATTAAATATTCAGTAGACTCTACTCTCCCTCAAGCACACTGTAATTTAGTCTTAATTTCTTTATTAAGTTCGATGAATTCTAATTTTGTTTCGTCTTTTTTGAGGAGAGGAATTGAGCTATTTCTGTTATTAGTTTTTAAATTTTTGATTCATTTCTTTGTTTGAGGCAACTTAATTCAGTTAGGAGTATTGTATTACATCTTCCTTCTGTTTCACAGTTTGTTGTGGAGAAGAAATTCTATCACGCAAATGGTTTTGATTCTCATTTTCTGTTTTTACCCTAATTTTACATGGAAATAGGCTGCATGTTGGGGGGTCTATTTTATAGAGAGAGTAAAGATTTTAAGTGGCTTACAAGATTTCTAATTCAATCCCTCTCCTTCTCCCTCTCCGTCTCCCCACGGTCTCCCTCTCCCTCTCTTTCCACGGTCTCCCTCCCTCTCCCGTCTCCCCACGGTCTCCCTCTCCCTCTCTTTCCACGGTCTCCCTCTGATGCCGAGCCAAAGCTGGACTGTACTGCTGCCATCTCGGCTCACTGCAACCTCCCTGCCTGATTCTCCTGCCTTAGCCTGCCGAGTGCCTGCGATTGCAGGCGCACGCCACGCCTGACTGGTTTTCGTATTTTTTTGGTGGAGACGGGGTTTCGCTGCGTTGGCCGGGCTGGTCTCCAGCTCCTAGCCACAAGTGATCCGCCAGCCTCGGCCTCCCGAGGTGCCGGGATTGCAGACGGAGTCTCGTTCACTCAGTGCTCAATGGTGCCCAGGCTGGAGTGCAGTGGCGTGATCTCGGCTGGCTACAACCTCCACCTCCCAGCCGCCTGCCTTGGCCTCCCAAAGTGCCGAGATTGCAGCCTCTGCCCGGCCGCCACCCCGTCTGGGAAGTGAGGAGTGTCTCTGCCTGGCTGCCCATCGTCTAGGACGTGAGGAGCCCCTCTGCCTGGCTGCCCAGTCTGGAAAGTGAGGAGCGTCTCTGCCCGGCCGCCATCCCATCTAGGAAGTGAGGAGCGTCTCTGCCCGGCCGCCCTCCCATCTAGGAAGTGAGGAGTGCCTCTTCCTGGCCGCCATCCCATCTAGGAAGTGAGGAGCGTCTCTGCCCGGCCGCCCATTGTCTGAGATGTGGGGAGTGCCTCTGCCCCGCCGCCCCGTCTGGGATGTGAGGAGCACGTCTGCACAGCCGCGACCCCGTCTAGGAGGTGAGGAGCGTCTCTGCCCGGCCGCCCCGACTAAGAAGTGAGGAGACCCTCCGCCCGGCAGCCGCCCCATCTGAGAAGTGAGGAGCCCCTCCGCCCGGCAGCCGCCCCGTCTGGGAAGTGAGGAGCCCCTCCGCCCGGCAGCCACCCCGTCTGGGAGGTGTACCCAACAGCTCATTGAGAACGGGCCATGATGACAATGGTGGTTTTGTGGAATAGAAAAGGGGGAAAGGTGGGGAAAAGATTGAGAAATCAGATGGTTGCTGTGTCTGTGTAGAAAGAAGTAGACATGGGAGACTTTTCATTTTGCTCTGTACTAAGAAAAATTCTTCTGCCTTGGGATCCTGTTGATCTATGACCTTACCCCCAACCCTGTGCTCTCTGAAACATGTGCTGTGTCCACTCAGGGTTAAATGGATTAAGGACGGTGCAAGATGTGCTTTGTTAAACAGATGCTTGAAGGCAGCATGCTCGTTAAGAGTCATCACCACTCCCTAATCTCAAGTACCCAGGGACACAAACACTGCGGAAGGCTGCAGGGTCCTCTGCCTAGGAAAACCAGAGACCTTTGTTCACTTGTTTATCTGCTGACCTTCCCTCCACTATTGTCCTATGACCTTGCCAAATCCCCCTCTGCGAGAAACACCCAAGAATGATCAATAAAAAAAATAAAAAAATAAAAAAAATAAAAATTATAAGTATGTGCTAAAAAAAAAAAAAAAGATTTCTAATTCAAGACTGCCCACTTCAGTCAGAATAGTGAAGTTTCATATATATATATATATATATGAAATACGTATATATTTGGGGAAGCAGTGAAGGGAGAAGAGGTTGATGTGTTTTGTAATTCTTTGTTTTAGGTAGGATCTTAATTCCCCTTAATGTTCTTCTTTCCTTTCACTAACGCATCTCCAAAGGGCACCTCCCCCTTTCTACTTATCTCTTTCCCAGAAGTGATGCCTTTCCAAAACTGCCACCTTTGGTCTGACACACTTTCAAGGCCTTTACCTTTAGACAGTACTGTGATCTACCAGATCTTAGACTGCTTTCATAGATTCTGCCTTTATTGTGGAGTTTTATCTTTCTATTGCTACTTTTGTCAGAATTAGGCCCTTGAGTCCTCTCTTCTCTTTTCCATATAGTTTTTCAAACATCTCCAAGTCTGAAACACTGAAAACAGTTCTGTTGGAACTTGGTGTTTATTTCTTATTTTAAAATAAATTGAAGGTCATAATACTGTTTCTCCTAGTAAGGCTGAAAGTGTGGGTTGCACGTAGTTCTATTTGTTTTCCTTATTAATCTCTATGTTTTTCTGGGAGAATAAGTGGACAAACTCCAGCTTAGGAGGCCACCATTATCCTAGGGCAACTGGAAGTCCCTCAGGTCTTTTTGTTCTTATTGTTGTTACAGATTGTGATCTGTCCATGTTTTATAAACATTATGAAAACACCCCAGAAAAAAAGCAAAGGGATAAGTCTGTAGACAAGTCTTCCTTTTGAAGATAATCAAGTAACTTTCTTAAAATGCATATGAGCAACAGATTGTGAAATTAAAGTCTCTCATATCTAATAAATAATCTAAGGTAGAATCTGACATGATTCACTATAGCTTACAGTTTTGGGATAATTAGAAGTCCTTTCTGTCAATGTGGAAATACTCACCATGAGCTAAAACAAAAGAAAGAGACTTTAGAGAGTTATAAAAAATAAATAAGGCCAGGCACAGTGGCACACACCTGTAATCCCAGCACTTTGGGAGGCCACGGCAGGAAGATTGCTTGATCTCAGGAGTTTGAGATTAGCCTGGGCAACATGGCGAAATCCTGTCTCTACAAAAAAATACAAAAATTAGCCAGGCATGGTGGCATACGCCTGTGGTCCCAGCTACTTGGGAGGCTAAGGTAGGAGGATCGCTTGCACCTGGGAGGTTGAGGCTGCAGTGAGCCAAGATTGTACCACTACACTCCAGCCTGGGTGACAGAGTGCGACTCTGTCAAAAAAAAAAAAAAAGCAACTCCAAAACACATAATTGTCAGATTCACCAAAGTGGAAATGAAGGAAAAAATGTTAAGGGCAGTCAGAGAGAAAGGATGGGTTACCCACAAAGGGAAGCCCATCAGACTAACAGCTGATCTCTCAGCAGAAACTCTACAAGCCAGAAGAGAGTGGGGGCCAATATTCAACATTCTTAAAGGAAAGAATTTTCAACACAGAATTTCATATCCAGCCAAACTAAGCTTCATAAGTGAAGGAGAAATAAAATCCTTTACAGACAAGCAAATGCTGAGAGATTTTGTCACCACCAGCCCTGCCCTAAAAGAGCTCCTGAAGGAAGCACTAAACATGGAAAGGAACAACTGGTACTAGCCACTGCAAAAACATGCCAAATTGTAAAGACCATCAATGCTAGGAAGAAACTGCATCAACTAACGACCAAAATAACCAGCTAACATCATAATGACAGGATCAAATTCACACATAACAATATTAACCTTAAACGTAAATGGGCTAAATGCTCCAATTAAAAGACACAGGCTGGCAAATTGGATAAAGAGTCAAGACCCATCAGTGTGCTGTATTCAGGAGATCCATCTCATGTGCAGAGACACACATAGGCTCAAAATAAAGGGATGGAGGGAGATCTACCAAGCAAATGGAAAACAAAAAAAGGCAGGGGTTGCAATCCTAGTCTCTGATAAAACAGACTTTAAACCAACAAAGATCAAAAGAGACAAAGAAGGCCATTACATAATGGTAAAGGCATCAATTCAACAAGAAGAGCTAACTATCCTAAATATATATGCACCCAATACAGGAGCACCCAGATTCATAAAGCAAGTCCTTAGTGACCTACAAAGAGACTTAGACTCCCACACAATAATAATGGGAGACTTTAACACCCCACTGTCAACATTAGACAGATCAACGAGACAGAAAGTTAACAAGGATATCCAGGAATTGAACTCAGCTCTGCACCAAGCGGACCTCATAGACATCTACAGAACTCTCCACCCCAAATCAACAGAATATACATTCTTTTCAGCACCACACCACCCCTATTCCAAAATTGACCACATAGTTGGAAGTAAAGCTCTCCTCAGCAAATGTAAAAGAACAGAAATTATAACAAACTGTCTCTCAGACCACAGTGCAATCAAACTAGAACTTAGGATTAAGAAACTCACTCAAAACCTCTCAACTACATGGAAACTGAACAACCTACTCCTGAATGACTACTGGGTACATAACGAAATGAAGGCAGAAATACAGACGTTCTTTGAAACCAATGAGAACAAAGACACAACATACCAGAATCTCTGGGACACATTTAAGTAGTGTGTAGAGGGAAATGTATAGCACTAAATGCCCAAAAGAGAAAGCAGGAAAGATCTAAAACTGACACCCTAACATCACAATTAAAAGAACTAGAGAAGCAAGAGCAAACACATTCAAAAGCTAAGAGAAGGCAAGAAATAACTAAGATCAGAGCAGAACTGAAGGAGATAGAGACACAAAAAACCCTTCAAAAAATCAAAGAATCCAGGAGCTGGTTTTTTGAAAAGATCAACAAAATTAATAGACCTCTAGCAAGATCAATAAAGAAGAAAAGAGAGAAGAATCAAATAGATGCAATCAAAAATGATAAAGGGGATATCACCACTGATCCCACAGAAATACAAACTACCATCACAGAATATTATAAACACCTCTATGCAAATAAACTAGAAAATCTAGAAGAAATGGATAAATTCCTGGACACATACACTCTCCCAAGACTAAACCAGGAAGAACCTGAATCCCTGAATACACCAATGACAGGCTCTGAAATTGACGCAATAATAGCCTACCAACCAAAAAAAGTCCAGGACCAGACGGACTCACAGCCAAATTCTACCAGAGGTACAAGGAGGAGCTGGTACCATTCCTTCTGAAACTATTCCAATCAACAGAAAAAGAGGCAATCCTCCCTAACTCATTTTATGAGGCCAGCCTCATCCTAATACCAAAGCCTGGCAGAGACACAACAAAAAAAGAGAATTTTAGACCAATATATCTGATGAACATCGATGTAAAAATCCTCAATAAAATACTGGCAAACCAAATCCAGCAGCACATCAAAAAGCTTATTCACCATGATCAAGTGGGCTTCATCCCTGGGATGCAAGACTGGTTCAACATATGCAAATCAATAAACGTAATCCAGCATATAAACAGAAGCAAAGACAAAAACCACATGGTTATCGCAATAGATGCAGCAAAGGCCTTTGACGAAATTCAACAGCCCTTCGTGCTAAAAACTCTCAATAAATTAGGTATTAGGTACTGATGGGACATATCTCAAAATAATAAGAGCTATTTATGACAGACCCACAGCCAATATCATACTGAATGGGCAAAAACTGGAAGCATTCTCTTTGAAAACTGGCACAAGACAGGGATGCCCTCTCTCACCACTCCTATTCAACATAGTGTTGGAAGTTCTGGCCAGGGCAATCAGGCAGGAGAAAGAAATAAAGCGTATTCAATTAATAAAAGAGGAAGTCAAATTGTCCCTGTTTGCAGATGACATGATTGTATATCTGGAAAACCCCATCGTCTCAGCCCAAAATCTCCTTAAGCTGATAAGCAACTTCAGCAAAGTCTCAGGATACAAAATCAATGTGCAAAAATCACAAGCATTCTTATACACTAATAACAGACAAACAGAGAGCCAAATCATAAGTGAACTCCCATTCACAATTGCTTCAAAGAGAATAAAATACCTAGGAATCCAACTTACAAGGGATGTGAAGGACGTCTTCAAGGAGAACTACAAACCACTGCTCAACGAAATAAAAGAGGACACAAGCAAATGGAAGAACATTCCATGCTCATGGGTAGGAAGAATCAATATCGTGAAAATGGCCATATTACCCAAAGTAATTTATAGATTCAATGCCATCCCCATCAAGCTACCAATGACTTTCTTCACAGAATTGGAAAAACCTACTTTAAAGTTCATATGGAACTAAAAAAGAGCCCGCATTGCCAAGTCAATCCTAAGCCAAAAGAACAAAGCTGGAGGCATCACTCTACCTGACTTCAAACTATACTACAAGGCTACAGAAACCAAAACAGCCTGGTACTGGTACCAAAACAGAGATATAGACCAATGGAACAGAACAGAGCCCTCAGAAATAATACCACACATCTACAACCATCTGATCTTTGACAAATCTGACAAAAACAAGAAATGGGGAAAGGATTCCTTATTTAATAAATGGTGCTGGGGAAACTGGCTAGCCATATGTAGAAAGCTGAAACTGGATCCCTTCCTTACACCTTATACAAAAATTAATTCAAGATGGATCAAAGACTTAAATATTAGACCTAAAACCATAAAAACCCTAAAAGAAAACCTAGGCAATAGCATTCAGGACATAGGCATGGGCAAGGACTTCATGTCTAAAACACCAAAAGCATGGCAACAAAAGCCAAAATTGACAAATGGGATCTAATTAAATTAAAGAGCTTCTGCACAGCAAAAGAAACTATCATCAGAGTGAACAGGCAACCTACAGAATGGGAGAAAATTTTTGCAATCTACTCATCTGACAAAGGGCTAGTATCCAGAATCTACAAAGAACTCAAACAAATTTACAAGAAAAAAACAAACAACCCCATCAAAAAGTGGGCAAAGGATATGAACAGACACTTCTCAAAAAAAGACATTTATGCAGCCCAAAAACACATGAAAAAATGCTCACCATCACTGGCCATCAGAGAAATGCAAATCAAAACCACAATGAGATACCATCTCACACCAGTTAGAATGGCGATCATTAAAAAGTCAGGAAACAACACGTGCTGGAGAGGATGTGGAGAAATAGGAACACTTTTATACTGTCGGTGGGACTGTAAACTAGTTCAACCATGGTGGAAGACAGTGTGGCGATTCCTTGAGGATCTAGAACTAGAAATACCATTTGACCCAGCCATCCCATTATTGGGTATATACTCAAAGGATTATAAATCATGCTGCTATAAAGACACATGCACACGTATGTTTATTGCGGCACTATTCACAATAGCAAAGACTTGGAACCAACCCAGATGTCCATCAATGATAGAATGGATTAAGAAAACGTGGCACATATACACAAGGGAATACTATGCAGCCATTAAAAAAGGATGAGTTCATGTCCTTTGTAGGGACATGGATGAAGTTGGAAACCATCATTCTCAGCAAACTATCGCAAGGCCAAAAAACCAAACACCGCATGTTCTCACTCATAGGTGGGAATTGAACAATGAGAACACTTGGACACAGGGTGGGGAACATCACCCACCAGGGCCTGTTGTGGGGTGGGGGAAGGGGGGAGGGATAGCATTAGGAGATATACCTAATGTAAATGACGAGTTAATGGGTGCAGCACACCAACATGGCACATGTATTCATATGTAACAAACCTGCACGTTGTGCACGTGTACCCTAGAACTTAAAGTATAATAATAATAAAAAAAACAGAATAGAAAATGAAGAAATGAAACTACTAGAAAGAATCTACTTCATTTGGTATTTTTTATTTATTATGATGATGCAAGAACATGACAGAAGACAGAAGTGATTTCACTACGTTAGGCTCTGGTATAGCTGATTTACCCATCCATCCAGTACTTATTGAGGAACACTAAACTGCCAGACAATAGGGACGCAAAGATCATTAAGACACAGTCCTCCACCTCACAGACAAGTAGAATATACGTAAGTCACAAAAGGTTGGATGGTATCCTTTCCAAAAAGTTTAAAACTATGCAAAACCATACTATGTATACTTCTAAGGATATATACATACATAGTATAAACATGAAAACATGAGAAAATGATAAGCATCAAATTCAGGATTGAGGCTAGCTCTTAGGGGATGGGCTGGGAGGCTGAGGGGGATACAATCAGGGAGGAATACAAAGGAGTTTTAATTTTATCTGTAGTAATTTCCTTAAAAAAGAAAAAGATCTGAAACAAATATTATAAATTGTTAGGACCTGACAAAACTGGGTAGTAAGATGTGTGGGTATATTTGTTATATTATCTCTATTCTTTTTTGTATGCTTAAAATATTTTGTAATTTCTAAAACATTTTATTCAAAATGCAGTTCAATTCACTGGCAAGGTTTTTGGAGTTTTAACTAAGAAGTTTCAGAATATATTCAAGTTATGTAATAACACAAAATTGAAAACCGCTTTTAGAAATGAATGAGAAAAATGGCCCATTTGAATACTGTACATTTCTTCAGATACAGTGTTATACATACCTGTGAGTGCTAAATAAGAAGCAATGTACCGCTTTTCCAGACCGTCTCTAACACTCTGAACTGCACCGAACATTGGAGGTATAATCATGATCAGGTTACTCACTGTATTCCCTTTAAGAGAAAAATATAAGAAGACATTTAGGTTAATCAATAACACTTTAAATAAAGATACATTCACGTAGGCTTTAACAACAATTACACAAGTAACTTCTCAGAAAGACATTGGGAAGATATTTTCAAGGTGCTGAAAAAAAATTCTGTACTCACCAAAAATTTCTCACAATAATCCAAATAAAATAAAGATATTTCAGACAAATGAAACTAAAAATTTTCCACCAGCAAACCCACTAAAGGAAATCCTAATTTCTAAAGGCAAGCAAGAAAAAGATCTCCGGAAGAACCTCAGAGATACAGCAGAAAATGGGTTGGGGGAGGCAGCCTATACTGATGCACTGAAATTGTGGTCCATGGATGCAGTATGACATGATGAATACAGGATTGGCTTAATTTTGTTACTTGGAATAAAAAAGCAACAAATTGCAGTTTACATTTTGTGTGTCTCTTTAACATTTCATTTTCTAGTAATGTTTTAATTTCTAGTTTCTGTTTCTAGTAAAACATAGAAGGCCTAATTAATGGATCTTAATTTGATCTTTCCTCCTGTCTTCACAAAAACAAAGTGCAAACATGAATAGCAAAGGAATAGTAAAAAACCCCAGTAGAATTTATAAGTAAATAAAATGGAGAAAGAAATGGCTAAACAGTATTTTATAAATTTGATTATCAGAAGAATAAAGGGGCACAATATTTTCCAAATTTCAAAAGAATGATTTTCAGCAGAGATGCTAATATCAAGACAAATAATCAATTCACTGAGAGGGTAGAAGAAAACATTTTCAAACAGTCAAGGATTAAAAAAATATACTTACAACATATCTTTTTCTGGAATCAACTGGAGAATGTAATGAGTGCAAACAAGGAAACTGACCATGAGAAAGGATGACATGAGAGCTAAGAAACATGGGCTGCAACACAGGAGAGAGGTAAAGAAAAGGCTCAAGACTACAAAAGGACCAGGGACCACACAGTCCATCCAAACTGCGGCAGGAGAACCAAGAACTGCAGGAAAGAAGTTTCCAAGAAGAAAAGGAAGAAAAGGATAGATAATTTGATAAATTAAAAAATTTTGGGGAAAAAATGCCAATGGGCATTTGACAGAGGTGTTGGAAAAATTGTACTATAACTCATTCAACCAGTCCTCTATAACTGTAAACATTCAGGTTATTTCCCATTCTCACTATTACAAGCAATATTGCAATGAATAACCATATATATTTACAAGTGCAGGTAATACTGCAATGAATAACCATATATATTTACAAGTGCAGGTATATCTGTAAAATAGATACACAAAAATGAGATTGTCAAGTCAAGAAATAAATCTATTGGCCCAAAAAGTAGTAACAGAAAACATGGACGCATCGTTCTTTCTTTTACAATGAATAAGGATGGGTATAATTTTATCTTCTTTTGTATTTCTTCTCCTATGAAATGTATTTCATGCCCTTTGCCAGTTTTTCTATTGGTCTTTCCTTTTTCTATAAGAAGGAGCCCTTCTTGTAAAAGGGATATTAATATTAACCCTATGTATTTGCTGTAGACAAATTTTTGGTGTTTTTTTTTTTTTTTTTTTTGACAGAGTCTTCCTCTGTTGCCCAGGCTGGAGTGCAGTGGCGTGATCTCAGCTCACTGCAACCTCCACCTCCTGGGCTCAAGAGATTCTTGTGTGTCAGCCTCCTGAGTAGCTGGGAACACAGGTGCATGCCATCATGCCCAGCTAATTTTTGTATTTTTAGTAGTCTACACAGAAAGAAATGTTACCATAGAGTACACTATCTGGCTTAGCAGTGCACATTATTTACATAGCCATATTGATATTATGGATGTTACATCCTAACTACTTATTTAGTAAAAAATTATGCTCTGACTTTATTGAGAAAATATAGTGGGGAAAGCAGGGATGGTATAAAAAAGTGAAATCCCCAACCACCAAAACTAGAAGACAACAGACAATATCTTAAATTTACAGATCCAGAAATAGGACTGTAAGGCAAGTTATTCAGAAATCTGAAGCCAAATTAATAATAATAAAAAAAAAATAGCTGGCCAGGGGCAGTGGCTAACACTTGTAATCTTAGCACTTTGGGAGACCAAGGTGGGAGGATCGCTTGAGCCCAGGAGTTCTAGAGCAGCCTGGGCAACACAGTGAGACTCATCTCTACAAAAATAAATAAATAAATACATAAATAAATAAAATAAATGTTAACACAGTTATTGTCAGACTTCTGTTTCCACACAAGATGAAGAAACAAGAACCAGATTTATCCTCTTACCTGAAATAAGAAGAAGAGGGGAGCAGAGGGAAGGGGAGAGGAGACAAAATATATGAAACAACTATTTTCAAGACAATAGACATCAGGCAATGATTCCCGAGAAACCAAGAAACAAATGGAGGCCCCTATGATTGCCCCTACCTTACTGCCTGGAGTACTCAAGCCACAGCATAAGGAGGGAGTACCCAGCGGGACCTTGGCAGGCTCCCTGATGAGGAAACAAAGCGGGGAGTTCAGGAAGACCAAGGTGACTAGATTTCACAGGAGACAGTATATGAGAGACAACTTTAGAGAGAAAGAACTCAGGAAATCTATAAAGGGCCCCCTAACTATTCAGCAGAAGACTGATTAGCAGATGTGTAGGAGCAAACTAGTCGAAGCCAGGAAAGAATCATGGTGAAAATATTAGAGGGAACAGTACCAGGTGTTCACACATAGCCAGTACACACATAGCCAGAAACAGTGCCTACTCCCAAAAGCTGAAATGGTAAAATTTGTATCACACTGGGCATTGGATAAAGGAATCAAGAAGGCCTGGCCTCAGTAATAGGGAATAGCTAGTACTAGACTGAACCCTGTTCCAGACACACCTAACAAATCACAAAAGCAAAATCCAAAAGGATCAAACTGTTTCCAAGTAGCTTCACTGAAATCCAGAACAAAATTCAAGACTATTTATACTAATACAAAAGTTATTCAGCACCTAACAAAGTTAAAAAAAGCACGATGTCAGGTATTCAATCAAAGATTACCAGGCATACAAAAAAAGCAAGAAACATGATCCATGAGGAAAATAATCAACTGGAACCAACCCAGAACAGATGTTAGAATTAGCAGACAAGGACTAAAACAGATCATATAAAAGGCTAGAAAATGCAAACTAATCTACAGTGACAGAAAGAAGATCAGTGGTTGCTGGGGGAGAAATGGTGGAAGTTCAATGCAGAAGGAGGGCTTACAAAGGAATAAAATAAAACTTGGAGGTGAAGGATATGTTACTATCTTGTTTTTGATGGTTTCACAGGTATAAGCCAATGTCAAATTTTAATTTGTACACTTTAAATAGGTGCAGTCTGTTTTGTATCTCAATTATACCTCAATCAAGCTGGGTTTGTTTTTTTTTTTAATTTTGCTTCTGGGGAGTAGAATTAGACAGTGGGAAGCAAAGAAGGGTTGGGAAAGAACATTGCCTTCTGGTTTTGTTAAAGTTGTTTAGCATTATCTAGATTTTTAAATTTTTTTTATATATTGCTTTGATAAAATAAAAATTAATACAGAAACCATTTAGGAGAGGGAGTAAGATCGTTGGGAATAGTTTCATAGATGTATTAAGATTTGAGCTAGACCCTGAAAGGAGAGAAAGGAACAAAAATATGCTGAGCCTATTAAGTACCAGGTACTGAACTTTATATTTTACATGTGCTATCTTACTTGCTTCTCACAACCAATCTTGTGAAGTATTGTTGTCCCTATTAAAAATAAACAGTAAAAGCGGGTTAAGAAATTATACAATTTACAGTATACAATTCCAAGTTCTCACAATAAGCAAATGGTGGTGGCAAGATTTTATTCCAGGTCTATCTGTCCTTATAGCTAATGTTCCTCTCACTAGATGTGCTAGCACAATGTTCACACAGAGGGTGCTTATTAATTATAATGTTTTAAAAATTATATCAGAGTATTTTATTCAGAATATATTAAATGACTTCCAAACTGTACAAAGAATAAAGTAATTTGCCTAGGTAGAGTATGAAAATGTAAGGTGGGGAGCCAGACAGATTGAGAGTTATATATCCAAACAGCAGTTATCAATAGTTTTAAGTAAACCTGTAGGAGATGTTGAATATTTTACCATTCAGGAGTGCCCTAAGATTCAAACTAATGAAAATCTTTACTGATGACTAAGATAAAGCAATGGAAACATGCCCAAACGTACAGGTAGTATTAAATTTAGCTGAAATGTCAATAGTATGGAAGTCAGTAATACATTTCAAATTACCTGGAGGCAGGGAGTGCAGGAGGGTCTTACAAACTATATGAAACTCATTTAAGGACAATGCACAAGTTTTACAAATTAGAATGAAGAATTGCAAACCACAAATATAGGCTTGTTAGAGAGAGTAAGGACAACCCTGACAGAAAGTTCCAAAGACAGAAAGATGACAGTAGGCTATTCTGGGAGGAAAATCTCAATATACTAGTATTCAGAGGTAAAAATGGAAAGAGCTAGATAGTGGTCCTCCTACTTTTCTCTGCTTTAATTCAGCTTCTCATTGGGATGTTTATCTATTTGTGGCACCCTAAACAAAACAGAAATACTAAAGCATTCAGAGTAGAGACTCATATAAAGGCATAATATACTAAATAAATAAAACACAACATATAAGGAATGGAATGACTGCTATCTTCAAATATCTGAAGGATTCCTGGGTCAGATTGACAATCTGAACACGTAACTGCAGTTTTGGTGTTACAGATATAATTTGCAATAGCATCAAAACACATCACATATCTAGGAATAAATCTGACAAAGACATATAAGACATAATACTAATAAAAATCCCAAATGGTTTTGGGTACAAATTAAAAAGCTGACTCTTAACTTTATATGAAATACAAAAGGCTAAGAAGAGCCAAGACAATCTTGAGTAACAACAAACCTGGAGTATTTACACTACTAGATATCAAGGCCGACTAACAAGGTTAAATAGAACAGGTAAGATTATAAGAACATACTAACATTTACGAGCACCTGATTTATGACAAACATAAGCCTGCAGTGTATTAAGGAAAGGATGGTCTTTTCAATACAGATACTGGATCAACTGCATATTTATATAGGAAAAAAATTAATCTGGATCCCAGGTTCACACTCCTTACACAAAAATAAATTCCAGATGGGAGCTTCTCTGAACCCATTCTGGTTCAAGGGCTGCCCAATTCGATAAACAATTAAAAATTTGTTTTAATTAAAAATAAATTCCAGAGGTACTATAGATCTAAATGTAAAAGGTAACACAATAAAACCTTCAGAAGAAAATATGGGAGAACATCTTTATCACCTTGGAGAGGCAATGATTTTTTTCAGTAGGACATGAAAAGGATTAACCACAAAGGCAAAAAATTGATAAATCAGGTAAGACTGTAAAGTCAGGAAAAAAGAATAAAAGGTTACTTTTAAAAAGCTGATTTAAAGAATAATAGATATGTAATTGCTTTGTAAATAAGCAATTTAGCTTATATAGCTATACATGTTAGCTAATTTAATTTTACTAAGCAAAATAATGCACATAAAATGATCGTGGACTTAAAACTTTGGGTAAAAAAATGGTTTCAGCCCAGGCATTGTGGATCATGGCTATAATCCCAGCACTTTGGAAAGCCAAGGGGGGAGGATTGCTTGAGCCCAGGAGTTCGACACCAGCCTGGGCAACATAAGGAGAACCCATCTCTACAAAAAATTTTTTAAAATTAGCCAGGCATAGTGGCACTTGCCCGTGGTCTTAGCTGCTCAGAAGGCTGAGGTGGGAGGATCGCTTGAGCCTGGGAGGCTGAGGCTGCAGTGAGCCATGATCACACCACTGCACTGCAGCCTGGGTGACAGAGCAAGACTCTGTCTGTTAAAAAAAAAAAAAAAAAAGTCAAGAGTTCAATCAGAAAAGATAAACCAGAGTAATTTGAATAGAGAATTATTAACTTATAAGAGTAAGGAGAGACAGGCTAGTCACAAGTAAAGAAAACTCTACAGAATAAAGGAATATCAGAGGTAAGGAGCAGCCACTACCCCTAAGGCTGAGATAGAGCATTAAAAAAGAGGTTTCCCCAAGGCTGAGATGCAGACCTTGCTGGAGAAGGCATGACCATGGTTCACTGAATAGCCGAGAAGTTGCTGTGGTGCTATACCCATAGAGCTTGCTGAAATCTACTGTTCAGAACTTGTCAGAACTCTGCCCTCTAGGGTGCCAGCTAAAGCTAATCCCATAGAGCGGAGAGGTAGGTGGGCAGGGGATGCTACTGACCACTAGGTGCTGCTGACAGCCACGTTCTGCAATAGCCTGGCACCAGAAGCTGACCAAGCTTTAAGAGGTGGGCACTGGGGAAGCCTCAGCACTGTAGGAGCCAGAAGCTATTAAGCCACTTGGACTGCAAGAGCTGGCGCCAGAGAAGTTGCCAAGCCAGCACACCAGAACCAGGAAGGAAAATCTCTTCCTCTTGCAATGTCTCTCTGGCGCCCTCTATTGACAAAATTTAACATCCAGCCAGTTGTCAAAGGAAAATATTCAAAGGGCTCAGGTCTATTTTCACCAACCATGCAATGAATGTTGAACTCAGAGCTAAGAAGTAATAAATTGATAACGACCACAATTATAAAACTATGTTTTCATCAATCATGACTTGGTAAAACTATAGTTGGTGAGGGTTCCCTAACCAAGAAATTAAGAATAAACATTTAAGCAGGTTAAATAATGGATTTCCCCCTTTTTCCATATTTTCTACAATGTTGCTATATTGTCTTTATAACTGAAAACTAAAGTATTAAAAAGATGAATGGTAGAAAATAAAATTACTTCTACTAAGAGTTTAATTGGATTTGAGGTTAACTGCTTCCAGAAAATTCAATTAAAAAATTTCTGTTCTGGAAATAAAAGCGAGATATTCATTCATACACCACACAATAGTGTACTAAAATATTTTGAACACTTTTTTTCTGGAAGGAAAGTCTTATTTTGATATAGATTTAGATTTTTGAAAACTATGATATTTTTATACCCCCAAACACATTCTCCTTATAATATAAATTACAGGCAAGACTGACGTTACAGTAATTTCACGATTTCTTAATAGGTAAATTTATCTTTCAGCAAGGTAAACGGAAACTCAAATATCAAAAATATGAGAAACAAAGTTTGGGGAAAAGCACATGTGCAAAAGGGTACAATTTAAGAGAATTGTGAATGAAGATACAGTAGGAAAGTGTTTTCTCATAGGACAGTAGGTGGAGCCAGTGTGCTCCACAATCTAAACGGTTTTCCAACATTTGGCTGAATACATAAAACCCTGAGGTGACTGGATAAACAATTTAGAGCTCGGTTGTATTTACAACTGTAAAACCATCACCCAGAGCTAAAGATAAATAAATAGAAGCATTAAAATCTAGTGAAGCTGAAAAAGTGATCTATATTGCTTCACTTCCACTGTGAAAAGCCGTCCTGCCCAGTCAGCAAATTAGCTTGATGAAAGCTGTAACTGGTTTGAGCCTGAAAGCAACCCAGCACTTTTCCCCAATGCAAGTTCATTTTGCCAAATATTTTACTGATTATGCAGATCTTCAAATAATGTTAAACATTCCCAGAGCTTCAGAGACTTCAGAGATGGATGTAGATAGGGAGATCATCTAAATTCATCTTCACAATTTAGAGTAGGCATTACTGTGTTCTTATCTACTACCACCTTCTAGCTGTGTGAACTTAGGCAACTTATTTATGCTTAAGCCTTAGTTTCCTAACTTGCAAAATGGGTAAAAACAATTATATTTACATTATTTAAATAATTGAATATGATATAAATAATAAATATGACCAAATAACACATATAAAGATTATTTGATATGAGAAAGATCCATAGAATATTATATAAGAACTTCCACAATCTTGCTGTGTTAAGAATTAATATCTATATAGTGAACTTGCACATGTACTCTTGAATTTAAAATAAAAGTTGAAAAAAAACCCCACATAACTACTTATGATATAAATAAAAAGTAAAAAACGAACAAAAATAGGTGCAACCTGGGAATTGTGTTGGTACTTGCACCAGCTCAAGAACAGTTATCACAAGGGAGAAGGTTTGTCTTCTAATCCAGGCCAGTAACAAAGAAAGTTATAGGGTACACTGGTTCACGCTAAGCTTAAAGAAAAAAATAATAATAATAACCATCATATAAATGCATATTACAGTACAAGGGACTCCTTCCAGTAGCTTTAAATTAAGATAGATATCAGAAGAAAAAAAAAACAGGAAACCAAGTGTGTCTTACTTTAAAAAATGATAAACACAAATGTAATTCAATTTGACAAACATTTATCAAGTATTTTCTACATGCAAGGCACTAAGTTGGGAGCTAGAAGAAAAATTAACAAGTGAATAACTTTGGTACCTATCCTGAAAAAGTATATATAAGTGTAGCAGGAAAGACAGACAGGTAAACAACTAGCAAAAGAGAGTGATAGGAACAAAGAAGGCAAAAAAACCAATACACTTAGCGGGAGGGAGAGAATCCAAGATGGGTTTCAGTAAGAAGATAACACTTAAGCTATGCTTCTGACAGATAAAAAGATATGCAGGAATGTGGGATTTTTATTACTACAAGAGTCATTCTATTTTCTTTTCTTTTCTTTCTTTTTTTTTTTTTTTTGAGACAGGGTCTCTCTCTGTTGCACAGAGTGAGTTCAGTGGCACAATCATGGCTTACTGCAGCCTCGACCTTTTGGGCTCAAGTGATCCTCCCACCTCAGCCTCCTGTGTAGCTGGGACTAAAGGCATATGCCACCACTCCTGGCTAATTAAAAAAAAATTTTTCTGTAGAGACAAGGTATCCCTATGTTGTTCATGCTGGTCTTGAACTACTTGACTCAAGCAATCCTCCCACCTTGGCCTCCCAAAGTGCTTAGATTACAGGCATGAGCCACTGCGCCTGGCCAATTATATATATTTTGGTTTTTTTGTACTGACGAGGTCTTCTTATGTTGCTCAGGCTGGTCTCGAACCCCTAAGCTGAAATGATCCTCCCACCTCAGCCCCCCAAAGTGCTGGGATTACAGGCATGAGCCACCGTGGCTGCCCTAAGTCATTCTATTTTCTTTGGGATATATATAATAGTTTAGAAAAATATTTAATTTATGAAAATTAGTTTTTTCACATTATTTTTAAAAATATACATTACACATTCACTTTATTGCATGTAAGTATTACTAAAAATATTTTTAAACCACCAATATTGCCCAGAAACATTTCCTGGGTAAGGGGGAAATTGTGCAGATGGCTTCTGGAAGACCTCCAGTCTAGGTAGGTTTATGGTGAAACATTTCATCCAGAAGTCGGGGCCTTTTGTCTTCAGTTTGCTGGAACCCACATTCACTAAGCAGAGCTTGTAATGATCATTGGGACCCAGTAAAAATGGAAATGTTCATGTTAAATTCAAGAGGAAGTACATTGTAGGTTTGGGAAGAAAGGCCAAGTACACAGTGGTAAAGAGCTAAGAGAAGAACTTGGGAGCTCCATATCAGATACGGCTTAGGTAAACTCTGGCCTCACAAGAGGGAGGTTACAGGGGAGGGGAATGACTCTGTACAAACAGCATTTACAGGTCTAAAATGCTGCTTTAGAGAAGGATCAAAGATGAGCACACTGAGAAAGATTTAAAACAGATAACCATGATGAAGTCATGAGCCAGAGAAGAACAAGGTAAGTAACAGGGTCTTGAAATCCCTAGAGAAATAGTTGGTGAAATGAACATTTTTGATTTATTCAAAGGTCAAAAAGGGAAAGTTTCCAAACTATGTTCAGTAATGAAGAGGCATTATTGAAATGACATAATCTGAAAATGGTTATTTTGATAATCCCTTCTTCCTCTCCACTTTTACCGAAACTTCTTTAAGGGCCCAAATCAAATCCTACCTACATTTGGTGAATTTTTGTTAATCATCCTACTCAAAATGACCACTCTTGTTACAGCACTTAACCGTTTTAACCTCTCACCTGGCACTTAGCATAGATTGCCTTGCATAGACAGATCTCTTTTCACTAAATCTGATCAACTGATATTTATGACTTATCTCCTCAGTTACATTTCTTGAGGGCAGTGGCCTTATATTCATTCAATAGCAAATACCCACTGATCATCTACTACAAAAGGCTCTATAAAGGAATACAAAAGAAAACCAGACAGACTGCCCTCATGCAAATTAAACTAGTTCCAAATTTTCAAGAGTACAGGTATTTAAAACCTAATAGATATTATTTCAGATGTGGTTCAGTTATGATGTAATAAAGTTATTCTTTTCCCCAAAATTAATTTAACAGATTCATCCTTCACCCCAAACTAATTTCAGTATAATTTTTCATTCACTCTTCATTTACTTAGAATTAAAATGCATCAGTCAAAAATCATGAATGCATAAGACCTTTAAAATGCATTTTAAATTTAGACTAAATTAACCTTAATTATTAAAAATGCAGATGATTTATTACTGTTAAAATCTCACAAAAGATACCTTCTATATTTGATATGGTTAGGTTTTGGGTCCCCACCCAAATCTCATCTTGAATTGTAATCCCCAGGTGTTGAGGGATCTGGTGGGAGGTGATTGGATTATGTGGGTGGTTCCCCCATGCTGTTCTTGAGACTGAGTGAATTCTTACAAGATCTGATGGTTTTACAAATGGTAGTTTTCCCTGTGCTTGCACACACTCTCCTGCTGCCATGTGAAAAGGTCCAAGTTTGCTTCCCCTTCGCCTTCTTCCATGACTGTAAGGTTCCTGAGGTCTCCCCAGCCATGTGGAACTGTGAGTCAATGAAACCTCTTTTCTTCATAAATTACCCAGTCTCAGGTATTTCTTTATAGAAGTGTGAAAATGGACTAATACTGTTACAGGTAGTTAGGCATGAGTGAGGCCGGGGAGGGCTCTCCCCCCACCCACTAGAAATGTCGGGTGATAGTTCAGCAATTATCGCATTGCCTCTCTCAGCAGTAGGGGTGCCAGGGAGAGGTTGTTTCCGGATGGTCCACACCTGTTAACATCGAGACAAAAATGGTGAAGTACGATCTCGGGGGGGTGGGTACGCTCCACCAGAAAAGGGAAGAAAGCCTCAGATGGGCATGTGTATAACTCCCTGAACACACTGCGCGTGCTCAATTCCAAAGGGTAAGGAAAGCACGGGGCATGAGAAAGCCCACCCTAAGGGAAGTATCATGGGAAAGAGGCGAGCCCATAAAGTCCTAGGATCAAGGTAAAAGGGCCTTTTTTTTCTGTCTTCTTTTGCTGTCTTTTTTTTTTAACTTATTTATTTATTTTTCCTTTTTTTAAATTATACTTTAAGTCCTAGGGTACATGTGCACAACGTGCAGGTTTGTTACATATGTATACATGTGCCATGTTGGTGTGCTGCACCCATTAACTCGTCATTTACATTAGGTATATCTCCTAATGCTATCCCTCCCCACCCCACAACAGTCCCCGGTGTGTGATGTTCCCCACCCTGTGTCCAAGTGTTCTCATAGTTCAATTCCCACCTATGAGTGAGAACATGCAGTGTTTGGTTTTTTGTCTTTGTGATAGTTTGCTGAGAATGATGGTTTCCAGCTTCATCCATGTCCCTACAAAGGACACGAACTCATCCTTTTTTTATGGCTGCATAGTATTCCATGGTGTATATGTGCCACATTTTCTTAATCCATTCTATCATTGATGGACATCTGGGTTGGTTCCAAGTCTTTGCTATTGTGAATAGTGCCACAACAAACATACGTATGCATGTGTCTTTATAGCAGCATGATTTATAATCCTTTGAGTATATACCCAGTAATGGGATGGCTGGGTCAAATGGTATTTCTAGATCTAGATCCTTGAGGAATCGCCACACTGTCTTCCTCCATGGTTGAACTAGTTTACACTCCCACCAATAGTGTAAAAAGTGTTCCTATTTCTCCACATCCTCTCCAGCACGTGTTGTTTCCTGACTTTTTAATGATCGCCATTCTAACTGGTGTGAGATGGTATCTCATTGTGGTTTTGATTTGCATTTCTCTGATGGCCAGTGATGGTGAGCATTTTTTCATGTGTTTTTGGGCTGCATAAATGTCTTCTTTTGAGAAGTGTCTGTTCATATCCTTCGCCCACTTTTTGATGGGGTTGTTTTTTTCTTGTAAATTTGTTTGAGTTCTTTGTAGATTCTGGATATTAGCCCTTTATCAGATGAGTAGACTGCAAAAATTTTCTCCCATTCTGTAGGTTGCCTGTTCACTCTGATGATAGTTTCTTTTGCTGTGCAGAAGTTCTTTAGTTTAATTAGATCTCATTTGTCAATTTTGGCTTTTGTTGCCATGCTTTTGGTGTTTTAGACATGAAGTCCTTGCCCATGCCTATGTCCTGAATGCTATTGCCTAGGTTTTCTTCCAGGGTTTTTATGGTTTTAGGTCTAACATTTAAGTCTTTGATCCATCTTGAATTAATTTTTGTATAAGGAGTAAGGAAGGGATCCAGTTTCAGCTTTCTACATATGGCTAGCCAGTTTCCCCAGCACCATTTATTAAATAGGGAATCCTTTCCCCATTTCCTGTTTTTGTCAGGTTTGTCAAAGATCAGATGGTTGTAGATGTGTGGTATTATTTCTGGGGGCTCTGTTCTATTCCACTGGTCTATATCTCTGTTTTGGTACCAGTACCAGGCTGTTTTGGTTTCTGTGGCCTTGTAGTATAGTTTGAAGTCAGGTAGCGTGATGCCTCCAGCTTTGTTCTTGGCTTAGGATTCACTTGGCAATGTGGGCTCTTTTTTGCTTTCATATGAACTTTAAAGTAATTTTTTCCAATTCTGTGAAGAAAGTCATTGGTAGCTTGATGCGGATGGCATTGAATCTATAAATTACCTTGGGCAGTATGGCCATTTTCACGATATTGATTCTTCCTACCCATGAGCATGGAATGTTCTTCCATTTGTAAATTAGGTATTGATGGGACGTATCTCAAAATAATAAGAACTATTTATGACAAACCCACAGCCAATATCATACTGAATGGGCAAAAACTGGAAGCATTCCCTTTGAAAACTGGCACAAGACAAGGATGTCCTCTCTCACTATTCCGATTCAACATAGTGTTGGAAGTTCCGGCCAGGGCAATCAGGCAGGAGAAAGAAATAAAGGGTATTCAATTAGGAAAAGAGGAAGTCAAATTGTCCCTGTTTGCAGATGACGTGATTGTATATCTAGAAAACCCCATCGTCTCAGCCCAAAATCTCCTTAAGCTGATAAGCAACTTCAGCAAAGTCTCAGGATACAAAATCAATGTGCAAAAATCACAAGCATTCTTATACACCAATAACAGACAAACAGAGAGCCAAATCATGAGTGAATTCCCATTCACAATTGCTTCAAAGAGAATAAAATACCTAAGAATCCAACTTACAAGGGAGGTGAAGGACCTCTTCAAGGAGAACTACAAACCATTGTTTTTTTGCTTTCTTCTCTTGGACCTTCAGGTCTCCTTCAAGCAAATTTTCCTTTCTTTCCTATCCTAAAACCTTTTAAATAAGCTTCCACTCCTGATCTGAAAATTGCCTCAGTCTCTTTTTCTGCTGTATGGCCCTCAGTCGAATTCTTTCTTCTGAGGAGGCAAGGACTGAAGTTGCTGTGGACCCATATGGATTCACTGCCAGTAACTTGGATCTCTTCCACCGCTAACAATACAATAGTTTTATGATTTATTGTCATTAAATAGCATAAAAATTTCCTCAATTGCCTTAATACATGCAAAAAAAGTTTTTCAAACAGCTATTTATTATATAAACACAAGAGAAAAAATTTTTTTTCTGACGACTGCGCTGCCTCCACATTACTCAGACCAAGACTCAGGATTCCCCAAAGATTAGTGATCTGGGTTCTATAACCTTTTTAAAAACAATATGTCATTGTCTTCTTTAATCTATAGAGATCACAATTTTTTTAAATTATCACATAATATTACATTATATGGATATATTATAATTTGTATAATCCCTTATTGGCAGATAGTTATGTTATTTTCAGGTTTTCACAACAGAAAAAAGCAATATTATGAACATCTGTATTAATTTCCTAGGGCTGCCGTAACAAATTACCACAAACTGGGTAGCTTAAAAAACCAATTCAATTTCTTACAATTCAGGATGTCCACAGTTCAAAATCAAGGTGTCAGCAGGGGTGGTTCCTTCTAGAGCCCCTGAAGGAAAAATTGTGTCATGCTTCTCTCTCAGCTTCAGGTGGTTGCTAGCAATCTTTGGCATTCCTCACTTTGCCTTCTACTCTCTATGTCACTATGTTTTCTTCTAAGGATACCAATCACTGAACTTAAGGAATACTCTAATTCCAGTAGATTTAATCTCAAGATCCTTAATTATTAATGTATCTGCAAAGAGCTTATTTTCAATTAAGGTCACATTCTGAGGTTCCTGACAGACATGAACTTTGGGGAGACATTATACAACCACTAGAACATTCTTAAAAATATTTATTTGTTCATACATTTTGTTAAGTTCACAGGATGAATTCCCTAGGGTAGAATCTCCTCTTGGAGAAACTCCCCAGCTTCCCTCTAAGAATTTTCCTTTTAGCCTCTATTGGGGTAGGCAGCAAATTATAAGACCTTCCCCACTCCCTCATTCCCCTTGCCAAATCTCACACTAATCCCAGATTCTTTGTCTGGAAAATCAGAATTAGGACTCAAATAAAAATGATACTTTTTTGGATACTTATAGTGAAGGTAGTGTAAAGCTAAAGCTGAGGCTTCCATATTTAGGCCAAGTATATAAGGAATGAGAGAAAGCTGTTCTATAGAGGAAGAAGAAAAAGGCAGATGAGGCAGATAGTAGCAGACATTAAACACCATGGTAGTGTCAGAGGCATTTGAACCAGGGCAACTCCATCTTGAATACTGGCTGGATAAAATGAGGCTGAAATCTGCTGAGCTGCATTCTCAGGAGATTAGGCATTCATAATCACGGAACAAGACAGGAGGTCAGCAGGATGGGATTTTGGCTGATAAAGAAGCCAGCCAAAATCCATCAAAACCAAGATGGCAAAAAAAGTGACCTCTGGCCCTGGCACTGCTAATCATATGCTAATTATAATGCATTAGCATGCGAAAAGACACTCCCACCAGTGCCACGACAGTTTGCAAATGTCATGGCAACGTCTGGAAGTTACCTTATATAGTCCAGAAGAGGGAGGAACCCTCAGTTCCAGGAATTGCCCGCCCCTTTCCTGGAAAACTCATAAATAACTCACTCCTTGTTTAGCATATAATTAATAAATAACCATAAAAATAGCCAACCAGCAGCCCTCAGGGTTGCTCTGCCCTTGGAGAAGCCATTCTTTTATTCCTTTACTTTCTTAATAAACTTGCTTTCGATTTACATGGACTTGCCTGGAATTCTTTCTTGCGCAAGATCCAAGAACCCTCTCTTGGGGTCTGGATTGGGTAACAGTAGCAGAGACTGTAGAGAGTAATCTTAATAACTATAAACAATTTTAATCAGAAAAATGGTCATTGTTTCTGATTTTCCTATAATCACGTAAGTATTCATCCATGTAACTTAATAATCTTTGAAAATACAATTTCGATGGCAGCATAATGTTCTATCATATAATAATCACTTAATCATTATATTTGTGGGTGCATTACACAGTACAACCAAACTACTTTCCAGAATGGTTGGACCAATTATAATCCTATTAGCAGTACATAACGGTGACTGGTTCACATATTAACTTCAGTAACATTGAACAATATAATGTCTTACTTTAAGAGGTAGAAAACTATATATTATTACTTTTTAATTTACATTTCTCTGGGTTACTAAACTATTTATATGTTTATTATTTTCTGTTTATTAATGGTATATTTTCTTTGGCGAAATGTTTATCCAAGTTACTTAACCACCTTGCGCCTTAATTTTCTCCTCTGTAGATTAGGCATAATACCTATTATGATGATGAAATATTGCAAAAGTGAATTGAGTAAGCAAGGAATAAATGTTAGTTCTCTTTTAAAGAGTTTATTCTACAATGAGATAAAACACCTTTATTCTGATAGGGTGAAATATCTTAGAAAAACATACAGTCTATAATAATTTGTTAGAAAAAATAATAGATTCAATGGAATTATATGTAGTCTTTTTTCAGAAAGCAGTAAGAAATAGTTACTCTTAAGTAACTTATCTGTGAAAATCATAATTTTTTATTATTATTATTATACTTTATGTACTGGGACACATGTGCAGAACGTGCAGGTTTGTTACATAGTTATACATGTGCCATGGTGGTTTGCTGCACCTATCAACCGGTCATCTACATTAGGTATTTCTCCTAATGCTATCCCTCCCCTTGCCCCCCACCCCCCAACAGGCCCCAGTGTGTGGTGATGTTCCCCTCCCTGTGCCCATATGTTCTCATTGTTCAACTCTCACTTATGAGTGAGAACATGTGGTGTTTGATTTTCTGTTCCTGTGCTAGTTTGCTGAGAATGATTCTTTCCAGCTTCATCCATGTCCTGGCAACAGATATGAACTAATTCTTTTTTATGGCTGCATAGTATTCCATGGTGTATATATGTCACATTTTCTTTATCCAGTCTATCATTGATGGGCATCTGGGTTGGTTCCAAGTCTTTGCTATTGTGAATAGTGCTGCAATAAACATACGTGTGCATGTGTCTTTATAGTAGAATGATTTATAATCCTTTGGGTACATACCCAGTAATGGGATTGCTGGGTCAAATGGTATTTCTGGTTCTAGATCCTTGAGGAATCGCCACACTGTCTTCCACAATGGTTGAACTAATTTACACTCCCACCAACAGTGTAAAAGCGTTCCTATTTTTCCACATCCTCTCCAGCATCTATTGTTTCCTGACTTTTTAATGATTGCCATTCTAACTGGCGTGAGATGGTATCTCATTGTGGTTTTGATTTGCATTTCTCTAATGACCGGTGATGATTAGCTTTTTTTCATATGTTTGTTGGCCATATAAATGTCTTCTTTTGAAAAGTGTCTGCTCACATCCTTTGCCCGCTTTTTGATGGGGTTGTTTTTTTTCTTGTAAATTTGTTTAAGTTCCTTGTAGATTCTGGATATTAGCCCTTTGTCAGATGGATAGATTGCAAAAATTTTCTCCCATTTTTAAGATTGCCTGTTCACTCTGATGATAGTTTCTTTTGCTGTGCAGAAGTTCTTTAGTTTAATTAGATCCCATTTGTCAATTTTGGCTTTTGTTGCCATTGCTTTTGGTGTTTTAGTCATGAAGTCTTTGCCCATACCTATGTTCTGAATGGTATTGCCTAGGTTTTCTTCTAGGGTTTTTGTGGTTTTAGGTTTTACATTTAACTGTTTAATCCAGCTTGAGTTAATTTTTGTACAAGGTGTAAGGAAGGGGTCCAGTTTCAGTTTTCTGCATATGGCTAGCCAGTTTTCCTAACACCATTTATTAAATGGGGAATCCTTTCCCCCATTTCTTGTTTTTGTCAGGTTTGTCAAAGATCAGATGGTTGTAGATGTGTGGTGTTATTTCTGAGGCCTCTGTTCTGTTCCATTGGTCTATATATCTGTTTTGGTACCAGTACCATGCTGTTTTGGTTACTGTAGCCTTGTAGTATAGTTTGAAGTCAGGTAGAATGATGCCTCCAGCTTTGTTCTTTTTGCTTAGGATTGTCTTGGCTATATGGGCTCTTTTTTGGTTCCATATGAAATTTAAAGTTGTTTTTTTCTAATTCTGTGAAGAAAGTCAATAGTTTTTTATATTTATTCAAATAAAAGCTTGATGGGAATAGCATTGAATCTATAAACTACTTTGGGCAGTATGGCCATTTTCACAATATTGATTCTTTCTATCTGTGAGCATGGAATGTTTTTCCATTTGTTTGTGTCCTCTCTTATTTCCTTGAGCAGTGGTTTGTAGTTCTCCTTGAAGAGGTACTTCACATCCCTTGTAAGTTATATTCCTAGGTATTTCATTCTCTTTGTAGAAATTGTGAATGGGAGTTCCCTCATGATTTGGCTCTCTGTTTGTCTACTATTGGTGTATAGGGATGCTTGTGATTTCTGCACATTTTGTATCCTGAGACTTTGCTGAAGTTGCTTATCAGCTTAAGGAGTTTTTGGGCTGAGACGATGGGGTTTTCTAATATACAATCATATTATTATTATAATACAATCATATGTTTTCTAAATATAAAATCATACTATTTCTAAATATACAATCATATTTTCTAAATATACAATCATACAATCAAGATGGAGTCTTGCTCTGTCGCCCAGGCTAGAGTGCAGTGGCACGATCTCAGCTCACTGCAACCTCCACCTCCCAGGTTCAAGTGATTCTCCTACCTCAGCCTCCCAAGTAGCTGGGATTACAGGCATGTGCCACCATGCCCAGTTAATTTTTTTATTTTTAGTAGAGACAGGGTTTCACCATGTTGGCCAGGCTGGTCTCGAACCCCTGACTTCAGGTGATCCACTTGCCTTGGCCTCCCAGGGTGCTGGGATTACAGGCGTCAGCCACTGTGCCCGGCAAAAATTATAATTTGTATATAATGACAAGCAACAATAGCTTTATAAAACTAGAACTTATTGGCTTATTTTTATTTTTATTTTTTGAGACAGGATCTCACTGTGTCGCCCAGGCTGGAGTGCAGTGGTATGATCTCAGCTCACTGCAAGCTCTCCCTCCTGGGTTCAAGTGACTCTCCTGCCTCAGCCTACCAAGAAGCTGGGACTATAGGCATGCATCACCATGCCCGGCTAATTTTTGTATTTTTTGGTGGAGACTGGCTTTCACTGTGTTGGCCAGGCTAGTCTTGAACTCCTGCCTCAAGTGATCCACCTACATTGGCCTCCCAAAGCACTGGGATTACAGGTGTGAGCCACTGTGCCCGGCTTTATTGGCTTATTTTATCCAATTCAAAAATAATCTTGTAAATCTGAACAGTCAGAAATCAAGGTGAAAACAATAAAAGCACTCAAGAAAATCACATACATACATATTACTTAATGTGCCCATGAGTTTAACAGTCATCCTTATTGGAAACAATATGAAAGAGAACCACAAAAATAGAGATATAAACACAGCATGTCCACTAAGAACAAATCAGCTAAATAACACTAGTTTCACAATAAATTTGCTTGAAATAGTGTCTAGTGAGCTGTGATCTACAGAAGACTTTCAAGTGCAGAAGCTATAACCAGATAACACAAAAGGTGCTGTGATGGGGCCACTGATCACACTCATAAGAACTAGTTCCTGGGCCTATCATAAAGAATGCTTGTTTCCTGAATTTGTACCTCATTGGAGGGATTCACTTTAAAGTGATAGGAGAAGCTTTAAATAATTGGGGTATTAAACTGGCTGTCTAATGTAAGTTGATGATCCAATCCTGTAAAAAAGGGTGAAAAAAAACAGTGAGAGAAGTGAATTAAGTATCTATTTTGCACCAGATGCTATACAACGTGACGCTTTTTTTTCAATTGAAGAAACTGTAAAATTCAGAATAAAGAATAATGTAACAAATAGGCTCATGCCTAAGAATTTATCATTGTTTATATTTTGTTATGTCTCTATCAAGCTTTTATTTGAATGAATACAAAAATCTATTGTAGATAAAGTCATGTCCAGGCATGGCGGCTCATGCCTATAATCTCAACACTTTGGGAGGCCAAGGTGGGGGGACTGCTTGAGCTCAGGAGTTCAAGATGAGCCTGAGCAACATAGTGAGATCCCATCTCAATATTTAAAATAAAAATAAAATAAAATAATACAAAAAAAAGTCAAAGTGTAATTGCCTGAGGGGTTCTTCTTGCCCACTGCACAGACAAAACCAGCTCACTGACACCATGGTACTGCAGTAAAGAAAGATTTTAACTGATGTGAGGCTGGCCACACGGAAGACAGAGTTATTACTCAAATTAGCCTCTCTGAAGGCTTGGAGGTTAGGGATTTTCAAGGATAATTTGGTGGGCAGGGAACTAGGGAATGGGTGCTGCTGATTGGTTGGAGATACAATCATAGGGGTGTGGAAAACAATCCTCTTGTGCTGAGTCTGTCTCTGGTTAGGGGGTGACAGGACCAGTTGAGTTATGAATCTCAATGCCAGAATGCAAAAATCTGAATTTCAAGTACCAATACTAGGAGTAATCAGAGAAGTCACAAATGTGTGTCCTCTGGCCTGTGACTCCTGAGCAGTAAGGGATTACAGAAATTACATCTATACTTGAGCAGAATTCAGGCCCCTCCCATAATCCTAATCTTGTGGCCTTTCATTAGTCTTACAAAGGCAGTTTCAGCCCCTGAACAAGCAGGGGATCAGTTATAGGGAGGGAATATTATCCTTGCTTCAAAGTTAAAAACTATAAACGAAATTCCTCCCATGGTTAGCTTTACCTACACACAGTAATGAGCGAAGGCAGCCAGCCTGTGAGGCTAGAAGCAAGATGGAGTCAGCCATGTTAGCTTTCTCTCAATGTCATAATCTTTGCAAAGGCAGTTTCAAAAGTCAACCATCTGTCTGGCCAATTCCCCTTCATGCATTTCCAGATGTAATGGTTAATTTGGTGTGTATCACTATAATTCATTTTTAAATGATTTTACATAAATGTATATCCACATAGTTTTGCTTTGTTTTCTTGTTTTATCAAAATAAGTGTAAATATCATTTTGCAAATAGCTTTTATCAATAAAAATTATTCTTGAGAGATCTATTAGATACTATATTTCATTCCTTTTAATTTCTGTATAGTATGCTATCATAGAAATATAAACCACATTTTGTTTATCCATTCCCATATTAATGAACATTCTAGATTGTTTCCTATGTTTTTGTTAAACAATACTGCAGTGAGCAACCTTGTTTATACTTCCTTATGTACGTTTACACAAATGTCTTGTTTCATGCTTTATATGCATATAGAAGAGTCTTCCTAGTTGGTGGAGAAGGAAAAGAAAAAAAGAAAGAAATGGAAAGGGGTCTTGAGCTACCACAGAAGGCAAAAGGTCTAAGGGCAATGAATGCTCACTGCAGTAGAATTCACCCCATTCACCCCATTATCACTGCTATATTTCAGGCCCTCTTTCCTTGACTTGGCATGATAAAAAGTAAAGTAAGAAAAAAGTAAAAGAACGACAAATGCTAAATACATTATTTTACATGAGGGGAGTCAATAGATATTGTTTCACTTTTGATAGAGAAATGTAGATTCAATTTTTTTTAATTTAAAGGTAAGCTTGTAACATAAAAAAAATCTTCTAAATCATACTTTATTCAGGCCACAAAATATTTCATAATGCACAATCACATTTTCACTAAAAAAATACACACACATGGCCAGGTGTGGTGGCTCATGCTTGTAAACCCGGCACTTTGGGAGGCCGAGGTGAGTGGATCACCTGAGGTCAGGAGTTCGAGACCAGCCTGGCCAACATGGTGAAACCCCATCTCTATTAAAAATACAAAAATTAGCTGGGCATGGTGGCATGTACCTGCAATGCCAGCTACCCGGCAGGCTGAGGTACGAAAATCACTTGAACCAGGAGGTGGAGGTTGTAGTGAGCCGAGATTGTGCCACTGCACTCCAGCCTGGGCAACAAAGGGAGACTCCATCTCAAACACACACACACACACACACACACACATACATAGAGAAAAGACATATAGCAAATAATTAACTGGTTAAGAAGAACTTTTCCATGAGGCCACAGATGTGGGTTGAGAGGGGCAGCGAAACAGTAGGAGGTGGTACCATGGAGTCTAGATCACCTGCTTGTGCAGTTTAATTGTGCCTCATCTCCAGCCGGGTCCCAATTTTACCCATTTCATTTTATTTTTTTATTTTTATTTTAATATTTGAAGAGGTTTATTCTGACTCAAATATGAGTGACCACGTCCATGACACAGCCTCACGAGGTCCTGGGAATATGTGTCCAGGGTGGCTGGGTTACAGCTTGGCTTTATACAATTTAGGGAGACAGAGGGTACAGTCAAAGACATAAATTTATGCATGTAAGGTACACATTGGTTCAGTCCAGAAGGGTGGGACATCTTTATGGGGGGTGGCAGGGAGGGCTTACAGGTCATAGGTGAATTTAAAGATTTTCTGATTGACAATTGGTTGAAAGAGTTGAGGTTTTCCTAAAGAGTTGAAGTAGACAGAAAGAAATGCTTAAGATAAGGGGGGTTGGGCAGAGTGCAGTAGCTCACGCCTGTAATCCCAGCACTTTGTGGGGCTGGGGCAGGGTCGCAGGTGGGGATCACTTAAGGTCAGGAGTTCGAGACTAGCCTGGCCAACATGGTGAAACCTCGTCTCTACTAAAAATACAAAAATCAGCTGGGTTTGGTGGTGTGTGCCCCTAATCCTAGCTACTTGGGAGACTGAGGCACGAGAATCACTTGAACCCACGAGGCTGAGGTTGCAGTGAGCCAAAATTGCACCACTGCACTCCAACCTGGGTGACAGAGCGAGACTTCATCTCGAAATAAAAATAAAAATAAGGGTATTGGAAGCCAATAACAAGTTCTTGTTATGTTTTTATCATATAGATGAAGTCCCAAGTTGGAGACTTCAGAGAGAATAATAGATAGTAAATGTCTCCTATCAGACCTTAAAAGATGTCACACTCTCCTGGATCAGGAAAAGACCTTGAAAGGGAAGAAGATCCTCTATATGCAAATTTTCCCCATAAGAGGTGGCTTTGCAGGGCCATTTCAAAATATGTCGAAGAAATATTACTTTGGGGTAAAATACTTTCATTTCCTTCAGGGCCTGCCATCTACCATGTGATGCTATAACAGAGAGTCAGGTTGGAGTTGGGTATCTTATTGCAAAAAGAATCTGGTTGTCAGTCTTTTATGATCTCTATTTTAATGCTGACACTGGTCAGCTGTGCCTAAACTCCAATGGGAGGAGTTATAAGCAGACATGTCAGACCTCTCTTTTCCTGTCATGGCCTGAACCAGTTTTTCAGGTTTCTTTGGGATTCCCCTTGGCCATAAAAGGTGTGTGTGTGTGTGGGCCGGGGGCGGGTGGGGGGGTGGGAGGGGCGTTTCCATTCATTTAGTTGAAGGCAATTTCATTGTTAAATTGAATGCTGGGCAGAGTGATTACTAGTGTTGCATTTCCTTTTTTGCTTCTTTGGCTTGGTATAGTTGATAAAGGTTTCACTGAAGAGACAATATTTGAAGGTGCTTTAAAGGATGCATAGGAGAGGAGTATTCAGGGCAGAGATAACACATATAGTTGACTCTGGAACAACACAGGTTTGAACTGTCCAGGTATACTTCTATGTGGATTTTTTTCAATAAATATATTGGAAAATTTTTTGGAGATTTGTGACAATTTGAAAAAACTTGCAGACAAACTATGTAGCTTGGAAATATAAAAAAATTAAGAAAAAGGTATGTCATGGATACATAAAACTTATGTAAATACTAGTCTATTTTATCATTTACTAACATATACATAAATCTATTATAAAAAGTTAAAATTTATCGAAACTTACACATATACTTACAGATGGTAAACAGCACTATTCATAGTCAAGAAAAATAGAAATGTAAAGATGTAGTATTAAATGATAACTGCATAAGATTAACTTAGTACATACTGCAAATACTGTAATAATTTCATAGCCATTTCCTGTTACTACTGTGGTGAGCTCAAGTCTCACGAGCATCTGCTTAAAACACTATGTGATACTAATCATCTCCCTGTGAGCAGTTCATCTCTCCAGTAAATTGCATATGGCAGTAAAAAGTGATCTCTTGTGGTTCTCATGTATTTTTATCGTGTTTAGTGCAATATTGTAAACTTTGAATAACACCACAGGACCTATATGAAGTGTCACTAGTGATGCTAGAAGTGCTCCCAAGAAGCAGAGAAAAGTCATTACATAACAAGAAAAGGTTTAATTGCTTCATATGTACTGTACTTTAAGGTCTGCAGCTGCGGTTGCCAACCATTTCAAGACAAATGAATCCAGTGTAAAGACCATTGTAAAAAAACAAAAAGGGAATTTGTGAAGGCATCACTGCAGCTATGCCAGCAGGAGCAAAAACTTTGCACTTTTTGTGAAATACCTTTTTATCTTGTATTGAAATGCAGCTTTTATGTGGGTCCAGGATTGCTAAAGGAAAGGCCTATCTATAGATTCTCATGTGATTCGAGAAAAAGCAAAGTCATTATATGATGACTTAAAGCAAAAGAAAGGTGAAGGATCTAAAGCTGGAGATTTAATGCCAGCATAGGATGGTTTGATAATTTTAGAAAGGGGTTGGGCTTTAAAATGTCAAGATGGCAGGAGAAGCAGCTTCTGTAGACCAAAAGGCAGAAGACAAGTTCCCAGATGCCATTAAGAAAATTGAGAAGAAAGAATATCTGCCTGAACAGGTTTTTAATGCAAACAAAAGTACCCTATTCTGGAAAAAAAAAATGCCACAAGGGACATTTATTAGTAAGGAAGAGAAGCAAGCACCAGGATTTAAGGCAGGAAGGGATAGGTTAACTCGAATAAAGGAGGAGACCACCCCTCACATTGTCTTATGTCCAATTTCTGCCTCCAAAGAAAGAAAAAGTAAAAACTAAAAGGCAGAAATGAAATCCACAAGCAGACAGCCCGGCACCACACCCTGGGCCTGGTAGTTAAAGATCCACTCCTGACCTGATTGGTTATGTTATCTATAGATTACAGACATTGTATAGAAAAGCACTGTGAAAATCCCTATCCTGTTTTGTTCCAATCTAATTACCGGTGCATGCAGTCCCCAGTCACGTACCCCCTGCTTGCTCAATCGATCACGACCCTCTTGCATGCACCCCCTTAGAGTTGTGAGCCCTTAAAAGGGACAGGAATTGCTCACTCGGGGAGCTCGGCTCTTGAGACAGGAGTCTTGCCGATGCCCCTGGCAGAATAAACCCCTTCCTTCTTTAACTCGGTGTCTGAGGAGTTTTGTCTGTGGCTCGTCCTGCTACACTACTACTTTGTGCAAAGGCAGTTGGATTTATGATCAGGACTGCCCTTATCTATAAAGCTGCTAACCCCCAAGTCTTGAAGGGAAAAGACAAAACCAGCTTCCAGTCTCTGGTTATGCAACAAGAGGGCCTGGAAAACAAGAACGCTTTTTCTAGATTGGTTCCATTGATGCTTTGTCCCTGAAGTCAGAAGTATCTTGTTAGTAAGGAACTGCCTTTTAAAAGTTTTTTTTTTTTTTAAATGTTGGACAATGTTGGACAATGCCTCTGCCCACTGAGAACCCCATAAGTTCAACACCAAAAGTATCAAAGTGATCTACCCCCTTAAATGCAAAATCTCTAAATCAGGGGATCCGAAGGACCATTAAGGCTCATGTAAACACAACACTCTGTGGAAAACATTGTCAACGCTATGAAAGAGAGGCCCATAGACAGAACATCATGAAAGTCTGGAAAATTACACCATAGAAGATGCCATTATTATAGAAAAAAGTCATGAATGCCATCAAGCCCCAAAACAATAGATTCCTGTTGGAGAAAATTGTGTCCAGATGTTGTACACATGACTTCACAGGATTTACAACAGGGTCAGTAAAGGAAATCATGAAACAGATTGTAGATACGGCAAAAAAGGTAGAGGGTGAAGGGTTTCAAGATATGAACCTTGGAGAAATTAAATACCTAATAGATACTACATCACAGGAATTAGCAGAAGATGGCTTGATGGAAATGAGTGCTTCTGAACCAATGCCAGAATGGGGAAGAAGATGTAGAAGAAGCAGTGCCTGAAAACAAACTGACATTAGACAATCTGGCAGAAGGGTACCTATTATTTTATTTACTATTTTGATTAATGGAGACAGAGTCTTACTATGTTGTCCAGGCTGGTCTTAAACTTCTGGCCTCAAGCAATCCTTTCACCTCAGCTTTCCAAAGTGCTGGGATTATGAAAATGAGACCCCTTACCTGGCCAGAAGGGTTCCTATTATTCAAGACTGCTTTGACTCCTTTTACGACATAGACCCTTATATGATACTAGCACTGAAACTAAAGCAAATAGTGGAAAAGTACTGTTATCATATAGAAACATTTTTAGAGAAATGAAAAAGCAAAAAAGTTACACAGAAATTACATGTGTCTTCTTAAAGTCACACCAACTGTGCCTGCCTCTCCTGCCTCCCTTTCCACCTTCTCCACCTCTTCTGCCTCTGCCACCCCTGAGACAGGACCAGCCCCTCCTCTTCCTCAGCTTACTCAATGTGAAATGATGAGGATGAAGACGTTCATGACAATCCACTTCCACTTAATGAATAGTAAATATATTTTCTCTTCCTTATGATTTTCTTAGAGACAGGCTTTTGCTATGTTGCCCAGGCTGGTCTTGAACTCTTGGCCTCAAGCAATCTTCCCACCTTGGCTTCCCAAAGCAATAGGATTACAGACATGAGCTACTGCACCTGGCCCTGATTTTCTTAATAACACTTTATTTTCTTTCACTTACTTTATTATAAGAAGAATATAGTATATAATACATGCACAAAATATGTGTTAATGATCAACTGTTTATGTTATCAGTATGGCTTCAACAGTAAGCTATTAGTAATTAGGCTTTTGGAAAGTCAAAATTGTACATGAATTTTTGACTGGGGTCGGGGGTTGTGCTCAGCACCCCAACCCCTATGTTATTCAAGGGTCAACCGTATATGTGCAAAAATAGGAAAGAACATGGTGTGCCTAGGGAATCTTGCAAAGTAACATGTCTAGGGGAAAGGTATGTCATGAGGCAAAGCTACTAAGATAAACTAGAAGATAAACATGAATAACATGTCTGTGATCTCCCTAAAAAATAAAGAGCAAATGATAAAGAGGAAGGATAAAAAGACAATTAACTTTAAGATAAGCCTAATAGTCTGGACGTGTTAGCAACAGGATACAAAAGGACAAAATAGGACAATACTGCAATATAAATTATAAAGGGGGCTTGAATTAAGATGTCTGTGAGATAGGAAAAATGAAAGAGAAGAAAGGCATATATTTGACTAAGATTTCGATGATGAAAGGATATGTTTCCAACTGATATTCCAAATTGGTCACACAGAAGACAACAAAAAGCATGCAATATAACTATTACACTGCTGAAAAACTAATAAAATGTCAGAAGTATTAAGAAAGTTATCTGCTTTCTTTCCGTAGAAGAAAGGAAGAAATAACTTTAAATATGCAGGGCATTTGTCATAAATATTCCCCAAACAGATTTTTCATTATAATAAGGTGCTTAGTATGGTGGCTGACACATACCAGGTACCAATAGATATGGGCTATTATATTAGTAGTGTTGTTTTTCATATTAGCAAAAAGGCCACAAAAGGAACTCATTTTCCCTAGAAATCTGTATATTCTTTAATTAACAAATAGTGCTTTCTCTTTGAAATCTTGGCATGGGTTTTCAGAATTTAAAGTCTTTCCTGATGCCAAGATTATAAGGCATCTCATCAGATCTAGTTGTTGAAAAAACCTTTAAATAGAAGATGAAATATATAAAACTTCCTCTGGTGGTAGGAAGATCACCAACGAGGATTTTTTTTTTTTTTTTTTTTTTTTTTTTTGAGACGGAGTCTCGCTCTGTCGCCCAGGCTGGAGTGCAGTGGCGGGATCTCGGCTCACTGCAAGCTCCGCCTCCCGGGTTCACGCCATTCTCCTGCCTCAGCCTCCCAAGTAGCTGGGACTACAGGCGCCCGCCACTACGCCCGGTTAATTTTTTGTATTTTTAGTAGAGACGGGGTTTCACCGTTTTAGCCGGGATGGTCTCGATCTCCTGACCTCGTCATCCGCCCGCCTCGGCCTCCCAAAGTGCTGGGATTACAGGCGTGAGCCACCGCGCCCGGCCACCAACGAGGATTTTGAACAAGTCTCTGCATAGAGTAGGGCCCATTATCTGAAATGAGAAACTAATTATATCTTCTTACTTACTGCTAAAATATACTCCATTAAAACTCCTCTATAAGTTGGGCATAGCAGCATGCACCTGTAGTCCCAGCTATTCAGAAGGCTGAAGTGGGAGGATCACTTGAGCCCAGGAGTTTGAATCCAGCCTGGGCAATACAGCAAGACCCTGTCTCAAAAAACAAACAAACAAAACCTTCCTCTATAAAGTAGCAGACTCCAAAAAGTGAAATGTAAATACTATGTTCGAGTAGACAAATCTTTTTTAGTAGGTTAAAGGCAACAGTTCTCAAACGGTGGTTGATGTACCCTTTTTGGAGTCTTTGAGGTCAAAACTATTTTCATAATACTTAGAGTTATTTAACTTATGCACTGTATTGACATTTACACTAATGGCACATTTACATTAATGGCACAAAAGCAATGGTAGGTACACTTTTGCACAAATTAGGGCAGTAACAACCAGTCTATACTATAATAATTGTATTCTTCTCCACCACCATATATTCATAGTTAAAAAAAAAAGTCAGCTTCAATTAACAGTGCCTTTTATGAAGCAATAAAAATTACTAATTGTATTAAATCTCAACTCTTGGGTGCACATCTTTTTAATATTCTCTATCATTAAATGGAATTTACATAAAGAACTTCTACTATATCCCAAAGTATAATGTTGTCTCAAGGAATAGCACTTGTATGACTGTTTTGAGATGTCAGCTCAACTTAGCCGCTTTTTTCATCAACCACATTTTTACCTAAAAGATGAACTGACAAGTAAACTATGATTATTCATTCCTGGGTATTTAGAAGATGTTTTCCTAGAAATGAGCAAATTGAGCCTTGTCCTTTCAAAAAAAAAGAACAAATAAGTGTATTTTCCTTTTTTGCCAGCAATAAAATTCAAGCAAAAATAAGAATTTTGGAAAACTTGCATCTACCACAATAAGCTTGACAGCTTCCCAATACTTAAAGACTTCTGATGATGTCAGAGATGATAATAATAACACGTGTTTTTTTTTAATATTACATAAAGAAATATCTCAACACCTGGAAGATCTGCATCAACAGTGAACCAATATTTTCCAAATGATCTATGCATGGTGCTATAAAATGATGCATAGGTAAAAGTCCATTCAAAGTGCAAGAAAGGCCAATGGATCTTAATGTATGATGGCAAGAAAAATTCAATGATATGATCTCAGATTCCACATTCCAATTAACCTTAACACTACCACTTGTCAAGTTTTGGTATACGTAATGTCAAAGAACATCCACAATTATCTAGAAAGGCTATTAAAGTTCTCCTCCCTGGCCAGGTGTGGTGGCTCATGCCTGTAATCCCAGCACTTTGGGTGGCTGAAACGGGCAGATCACTTGAGGCCAGGTGTTTGAGACCAGCCTAGCCAACGTGGTGAAACCCCATCTCTACAAAAATACAAAAATTAGCCAGGTGTAGTGGCACACACCTGCAATCCCAGCTACTCGGGTGGCTGAGTCATGAGAATCACTTGAGCCCAGGAGGTGGAGGTTGCAGTGAGCTGAGATTGCACCACTGCACTCCAGCCTGGGCAACAGAGCAAGACTCTGTCTCAAAAACAAACAGACAAACAAAAAACCAACAACAACAACAACAACAACAAAAAACTCCCTTCAACAACTACATATATCTGTGTAAAGCCTAATTTTCTTTAAATACTTCAACCAAAACAACAGATTACAACAGATTAAATGCAAAAGCATATATGAAAATCCAGCTGACTTCAATAGAAAAAAAATCCACATATAAAGCTCTTCTGGATTCTCAATAATTTTAGGAGAAGAAGGTGGTCCTGAAAGCAAAAAGTTTGAGAAAAAGAGGGTACAGCACTAGTCTAACATACATCTCAAAGTCTATCACAGGATCAAGCCAATCTTCTATTCACAGGCTGCCAGAATTGGGAGGATTCAAGGGGGTAGAGGGGTCGTCTTTAGCAAAGTTCCCATAATATACTTCTGTTTCAAAGATTTCTACTTAGTGGGACAGTAGTGAGAAAGCTTGGAGGGGGGATTCTACTAGTCTTTTCTTTTTTTTTTTAAGACAGGGTTTCATCATGTTGCCCAGGCTGGTCTCGAACTCCTAAGCTTAAGCGATCTGCCCGCCTTAGCTTCCCAAAGTGCTGAGATTACAGGCGTGAGCCACCAGGCCCACCCCACTAGTTTTTTTTATGCCCCTTAACTATGGCATAGGAGGACAAAAATGAAGAATAAAACTTCACGAAAGGTTCTGATGCAACTCTGGAAGCATGGGCTTTTGTACAACAGTAAGGATCCAATGAATAGTACCTGTGTAAAGATGTTTCAAGAATTTGAACAGTTGAAATAATCCCTTTTCAGAATCCCTTTCATATCCAAACAGCAAAGAAGTTTTCCTATTCTAACAAGCAAAAATTTAAAGGGGCAATAATTAAAAATTAGTTTAAAATTAGGTGTTCCAAAATGGTTCCAGATATGGGAACCTTTTTATTGCATAACTCCAGGGTTTTCCCAGGTCTTAGTTGGTGATTATGGTTGTCCAGTAAAACAACAAACTGGAAATATAAAGAGGAAAGAACAGGGGGACTAAGAGAAATGGACCCAGAGCCCTGAATTATGTTTTCAGTATATATAATTTCAATCCTTTTGTTGGCTATATAGTATTCTATTATAAGGCCACATCATATTTCATTTACAAAATTGTCTATTAAGCAACATTTAGCTTATTTCCAATTTTTACTGTCAGCCAATGCTATAATAAACAATGTACAAAAAAATCTTTCGTGAATATTAAAAAAACATTTTTTACTTATGGCAGGCTGCTTGCAGTTTCATCTTCACACATAGGTACTTGTTTTCTTTTCTCTGCCCTTAAGGGTGCTTCGGTGGAAAAATTTAAGAAGCAGTGACCTAATCAATTTTCCTCATTTTGCAAATGAGGGAAATAGAGAAGCTAAAAAGTCAACTAGCTTGTCTACATGTATACAGTAAGCATCAGAAGCAGACTCAAACCAGAGTGTCCTGATTGTAGGTTAAATACTTCCTTCCTCAGCCCTATTATATCTCTCTTTCTACTTTTTCTCTTCCTGGTACCAGAGAATACATTTAAAAATTATTTCCTTCTGCTCGTGGCCCTAAACAAAAATACAAAGTCTTTATATGTTGTGCAGTGTTTCCTGCTAGTGACATAGAGAACCTGGGTACAAGGGGAATGAAGAAAGTGGAACCATAATTGAGGCAAATATGAAGTTACATAAAATCATTAAAACAATATGATATTGAGATATAGAAGAGATATCAATAAAACAGGCTAGAAAGTTCAAATATCTGCCCAAAAACATATGGGATTTAGTATATAATAATGTTGACATTTCAAATCATTAATAGTAGAAAGGAAGTATTCAGTAAATGGTATTGAGGCAACTGGGTAAAAATTATCTTGAGATCAATTAAATTGAATCCTTTCTCCACATTATACACTAGGCTATATTCCAAATATATTTTAAAATATATAATAATAAAGTATTAAAACTACTGGGGGAAAAAACACTCCATGACCACTGCAACATAAAATACCTCATTGGGAATTTCTGCCTTGAGCTATCCTGAAGCCAAAATTTATCAGACAGATCTTGGTGATTCAATCCAGAGATGAAGCAGGCCTCCATGCAGATTAAGATCCTAAGGGAGTTTGCTCCTTGATTATCTTGCATACCCTCAATGCTTGCCTGTCCTCTTCCTTCTTTTGTTATACTGTTTCCTTTGCCTTTAAATGAAATATTCTCTAAGGAGACTTTCAGTCCTTTCAAATATCCAAACTTGTGACATCTTTGCAATATTTTCCATACACTTTCATGAATGTAAAAAATCAGTCATATGGCCCAGCTCATATTCTTGTCAAAAACTTCTACATTTTATGCCACTTTATGGTTTATAAATATATCCATTAACATTTAATTCCCAAAGTAACCTTGTAAGGGAGTAGTCTCACTATTTACTAGAGAAACTGAGGCTCCAAAGATTAAATGACTTACCAACAGCTGCTCAACCAGTAAGAGGCAGAAATGGATTAAAACCTAAGTCTAAGCATATTAATTATACTATGTGGCCTCCAATTTTTGTGACAATTACATGTCTATGATATACCTACAGTAAATTTGAGAGTTTAAGGTAATACCATTGAATCCTGACGAGGCTTATTGAAAGAAAGACACAATGGTATCTGCATTTATCTAATTATTAAAGAGGTAACTTAGTTTTGTATTTGTTTGTTTTTGAGACAGGGTCTAGCTCTGTCTCCAAGGCTTGAGTGCAGTGGCATAACCACGGCTCACTACAGCCTCGATCTCCTGGGCTCAAGTGATCCTCCTACCTCAGCCTCCTGAGTAGCTGGGACTAAAGGAGTGTACCACCACGCCCAGCTAATTTTGTAATTTTTTGTAGAGACAGGGTCTTGAACTGGTCTTGAACTCTTGGGCTCAAGCGATCCTTCCACCTCAGCCTCCCAAAGTGCTGGAATTATAGGCATGAGCCACCGTGCCTGGCTGGTAATTTAGTTTTTAACAGCAATATATAATGCTGATGCCAAGAAGTTGAACATATTCATTCCTTCACTCCACAAATGAATGAACACCTATGGTGGGGCTTAGGCACTGCATTAGGTAAAGCTCACAGTTTTAGTTAAAATAACAGACATTTTAAAGCAGAAAAACAAATAACTTTTCAGTTCATGGATTAAAAAAAGGTAGTTTGAATTTAATTGCATTATCTGATGTTACAAATTCTTAAGAAAGCCATTAACCAAAATGTATATGGTAGTTTAGAGTGTATGAAATCATTACATTGTCTAATTTGATCCTCAAAACAAATCTATGAAGTATTTTCTCTCTCTCTCTGTTTTTTGAGATAGGATCTCGCTATGTTGCCCAGGCTGGTCTCAAACTTCTGGGCTCAAGCATTCCTTTGCCTCAGCCTTCCTGGTAGCTGGGATTACAAGCACGAGCTACTACATCCACCCTATGAGGTATTTTCAATCCAATTTGACAGCTAAGGAAGGTGAAAATCAAAATTAAGTAGTTTGTATAAATATATATAAGATCACACAGCCTGTAAATGGCAAAGTCATGATTCAAATATAAGGATATTGATTATAAAATTTATTTTCTTTTACTTATTTATTTTTTTAGAGATGGGGTCTTGCTTGGTCACCCAGGCTGGAGTAGAGTGGCGTGATCATAGCTCCCTGCAGCCTTGAACTCCTGGGCTCAAGTGATCCTCCTGCTTCAGCCTTCCAACTGGCTGGGACTACAGGCACGTGTCACTATGCCCAGCTAGTACTGTCATTTTAGCAATATTAATTCTTCTGATTCATGAGCGTGGGATGTCTTTCCATTTGTTTGTATCCTCATCAATTTCTTTCATCAGCATTCTGTAGTATTCCTCACAGAGGTCTTCTACCTCCTTAAATTTATTCCTATGTAATTTTTTGTAGCTAATATAAACGAGGTTGCATTCTTGATTTATTTTCAAGCTAGTTCACTGTTTGTGTATAGAGATGCTAATTTTTGTATATTAATTTTATATCCTGCAACTTTACTGAATTTATTGATCAGTTCTAAAAGGCTTTCGGTAGAGTCTTCAGGTTTTTCTATATAAAGGTCACGTCATCCACAAACAGGGACAATTTGACCTCCTCCTTGTCAATTTGGATGCTTTTAATTCCTTTCTTTCTCGTGACAAATTGCTCTGGCTAAGACTTTCTGAATTTATTTAATTTAACTTAATTTCTTAAACAGTGTTTCTTATATCAAGTTCCTCAGCAGTAAGACAAAAATTAGACTAGAAAATAAAAGTTTTAAAATTTAAAAAAAATTCCCAAATCTCTCAAATGAATTATGCTAGTTCTACCAGAATCCTTTGGGCCAAGTTCTACTGGAACAAGATATTATTTTCTAGGGTACTCACTGAGCGAGTGTCAGCTTTTAAAGGTCTGAAAAAAACTGCTTTAAAGAAAACCAGAGAAAATGGGGTCAGTCAGCCAAGACAAGTGTGCCACAGCAGCAAACAGAGGTTTCTCTGTGATCCAACTAAAATAGCAGTGTTGTTAAACCCCCACACACATATAACTGGAATATTTGCATGGTCTTTCCTATTAAGCTTCAATCTAAATACTAAATTTATTATTTTAAAACCTGGTTTTTATTTTTTAAAAATAAAGAGAATGAAAGTGGAAAAAACACAGGGTAGATAATGAAAGAAAGAATAAAGCAGAAGGGAACCAAGACCTATTGAGTTTATATTCCTATAACCATACTAGTGACTTTATTTACATAACATCTTTTGATATAAAATATCACCTTATAAAATGGGTGATATCATTCTCATTCTACATATTAGAACACTTGAGGCCCAACGAGGTTAAGAAATTTTTCCAGTATATTATAGCTCCTAAATGGGAATATCTGGATTCAATCTTGTGTTATATCCCTTTAACAAGAAGCTGTATTGTTTATGCTGAAAAAGCAAAGGACAAAAAAGAAAACAAGAAATACAACCTTCATGCTGAAAAAGCAAAGGAAAAGAAAGAAAACAGAAGAAATACAATCATGAGTGTTAGTCTATACTAATTGTTAAGAGGCAATCCAACTATATAATTCTGGCAACTATAACTTGTAAGTGTGAACAAAACAACACTCGATGTGCTTTTTCCTATTTTAATCACTCCACAACTATCATTAGCACAGAAGACTTCTGTGACCAAATATGTGGGGGTTTCTCCCACAAACCAGGCAAGCAATCAATTCTACAGCAGACACCAGCTGGGTGTTCTCCAAATCAATTTAATTCTGAAGCTATCTAATTGGAGATAGCCTCAGAAACCACAGGTTGAGGGCTTGGTCCCACAAGGGAGCCTCCTCTTTTCATCAGTAACAAGTCTAGACCTTTAGACTGTCTGACCAACTGGCTTCAAGTTGGGGTTCCTCCAACCCCCTCTTTGGGTTCAATTAATTTGCTATAATGGCTCACATAACTCAGAGAAACACTTATTTGTGTTTATCAGTTTATTACAAAGGATATTTTAAAGGATTCAAATAAACAGCCAGATGACTCACAATCAGATTAGAGTCCTGCCTTGGTCAGGTGAAAGGAGGGCAGCAGAAGATGAGAGAGAGAGATTCTGTTTCCTGAGGCCTGATTCTGAGGCCTACAGTGTCCCAACATTACAACAAAAGACTATAATAAGGGTTATGAAAATTATGAGCCAGGAACCGTGGATGAAAACATATATATATATATTATATATATATTATATATATAAAATATCACAATACTGGATTCCTCTGAACCTCTATAAAATTCATTCATTTGTATTCTATATGATTAAAGAAATGATACTGTTTTAAGACAATTCTTTTATTATGTAATAATTTTTTTTTTTTAGACAGTCTTGCTCTATCACCCAGGCTGGAGTGCAGTGGTGCAGTCTCAGCTCACTGTAACCTCCACCTCCTGGGTTCAAGCGATTCTCGTGCCTCAGCCTCCAGAGTAGCTGAAACTACAGGCACGTGCCACCATGCCTGGCTAATTTTTGTATTTTTTGGTAGAGACAGGGTTTTGTCATATTGGCCACGGGTCTCGAACTCCTGACCTCAGGTGATCCGCCTGCCTCAGCCTCCCAAAGTGCTAGGATTACAGGAGTGAGCCACCGCACCCGGTGATTACTATAATAGATCATTTATCTTGTGTTCTATTTATCCTTTTCACATTTTTAAGCTTATACCTTAGTTAGCATATAACATACTGGGAAAAAAATATATCACATAACTTGCAAACTAATATACATATAGTAGATGTTTGGTACATATTTACTGGATTAACATTTTGTATACTCACTATGCCTTGAAATCTGTAAGTACAGGAATAGTTAATGTGATTAGCCTTCAGTGACACTGAAGATTTTGGAGTTCAGTCTGGAAAATGGTTCTGCTTTAATCTATCATGAACAATATGCGCACTAGTTATGTGAGCTGATTCATCATTTCTCTAGTATCCTCCATTTCATTAAAATGACTTTATAATGAAAAACAGGCAAAATAAGTCTTACTTATTCTGAAGATTTCATTGGGCAGAATATGCCAAGCAATTCCTCATTCATTCAACAAATATTTACTGAGAACTTAATCTATATTAGACTCTGCGCTAAATGCTGGGGATACAGCGTTAAAGCCAAAAAGTTCTCTAACTTGAGGTATTATCAATACAGTAGAGAAAATGAACATATATATAAATAATTATAGTTATGTCTGTAAGGTGTGGGCATGTAATTTATTCATCCAATAAATATTTATTGAGAGTCTCATGTACTAGACACTGTAATAAGCCCTGGGATACAGCAATGAACAAAACCACAGGGGCCCTCCCCTCATAGACTTTACAATCCAAGATGGTCTCAAAGATTTCTCAAATCTCCAAAACAATGAATTAATGGTAAAAAATCACAAGAATACATGAGGAAACATGCAGCCATAAAAGAAAATCAGCAAAACAATAAGCAACAGAATTAGACAAGCAAAAATGAAATATACTGAAATTATTGAATACGAAATATTGTTAAGTGTTTTTAAAATATTTAAAGAAATATAAGATAGCAAGAAAAAATAACCAAGAAAGAAAAAATAACAAAAATGGCCAGGCAGATTTGAAAAAAAGAAACAATACCCCTAGAAATGAAAAATAGAATAATTAAACATACAAAAAAGTAAATTTAGAAGGAAAAAGAAATAAGGCTGAATTAACAAAATAAAGAGAGATGGGAGGCATAAAGCAGAACATTCCAGACAAAGACAATAATGTATGCAAATACATGAAACTATGAGCTGCATTCTGTGTTCAGGAATACAAAAGCAGTACCATACAAAAGTGCAAGTGTTTAGAAAGGCCATTAGAGAGGGAGTCAAAGGGCAGATTGTGAAAGTCTTCATATGCTATACTTCTCAACTCTATATTTCCATGTGTGCTAATACTGATCATCTGATGCACTTATATGTTTGTAAGTACACATATGTGTATATAGCATTTAGTATTTCCAGTACTGAAATAAACCCTTGGCTAAAAGAAAACAAAGAAATAGCTATTAAGCAATGTGACAGAAAACCCTAAAATTCTCTCATTACAAATACCTAGATGAGTTGTAAAAATTTAACACATAATATTTTTAAATGCACTGCTGGGCTCCAAAAAAAACTCAAAGTACTTCTTAAAAGGAAAAAAAAAACCAAGAGGCAACTGAAAACTAATACAGTAATACCTCAGTTATGACTGCCCTTCAGAGGGTAAGAGATAAGGCAGTGAGTTGCTTATCTCAGTACCATAGGAGGTTGGGTTTCAGTGCTCACACAGGAATGAGAGATGAGGCCTTGGACCACACAAGGATAGGAAATGGATCTGAGATCATCTATATAGAGCTGAGATGCTTGTGGGGCTACTTAATAGCTAGATGAAATAGAAAAGTAAACACCCACTAGCACGAAGGAACAAGAAGACCACTGGCCTTTATTGACCTGGTTACAGGGTAAAAAGTAAAAAGAAAACAATAATTACTTCACTTGGAAATATAAAAATAAGGTATGTGAAACACAGATATCTAAAGTGGCCCCCAGATCCCTATCTCCTGGTATCCATAGCCTTGTGTAACTCCCTCCTTTAGTGTATAAGCAGAAACTGTGACTTGCTGCTAACCAAGAGAATAAGGCAAGGTGACAAGAGATACATGATCATGTGTATGTGATGACATTACCTAAGACTGTAGCACCCATCTTGCTGAAGTCTCTCATTCCCTTGCTGGCTTTGAAGAAGCAAGCTACTATGTTGTGGTCTGCCTATTTTGGTAGTCCCATATGTGAAGGGCAGCCTCCAGGAGCCAAGGGCAGCTTCCATCCAAAAGCCAACAAGAAACTGAAGCCTCTCAGTCCTATAACCACAGAAAACTGAATTCTGCTAATAGATTCTTCCACAGTTCAGCTTCAGATGAGACCCAGCTAACACCTTGATTGCAGCCCTGTGAGATCATAAACAAAGGACTCAGCCAAACTGGATTCAGACTCCTAACCCACAGAAACTGTGAGATTATAAATGTGTGTATTCCCATATATAAATATCTGGTAATATAATTACTGAAAGTAAGAGACTGGGGAAAAAATATGCCAGGCAAAAGAAACAGAATAGATTTTAAGGAATACATTCAATATATAGCTTAAATTTCAGATCTTTTTTAAATTAATGCCATGTTTTGTCTAGCATCTTAAAAAACAAATCATTTATTTATTGATTATACACAACAGCTTTATACCAGTTTCACAGCTGGTAGAGCAATTCATGAATATAGCTATACAGCATGCTTACCATACATATAACCTAAAAAGGCTCTCCTAACAGAGGGCAATAATAAGCAAGTCAGGCTATAATTCCAGCACTTTGGGAGGCTGAGGTGGGTGGATCACTTGAGTCCAGGAGCTGCCAAGACCGGCCTGGGCAACATGGCAAAACCCCATCTCTACAGAAGATACAAAAACTAGCCAGGTGTGGTGGCATGCACCTGTAGTCCCAGCTACTTGGAGGCTGAGGCAGGAAGATGGCTTGAGTCTGGGAGGTCGAGGCTGCAGTGAACTGTGATCGTGCAACTGCACTCCAGCCTGGACAACAGAGTGAGGCCCTATCTCCAAAAAAAAAAAAAAAAAAAAAAAAGTTACCTATAGTAATTAACATCCACAGACTCCAAAACAGCTTCAATTAGTTATGGTAATGTCTAGATATGTAAGAGAAGTTTTATGCAATTTATGCACATGTGTGGGCATCATAAAAACTCATATGTACCCTTCTGAATGGTAGCACTTTTCTAAGTAAGGTTTGAAATACAAAATCAATTTGTATTAATTTCCTCATTTGACCTTCACAACAATCCTATTACATTAGCAGGACAAATATTTTATACAAATATTTTATAACAATGTCTTTTCTTAATGTTTTAAATATATATATTTGAAAAACTATATACTTTTAAAAATGATAGCTACCAATTATGATTTTCTTTATGAAGATCATTTTCTTGATCCATCTAATGCAAGGCATATAAATTTACTTCAAGCAGTCTCTCTTTGAGTTCTCCTTTGCTTTCTCATCACCTACTCTTATAACTTTACCTCCCTTAAAACCAATCTATCTTTAGTCTCCCAATCTCTGACTGAAAATATTTTCTAGAAAGTTAAAGACAAAAAGCCTTATCTGACATACACATATATTTGGAGACAGGGTCTTGCTCTGTTACCCAAGCTGGAATGCAGTGACTATGATCATGGCTCACTGCAGCCTCAACCTCCCAAGCGACCTTCCTACCTCAGCCTCCCAAGTAGCTAGGACTACAGGCATGCACCCAGCTAATTTTTGTATTTTTTTTGTAGAGACAGGGTTTCACTATGTTGCCCAGGCAGGATTTATAGCTATTCTATATCTATTTTTTCTCATCATTTATTTTGGTCATTCTTAAACTTTATATATTGTTCTCGACAGTAAGTTCTTAAACCCATGGTGGTATGGCTCACGCCTGTAATCCCAGCACTTTGGGAGGCCAAGGCGGGAGGATTGCTTGAGTTCAGGAGTTCAAAACCAGCCTGGGCAACATGCCAAAACCCCGTCTCTACAAAAAATACAAAAATTAGCCAGGTGTAGCGCACACTTGTAATTCCAGCTACTTGGGAGGCTGAGGCAAAAGAATCGCTTGAACCAAGGAGGCAGAGGTTGCAGTGAGCCAAGATGGCACCACTGCACTCCAGCCTGGGCCACAGAGTCAGGCTCTGTCTCAAAAACAATAACAGCAAAACCCCCATAGTACCTTGAGTACCTAGGCATGCTTTGTATGATTTCTCTCCTTTGAAATTCCATTCTCATTCTTCATCAATCCTAGTCTCCCACTATGATCAAAATCCTCCTTTGCAGCCATTTGTTTCATGAAAACGTTTCCAATTTAACAACATCTTCCTTTTCAATCATATAATTGTAACATGCTAACGTATCTCCTAAGTGTTATACTGTCAATGGTATTTCTACCTGACTTGTTCTGAACTGAGTATAAAAAGTTTACTCTCCTGGCTGAAAACACTCCAAAGGCTTTCAACTGCAAATAAAATAAAAGCCAATCTCTTTACCATGGTCTACAAGGCTAACACAATCAACCCCTGCCTATCTCTTCTAATTACTTGCCTTCTTGCCCATCATTCCAAAACACTAATCTTCCCAAAGTTCCTAGACCAAACCAAGTCTATTCCAGCCACAGGGCCATTTGCAGTACTGCCTGGAACATCATTACCCCAGATTACCACATGCGCCATCTCATTCTTCAGGGCTTATGCCAGATGCCACCAACTCAGAGAAGCCTTCCTTAACTACCCTATCTAAAGAAGTCCTCCAGCCATTCTCTATTATATTACCTAGTTTTATTTACAGCATTTATCACAATTAGAAAACACTTATATACTTGGTTAATTGTTTATTTGTCATCTTCTCTCATTAGAATGCATGCTCACGACAACGGCTTTCTTATCTGCTTTCCTCACTGCCATTATGAACAAGTACCTAGAACAGTGCTATGATAACCACGTTTTCTGGCTTCTGTATTTTACGCTTTGGCATCTGGGGCCTTGCTTACCCTGGTGGAATTGCTCCTCCCAGAGCTAGCCAGATAGCAAAGGAGTGCACCTTCCATATGCAAACCAAACAATCCGGAGCCCATAGTCCCAACTACCTCATTTATCAGACTCTTACATGCTAGGCTACTATTCCCCTACCCAAATTACCCCAGGGTCACGTACCATACAACTAGTGGCAGCCCCTACATCCCAGCGCCCACTGAAATTACTCAAAACTAGCCAAGCCTAAGCTGACTCATAATGCCTTGCCTGTTCCTTCCTGCAGGAAGGAATAAAGCTGTATGCCCATGTTTCTCCCCACTTCCTCTGCCCCCCGACTGACCCTGGTGCTTTCCCAAGTGGCCCTACATGGTGTTATTCATCCTGTTTCTAGGAAACTGAGTATAAAAACTTCTTCCTGGGCAAGGGGAGGGAGAGCATTAGGACAAATACCTAAGGCATGCGGGGCTTAAAACCTAGATGATGGGTTGATGGGTGCAGCAAACCAGCATGGCATATGCACATCTATGTAATAAACCTGCATGTTCTGCACATGTATCCCAGAACTTACAGTAAAATTTAAAAAAAAAACTTCTTCCTTCATGACAGTCATTTCTGTGTCTCTGTGTCTAAACAAACCTGATTAAAACAAATCCCAGGCACCTTTAAATTAAGTGCCTAGCATATAGTACATGCAAATAACATATAAGAATGCAGAAAGGTTGTAAGTAAAGAATAAAAAACGATAATAAATACTTCAAACCAAAAGAACTTTAAAACAAAAAGCATTAGAAAAAGAAGGATCTGGCTGGGCTTTGTGGCTCACACCTATAATCCTAGCACTTTGGGAGGCCAAGGCAGGTGGATTGATTACTTGAGCCCAGGAGTTTGAGACAGCCTGGGCAACATGGCAAAACCCCATCTGTACTAAAAATACAAAAAAATTAGCTGGGCATGGTGGCACATGCCTGTAGTCCTAGCTATCCCAGAGGCTGAGGTGGGAGGATCAGCTGAGCCCAGGAAGTCAAGGCTGCAGTGAACTATGATTGTGCCATTGCCCTCCAGCCTGGACAACAGAGTGAGACCCTGTCTCAAAAAAAAATTAAAAAAGAAAAATGAAAAATAAGAATCCAATTCACCTGGAAGACATCATAATCCTAAACATATTTGCACTAAATTACATAGCCTCAAAATACTTAAAGCAAAAACTAACAGAATAATAATGAAGAAAATAAACAAATCCACCAACATGGTAGAAGATTTTAATACACCTATCTTAATGTTTAATAGATGAAGCAACCTTCACATGCTCCCCCTGTACAAATCAGCAGAGTTACAGAAGACTTTAACATCACAATGGGCTTGATCCAATAGATATTAAAACTAATGAACATAAGAACACTACAATGATTTGGGGGACTTTTACTGTTAGCCATAATGGAGTAACTTGGGACTGGATTTTCCCTTGCAGTTAACAAGCATAAAAGAGGGCAAATGCTATGAAAAAATTCTTTTCAGGCATTGAACAACTAGGTAGCAGAGCAATGTGATCTCTGAGAAAAGGGAAATAAATGAGGTAAACTCAGCTTTCTGGAGGAAGTATTTCTAGACTTTGGTGCAAGGAAAAAAAAAATCCAAGCATAGCACAGCAGTCTTGCAGAGAAAGAGCTCCCAAAATTTGCAAGGAATCTTTGAGTCTACCGCCGAATAAAAAACTGCACATGCTCACAGTCTCTTAGGCTGAGAAAAGAACTAATAGGGGAAGAAATAACTACTATAGAGCTGTAAACCAAACAACTACCATAACACACAGGGTTTGAGACCTTCACATTGTGACTAGAGAGAACAGTGATCATGCTGAACACTTAGAGTATCCAGTAGAGATCCTAGAACATTTTGGTAATGAAGCAAAACTAGCAAAAGAATAAAGACAACAACTCTAGAACTACTCCCAAAATATGCTTTAAAACAAACCTTGAAAGGGATCAACTGATCAGAATCTAACTGCTGGCCAGAACAAAATCCAATACACTTTAAGAGAAGACAACAAAATCTATTCACTCAACAATATCCCATTACCATGTCTGGCATCCAAACAGAAATTGCTAAACAAGTTAAAAAGCAAGAAAATCGGCTGGGCACAGTGGCTCACACCTGTAATCCCAGCACTTTGGGGCCGAGGTGGGTGGATCACTTGAGGTCAGGAATTCGAGATCAGCCTGGCCAACATGGCGAAACTCCGTCTCTACTAAAAATATGAAAATTAGCCAAGCGTGGTAGCACACACCTGTAATCCCAGCTATTAGGGAGGCTGAGTGAGGCAGGAGAATTACTTGAACCCAGAGGGCGGAGGTTGCAGTGAGCTGAGATCGTGCTACTGCATTCCAGCCTGGGCGACAGAGTGAGACTCTGTCTCAAAAAAAAAAAAAAAAAAAAGCAAGAAAATCATTCAAAAGAAGCAACGCCAAAATGACAGTGATGAAACTGACAAAGATTTTAGATCACCTATTACAAGTATGTTCAAGAATCTAAAGAAAACATGGACATAATGGGGAGAGAAATGGAACATAGTAAAAAGGTCCATATAAACTTCTGCTTCTAGCAATGACAAAATAAGGCCCTAATAGCTAATTCCCCCTCAGAAAAATACGGTAAAATCCAGGATAATACAAAAAGAGATTATCTGGAAGCACCGGAGTGTAAGAAGCAGACAAATTCTAATGCAGGGTACACATTTCAAGAAGGGGAGCTGTACAAAGTAAATTCCCATTTTCACAGCTTTTAGCCTTGGGATAAGTGCAGCTGACACAGTACATAAGAAACAGTGAAAGGTAACACCACAGGCTTGCTGGTCTGGGGAACCAGAACACTGAAGCCAGAAAAAAAAAATATGGCACTGAAGAGAACTGAGGAATCTCGAAAGGGAAAACAAAGAAGGGATCCCTAAATTCTGTCTGCCCATGTCTCTGATTGAACCATGAACCACACGTGCATATAACAGGTTGAAAGAAGTTCAGCTAAAGACAAATGAGATGCTGGTCAAGAAACAAGAGTGTACATACAGTTCAAGTCAAGTCAGTCAAGATAACTAAATGCCAGTTAAAACAACAGAAACAACACTCATAAGAAACAAAGATACCTGAATCTCCACAATTTAACATTCTTTATGTTCAGAATAAAGTCTAAAATTACCTAACATATGAAGAACCAGGAAAATGGTTCTTATTCTAACGAGAAAAGAATATCAATTGAGACTGATCCCAAGATCATCTAGATGTTAGAGAAAGCAGACAAGGATGTTAAATAAATCGCTATAACTAGCCTCAAGGAATTAAGATAAAATATGCTAACAATAATGAAAAAAGATAGGAAATCTCTGGAGAAAGACAGAAATAATAAAGAAGAACTAAGTGGACACTCTACAACTGAAAATACAATATCTGAAATAAATTATTCACCAGATGGACCTAACAGACAAATAGATGACAGAGAAAAAACTAAGTCAACATAAAGATAGGTCAATCAAAACTACCCAACATGTATATGCACAGAGAGAGAAAAAAAGATTTTGGGCCGGGCACAATGGCTCAAGCCTGTAATCCCAACACTTTGGCAGTTGACGCGGGCAGATTACGAGGTCAGGAGATCGAGACCATCCTGGCTAACACGGTGAAACCCCATCTCTACTAAAAATACAAAAAAATTAGCCGGGCGTGGTGGCGGGCGCCTGTAGTCCCAGCTACTCGGGAGGCTGAGGCAGGAGAATGGCATGAACTCGGGAGGTGGAGCTTGCAGTGAGCCAAGATCGCGCCACTGCACTCCAGCCTGAACAACAGAGCGAGACTCCATCTCAAAAAAAAAAAAAAAAAAAGATTTTTTACAAAATAATCCTAAACAGATCCTAATGAACCTATAAACTATGCAATATATCTGTAATTGGAGCCAAAGGATAGAAGAGAGAGAGAATGAAGCAGAAAAAAATTTGAATACATAACGATCAAAGTTTTCAAAATGTAATGAAATATAGAAATTTATAGATATGAGAAGCTCAACTTGCTGAAGGAAAATGATACCAGAGGGAAATGTATATCCTCAGACAACGGTGAAGAGCATCAGAAATGGTAAGCTACAAAAGACAGTATGTTTCCTTTTTCTTTTAACTTATTTATAACTTGTTTACTTTTAATATGCTGATATTTGGAGGTTTATAACATAAATGTAATACATATAATAACTATAGCATAAAGAACAAGGTAGGTAGGATATGAGCCTATATAGTTGCCTTATTGTGCAAGCTTCTACATTTTTCATGAAGTGGTCCATGAAGTGGGCTGTGAAAAGTTAAAGACATGTATTGTAATCCCTAGAGTAACCACTAAATAAATAATGCAAAGAAGAATGGCTAAAAAGGCAATAGTAAAATATTTTAATTCTAAAATAATATTCAAATAATTTGTTAAAATGCAGAAGAACAAAAAAAAAGCTAGTATAATTACAATAATAAAATGATAGACCCAAACCAAACCATATAAACCAAAGATAAACCTGATAATTTGTTGCCCTGTTAATAACATTTAAATTGTTATCTGCTTGGGAATTCTACTTTTTTTTTTTTTTTTTGAGACATTATCTTACTCTGTCATCCAGGCCGGAGTGCAGTGGTGCAATCATACCTCACTGCAGCATTGACCTCCCAGGTTCAAGCAATCCTTCCATCTCAGCCTCCCAAGCAGCTGGGACTACAGGTGTGCACCACCATGCGGGGCTAATTTCTTTTATTTTTGTAGAGATGAGTTTCACCATATTGCCCAGGCTGGTCTCGCACTCCTGGGCTCAAACAATCCGCCTACCTCACTCTCCCAAACTGCTGGTATTATAGGTGTGAGCCACCATACCCCACCCTGGCATCTTCTTACAAGGGCACTAATCCCAGTCATAAGGGTAGACCCTCATGAACTAATTATGTCTCAAAGCCCCCACCTCCAAATACCAGCACAATAAGCTTAGGGAGTGCTGTGATAGTATACATACATAATATATATATATGTTTTCATCCACAGTTCCTGGTTTATAACTCCCACAGTCCTTGCTATTTCTCCCCATGGCAGGCCATATAAACTAAAAAATATACTCTAATCTTCCCTCACCTTTCTGTCTCAAAGCTGGACATAAAGAAATTCTCTGCTACTATATCTGATTGTAGATCACAAGACCCCCATTTCAGAAGGGGCCCCATCCCATGCCCTGGAGGAAGGAATGCTGCACAGAGAAGCCAAGAAGAATCTGAATCTGATCCTATTTATAGCAGGTTAGTCAGAAACACAAGTAAAACAACATGGGGCTTCCGACTGGCATGGGAAGTGGAGGACGGTCTTGTGGGACTGAGCCCTCAACCTGTGGGATCTGATGCTACCAAGTAGACAGTGTCAGAATTGAATTGAAAGATACCCAGCTAGTGTCCACTGCAAAACTGATTGCTTGTCTGTTGGTGGGGAGAAATCCCCACACATCTGGTCACAGAAATCTTCTGTGTTGATTGTGTTGTGAGCACAGAGGAAAAACAGTTTGTGTGCCAAGAGGAAAATTTACAACTTTAAATGCTTCTATTAACAAAGAAAGATCTAAAATCAGTGTTTTAAGCTTCCGTCTCATGAAACTAAAAAAGGAATACGTTAAATAAAAATAAGTAGAAGGAAAAAATAAACAATAGAATAAGAATAGAGAAAATTAACAAAGCCAAAAGTTGTTCCTCTGACATAATAAAATCGAATAAACCATTAGGATGATTAATCATCAAAAAAGAGAGAATATACAAATTACTGATTTCAGGAATGAAAGAACAGAGTTACCCCCAGATTCCACAGACATTAAAAAAGCAATAAGGAAATATTAGAAATAATTTTATGCCAATATATTCTACAATTTAGAGGAAATGAACAAATTTCCTTGAAAAACACAACTTAAAAACCTGAAGCAAGAAACCTAACAAAAAACAAACGTCAAAAAAAATCTCTTATGAACAAAGATGCAAAAATCCTGGCAAAAATCAATCCTGCCAAAAATACAAGCAAATCAAATCCAGCAACACATAAAAAGGATAATATACCATGTTCAAGTGGGCCAGCGAAACAAAGTTTATCCAACATTCAAAAAGCAATCAATTAATCAGTCATATTAACAGAAAGGATAAAATCACATGATCACTTTGATATAGAATAATATTTGACAAACCCAACACCTATTCATGATAAAACTCAACAAGTAAAGAACTTCCTCAATCAAATACAGGATATCTGCAAAAGACCTATAGCTAACATTATACCTAATAATGAAATATTGAATTCTTTGCTTTTTAGGTCAAGAAAAGGCAAGGATGTTCACTCATGATGTCATTTCTACTCAACATTGCCCTGGAGGTCCTAGCCAGTGCAATAGCACAAGCAAAAGAAATAAAATGCATAAAGATTGGAAAGAAAGAAGTGAAACTTCTATTTGAAGATTACATGATTAAATGATGCTAAAATAACTGGATATGCCTATTAGGAAAAAATAAACTTCAATCCCTACCTTACACCATATGTGACAATAAATCTGAGATGGATATAGACCTGAATATAAAGCAATTAACTATAAAGCTTCCAGAAGAAAATATGGTAATAGACAAGCTATGAAAAGCAATAACCATAAGAGAAAAAGCTGATCAATTAGACTTCATCAAAATGTACTACTTCTCATCAAAAAAACACCTTTAAAAAATGAAGTAGGGAGACAGGGAGAAAACAGTCACAAAACATCCATTTGGCAAATGGACTTATATTCTGGATATGAAAGGAGCCCCTATTACTCAATGATAAAAAGACAATCCAATTTTTTTAAATGGGCAAAAGATTTGAAAAGATACTTCACAAAAGAAGATATACAGATGACCAAGAAGCACAAGAAAATATGCTCAACATCCTCAGACATCAGGTAAATGCTAATTAAAATTACAATGAGATACCACTACACACACTCCAGAATGGATAAAATTAAGAAGCATGATAACACCAAACATTGTTGGGGATGTGGAGCACCTAAAACTTCCATGATGAGAATGAAAAATGATACATCACTGTGGAGAAAAAGTCTTACAGGCTCTTAGAAAACTAAACATAAACCAACCCTAACCTGGCAATTCCAATCCTAGATATTTATTCAAGAAAAATGAAAATATACATTCACAAAAAGACTTGTATAAGAATGTTCAACTTCATGCATAATAGCCAAAAACTGGGAACAGCCCAGGTATCTGTCAATAGGAAAACAGATAAACTATTACATTCATACAGTGGGATACCACTCAGCAATCAAAAGAAACATACTACTGATACAACACATAGAAAAATCTCATTTCTCAAAAATACGAATCTTAAATGGATTAATAAAGATTTAACTTTTTTCAGTTTTAACTTCTAATACAGTAAATACCAATAGATTTAACTCACAGAGCTCTTTGGGGTCTTCAATAATTTTTAAATGTGTAAAGGGGTCATGAGACCAAAAAATTCGAGAATTTCTATTAGGTCATTGCAAAAGTAATTGAGGGTTTTGCCATTGAAAGTAATGGCAAAAACCGCAATTACTTTTGCACCAACCTAATAGTTAAAGTTGAATATGAGCATGACCTATATTCTAACAATTACACTCCTAAGTATACACAGAAACCCTTACATTTCTGTGTACCAGAAGATGCACAAGAATGTTCACAGCAGCCTTATCTGTAACAGCAAAAACCTGGAAACAACAAAATGTCCAATGATTAAAGAATGGATAAATGAATGTATTCATACAGTGGAATTCTAAACAACAGCAAAAATAAATGAATTATATCTACATCCATCAACACAGTCAATTCTCAGGAGCATGAATGATACTAATAAGCACAATTTGTGTTTAAAAAAAAAAAGCAAGCTGTGGAAGAATGTACATATAGTACAATTCCACTTATATAAAATATAAAACAAGCAAACCTGAACAGTTTATTTTTAGGAATGCAAAGTGGTAAAAGCTAGGAAATGATAAACACTAAATTAAGTATACTGGTTATCTCCAGAGGAAAAGGAAGAAGATGGGATCAGGGAAGGACACAGAGGGTGCTAAATGTTTCTTCAATGATGACTGCTCTTAACCAAAGGACTGTCCTCCTTTATCAAGGTCATAATTCTCTTCATTTGTCAACCTTTAGGTTGGACTTTCTGAACACAAAACAGCCATCTGATTGACAAGATTAATTAGATCAACTCTAGTGATCAATGGGATTTCAGGAGACAAAGACAGATTGCCCTCATATCTGCTTAAAAAAAGAAATGGGGGGGAAAAAAAGGAAAAATTGCTACTCAGAAGGTGAAATAGCTTAGAAACCATAATGTTTCATTTCAGGAAAAGTATCTTATCTAGAATCTCTCCTTATCATTTTGTATAAATGAATAAGTGAGTGAAGATCATAAAAACACAGCTTTTATAGCAGCATCAAGATTTTAACATGCATAGTTTTGGAGTTCTGACTCTAGCCAGTCCTTCTACTTGCTGTTAAAAGCTGCATGCTCTGAAAAGTTAAAGAACATATGTTAGAGCGAGAGTCTACACCTATGATGAGTCAAAGATTTTTTTTCCAGCTTCAAAACTGAATTATTTCAACCCTGAGGTACTTACTTGCTTTCATTGGGTAAAATAACTCTTTGGAGTCTTGAGTACATTGCAGGTATAAATAAAATGATGCTTATAAAATTTTTTGAAATCTTCAGATGGGCTTATAAAAGTACTAATCTTTATTCTTTAGTCTCATCTTCTAAGAATAAAAGGCATGGTATAATATGACATACTCTGAGTTTTCACAACAGAAAATCAAAATTTCTCAAAACTCAACTTCAGACACAGTTTTCAGTTATTTATTGCTGAATAACCATCACAAACTTCATGATTTTAAAACAAATTTATTATTACCTCTCATGGGAACAATATGAACAATAAAAAGTGCACAGGGTATTAATGTATATGTAAATAGCTTGTTTTGGCAAGACTGAAATGTAAGTAGGGCAAGGAAACGAAAGAAGACAAGAGTTAAAAATAAACTGGATAGCACAATGAGATACAACCACACATCCACCAGAATGACTAAAATTTGAAAAATTGACACTAAATGTTGACAAGGATGTGGATCAAATGCTCTGTGTGTAAAATGGTACAACCACTTTGGGAAAAGGTCTAGCAGTATCTAATAAAACTAAACATACACATACTCTATGACCCAATTATTCCAATCCTAAGCATTTACCTATGAGAAACGAAAATATATATCCACAAAATGATCTGCCCAAGAATGTTTATAGCAGCTTTACTTATAATTGTCCACACCTAAAAACAGCCATGTGTCCATCAACAGGAAAATGGGTTAATAAACTGGTATATTCATACAGTGGAATCCTACCACATAGCAATATGGATGAATCTCAAAAACATGCTGAACAAAAGAAGCCTTACCCGAAATAGTAAATACTAGACAAGTCCATTTCTATGCAGTTCTAGAACAGGCAAACCTAATCTATGGTAGGGAAAAAAAAAAAATCAGAACAGTGGTTGTGCTGGAAAGAAGGGGTAAGATGGAGGTGGGGATTAACAGAGAAGGGGCATGAGGGAACTTTCCTGGCTGATGGTAAAGTTCCACATCTTGATAGAGGTTGTTACATAGGTGTATGCATTTCTCAAAATCCAGCAAAAATAACTTAAGATTTGTGTATTACAGGCTGGGCGTGGTGGCTCATGCCTGTAATCCCAGCACTTTGGGAGGCTGAGGTGGGTGGATCACCTGAGGTCAGGAGTTCAAGACCATCCTGGCCAATATGGTGAAACCATGTCTCTACAAAAAAATGAAAAAATTAACTGGGTGTGGTGGCACGTGCCTGTAATCCCCTGTCTCTACTAATAATACAAAAATTAGCCGGGTGTGGTGGTGCTCTCCTATAATCCCAGCTACTTGGGAAGCTGAGGCAGGAGAATCGTTTGAACCTGGGACGGGGAGGTTGCAGTGAGCTGAGATCATGCCACTGCACTCCAGCCTCGGCAACACAGTGAGACTCCACAAAAAAAAAAAAAAAAAAAAAAAACAACAAAAACTGTGTATTACATTGAATGTAAATTTTACATCAAAAGAAAAAAAAAACAAGGAATTAAACTTTAATGATATGCTTTAGTATTTAGAGGAAAGCAAACAGATGTCTGCAGTTTACTTCGAAATGTATCAAAAAATAAAATGAACTGATGGATGGAGAAAGGAATGGAAAAATGAATCGGTATGTGATAAAAACAAGTGTAATAAAATGTTAATGGTAGAATTGAGATAGTGGGTGAATGGATATTCACTGAAGAATTCTTCCAACTTTGTTGTATGCATAAAAATTTCATCTTAAAAAAATGAAATGTTGGCCGGGCGCGGTGGCTCACGCCTTTATGTAATCCCAGCACTTTGGGAGGCTGAGGTGGATGGATCACGAGGTAAGGAGATCGAGACCAGTCTGGCCAACATAGTGAAACCCCATCTCTACTAAAAATACGAAAATTAGCCCGGTGTAGTGGCCTGCGCCTGTAATCCCAGCTACTAGGGAGGCTGAGGCACAAGAATCACTTGAACCCAGGAGGTGGAGGTTGCACTGAGCCAAGATCTCACCACTGCACTCCAGCCTGGCAACAGAGTGAGATTCCATCTAAAAAAAAAAAAAAAAAAAAAAAAAAGAAGTGCTTTTCATGCCATGTTAGAATTTGGTCTTTATGCTTTAGTCAATAGAAAGTCCTCAAAGGGAAACAGAAAAAGCACCTAATTCTCTAAGAAGTAATCAGTCAAGATTTAAAGAGATATCCACTGACTCAGAGAATGCAGTTACAAATGACAAACGACAAGCCAACAGCATGTGCAAAAGCATCAGCTTAAGGATATGTGACATATAGATAATCTAATTGAACCTCCCACAGAAAACATCTAAAAATCCTGAATTTAAAAACAAATCAAAGAAGAAAGAAGGGAGGGAGAAAAGGAGAAATGGAAAGTCCACCAAAGTAAGGAATCAAGTAGACCTCCCAAAATAAAGCTTTAACTGCCCCCGTCCCCACCTCCCACACCCTAGAAACTCAGGCAGGAGCTGATGCTGCAAACTTAAGGCAGAATTTCTTATCCTGGAAACCTTAGCTTTTGCACTTAATGCCTTTTAAATGATTGGATGAGGCCATTCATGTTATTGAGAGTAATCTCCTTTACCTAAAGTCAACTGATTACAGATATTAACCACATTTACTAAATACCATCATAGCAACACCAAGATAAGTGTTTGACTAAATAAGTGGATATTATAGCCTAGCCGAGTTCACAAATAAAACTAATCACCACAGGTAAGGAAGCCACAACTGTTATACAGCATGGGTTAGTTTTGTTTTTTTTTTTTAACTTATTTTTATTAGATTCCAATTCAACTCATCTTTATTAAGTACCTAATATTTGCCAGGTACTTCACAGTGTGTTTTCACATGCATCCTGCCATTTAAATCTCATAACCATTCTTTTTATCAGTTTTTGTAAAATGAGAAAAATGATATTTGATAAGGCTAAGTGATTTGCCCAAAGTCACAGGCTCAACAGAGTGAAGTCCAGATAGGAATCTTGATTCTGATTCCAAGTCCAATGGCCAGCTGTTCCATTATACCATGTACTTTCCCCAAAATAAAATATCTAGGACTTTCATGCAACCATAAAATGCTTTTACTGTCCCTTTTGGATCTATCATTTTGCTGGGTCTTAAAATGTTTCTTCATGCCTTTACTTCTTTTGAATATTCTGCACTACCTAAAACTCTCCAGGTGAGTTTTTTCCCATTATTGGAAATAGCTGGCAAAGGAACAAAGGTAGATTCTAAAAACTGAAAAAACAACTTAAAATCTTAACCTGAAACAAGAATGGAGTGGACAAGACTTTCATTTAAATGTTTACTATACTATGTATTCTATCTCAGTGATGTTCCCCAAATTACTGTTTGAGGAATTGTACTGTCCTTATTTACACATACACACACCACAATTACTGTTCCACTTAAAAAAAAAAATCAATCATTTCTTCCAAAATGTGCTACCAAATGACAATTCTTCCCAGTTAATACCTTTGAATACTTGAGCAAATACTAAGATTAGACTTCCAAATGTACTTAGCCTTCAAGTACCTACTAAGCTCTAGCTGCTAACTACAGACTTGAGACTAAAAGGTGATTTCATTTAAGCTTGGGAAAGGTACTAAGAGAAAATAAGGATGAAAATTGTTTCTGAAATAAAAAAGTTCAACTTAACTCATTACCCAGAATGATCCTTTTCAAGCTTTCCTTCATATACAGGTTATCAGCCTACTGTTACTGTGCAGGGTAATCAACACCTAACTTGGTTTGCAAAGTTAGAAACCCAGGTTCCAGTACCAGCCCTGTGATCCTTAACAAACTGCTTATCCTTTTGAACTTACTTTCCTTACATACAAACAGAGATAACACTGAGAAAAGATATAAAAATACTTTGTGGATGTTAAAGCCTTGTTTCTCCAAGTGTAGTCTCCAGACCAGCAGCACTGGAATCACCTGATAGCTTTTAAGAAATGCAGACTCAGCCAGGCGTGGTGGCTTATGCCCGTAATCCCAACACTTTGGGAGGATCGCTTGAGGCCAGGAGTTCGAGACCAGCCTGGGCAACATAGCGAGATTCCCTGCATCTCTACAAAAAATAAAATAAAAAAATCACCAGGTATGGTGGCAGACACTTGTAGTGCTAGCTATTCGGGAGTCTGAGGCAGGAGGATCCCTTGAACCCAGGAGTTTGAGGTTACAGTAAGCTATGATCATGCCACTGAACTTCAGCCTGGGCAACAGCATGAGACCCTGTCTCAAAAAAAAAAAAAAAAAAGAAAAAGAAAAAAGAAAGAAAGAAAGAAAAGAAAAAGAAAAAAAGGAATGCAGACTCTAAGGCCACATTCCATATCTACTAAACCAGAATATGTTTTTACAAGATTCTCAGGTAATCCACATACACATTAAAGTCTGAGGCCCATTGTTGTAAAGCACTTCATAGATGTTAGGTATCTTCACCATAATAAAACAGTTCATTAGAAACTTTTTGTTTGGAGAAGTCCTGTGATATGGTAACCCATTAACAATATGACATCAACAATAATGACATCCTCCTCCTCAGCTCCATCATTTTCCAGACTGAGAAACTACTAAACATGGATTCTGATCTAGGCTTCACCACTAATTTTCAATGTAATCTTAGGCAGACCACTTCTTAAGGTCTTTTTCCTTATTTGTAAAATGAGAACATTAGATCACCAGTTCCCAACATAAAGTCCCTGGACTCACTGGGGTCTAAAAAAGTGGTAAGGGAGGAAGGCAGGGTAGTGTGGTAGTTAAGTGCATAGTTTTGGGATTAAATGGCTGCTTCAAGACTGGGTGTGGTGGCTCACGCCTGTAATCCCAGCACTTTGAGAGCCCAAGGCAGGCAGATCACCTGAGGTCCGGAGTTCGAGACAAGCCTGGCCAACATGGTGAAACACTGTCTCTACTAAAAATATAAAAATTAGCGGGGGTGGTGGCACATGCCCGTAATCTCAGCTACTTGGGAGGCTGAGGCAGGAGAATAATCTGAACCCAGGAGGCAGAGGTTGCAGTGAGCCAAGGTGGTGCCACTGCACTCCAGCCTCCGCGACAGAGCAAGACTCAGTCTCAAAAAAAAAAGTTCAGCCTATGCCAGGGTTTGGGGGGTAAAGTTGGGGGATGAATGGGGGTGGTGGGTGGGGAGAGGGGTCAGATATGCTTCATTACACTCTTTGGAGTTCAGGCACACAATTGACCAGCATTAAAAAATAGAGATCCTAAGACTGACAGAACAGACTTTTTGTAGCAACAAGATACCAAATTCCAACGTGACTCTAACATACCATCACATGATAAATAGCAAGGCCCTGAAACAAATCAAAGTACTTTACCCAAAATATATTTTTTGACATAATTTGAAATGGCCCTGCAAAGCTGTCTCTTGTAGAGGAAATTTACATTCTATAGAGAATTCCCTTCCCTTTCCAGCTCGTTTTCTGATCCTGAAGAGAGTAGCTGAGAGTCTAGCATCTTTTAGAGGTCTGAATAGGAAACATTTGCCATCTATTGCCTCTAAGGGCAGCCATCAATGAGACTTCATCTACATAATAAGAACCTTGGTCTCTAAAAACCCTTATCTTAACCCAGATACTGATTGCTATTGATTCCAGGGATTTAAATAATAACTTAACTCTTTCAACCAATTGCCAATCAGAAAATCTTTAAATCCACCTATGACCTGTAAGCTGTAGCCCCCTACTCACCACTTCAAGTTGTCCCACCTTTCTAGACTGAACCAATGTATACCTTACATGTACTGATTGACATCTAATGTCTCCCTAAAACATAAAACCAAGCTGTAACCCAACCACCTTAGGCACATGTTCTCAGGACTTCCTTAGGCTCTGTCACAGGTTGTGATCCTTAACCTTGGCAAAATAAACTTGTAAATTGACTGAAACCTTTCTCAGATACTTTTTGCTTTACACTATATACTTAAAACAGATGCATTTTATTGTAAGTAAATTATACCTCAAAAAGCTAATTGCAAAAGTAAAACAGGAAGAGAGAGAGTAAGAATGCACTCTGGAAGTCAGAGAGCATGAGTTTAAATCTTCGCTTTGCCACTTGCAAAGTGGAAAACTTTAGACAAATTATTTAATCCCTCTCTGCCCTAAAATTTCCAGATCTTTAAAACAGGACTACAGAACCTAAGTTAAGAGTCGTTGTAAGGATTGTAATAAGAGTTATTATCAGGAAATACACTCATAGAACTTTGTACATTAAACCCCATAAATGTTAGCTATTATTATTTCTACTGGCTATTTTTAATATTTCAAAAATCACATTTATCCACAAGAAGACTGTAATGAAAATATTATGCTGTTTTGTTTTATATCAATGCATTAAACTAATTAGTGGCTGTATCTCATATAATCATTACAGCATGGTAATAGTATCTAGAACTTATCTGATTGGGTTACATGTACCTTTGATTAATTAAAACAGGGATAAAGTACATTAACAATTGTAACTTATGTAGGAGTAATAATAAATTAAAATTTATGTAAGAGTGACAATAAATTCATGGCACCCATGAAAGAAATTTTTTAAAAGGTTTCTTTATAATGAAAAGGTTAAAATAGCTACTCTGCTACCACATCGTCCAGCAGTTCCACCTTTAGGGTCTTGAAGAGATATTTGTACACCCATGTTCACAGGAGCATTATTCACAATAGCCAAGTAGAAGCAACCCAAGTGTACACTGACAGAAGAATGAATAAAAAATGTGACCCGAGCATGGTGGCTCACACCTGTAATCCCAGCACCTTGGCAGGCTGAGGTGGGAGGATCACTTGAGCCCAGGAGTTTGAGACCAGCCTGGGCAACATAGTGAGACCTCATCTCTACAAAAATAAAAAAAATAGACAGGTGTGGTGGCATGCATCTGTGGTCCCATCTACTTGGAAGGTTGAGACGGTGGGAGGATCACTTGAGCCCAGGAGGTCGAGACCAGCCTGGGCAACATAGTGAGACCTCGTATCTACAGAAAATAAAAAAATTAGTCAGGTGTGGTGGCACACATCTGTGGTCCCACCTACTTGGAAGGCTGAGTTGGAAGGATCACTTGAGCCCAGGAGGTTGAGACCAGCCTGGGCAACATAGTAAGATCTCATCTCTACGGAAAATAAAAAAAGTAGCCAGGTGTGGTGTCCCGCATCTGTGGTCCCATCTACTTGGAAGGCTGAGGTGGGAGGATCACTTAAGCCTAGGAGGTCAAGGCTACAGTCAGCCACGATCACGCCACTGCACTCCAGCCTAAGCAACAGAATGAGACCCTTTCTCAAAAAACAGAAAATGTGGCAAATACATATAATAAAATATTATACAGCCTTGAAAAGGAAGGAAATTCTGATTGCTATAACATGGATGAACCTTGAGGACATTACACTAAGTGAAATAAAACACTCACAAAAAGACAAGTACTGTATGGTTCTACTTATATGAGGTACTTAGAGTAGTCAAATTTATAGAGACAGAAAAGTAGAAAAGGTGGTTGCCAGTGACTAGAAGGAGGAGAAAACGGGGAGTTGTTTAATGGATACAGAGTTTTAGTTTTGTAAGATGAAGAGTTCTGGAAATTGATTGCCCAACAGTGTGAATGTACTTAACACTATTGACTACTGAACTGTATGTACATTTAAAATGGTTAAGAAGATAAATTTTATGTTACATGTATTTTTCCATAATTAAAAATAAATAAATAGCTGGTATGGCAGCTCTTGCAGCACTAACGCTATAAAACCTTTATGAACCTATCTATGTTTTAAGTTTGTAATAAGCGATCATAGCACCTAAAACAATTAACTGGCAGTCTGACTTGGATGCTGTCTGCATATATCAACTCAAACTGTGTTTTTCCTCTGTTCTCACAACCCAACAATCATCACAGAAGACTTCTGTGACCAAGTGTGTGTGGGGAAACCCAATCAGTTCTATAGCAATCAGTTCTACAGCAGACACCAGCTGGGTGTCCTCCAATTCAATTCCAACATTATCCACCTCGAGATAGTGTCAGCTCCTACAGGTTGAGGGCTCAGTCCCCAGAACTGCCCCCTTCCTTCAGACATCTGTCCCAAGTCCGGGGCTAGGGCTAGTGCAGCTTACAGAACCCAGGTAAACAGGTTTATTAGTTTATTACAAAGGATATTTCAAAGTTTACAAATAAACAGCCAGAAGAAGAGATACCCAGGGGCAGGTTTGGAAGGGTCCTGAGCACAGGAGGTTCTGTCCCCATAGATTTGGAGCGCAGCACCATCCTACTATGTGGATGAGTTCTTGTTCACCTTCCTGTCAGTCTCCACGTGTTCAGCTATCCAGAAGTTCTCCAAACCCTGTCCTCTTGAACCTTTTATGGAGACTTCACTGGATAGGCATGATTGAAGCATGAACAACCATGTTGAAATATGATTGGACAAAAAAGGTATAGTCTAATATTAATAGACTGAATGGGGAAACCCAGCAAAGCCTGTCTGTTCAGATTCCTCTTGGCTTCTCTCTGCAGCATTCCTTCCTCCAGGGTATGAGGCAGGACTCTCTCTGTAATGAGGGTCTTGTGACCCACAGTCAGATTAGAGTCCTGCCTTGGGTAGGTGAAAGAAGGGCAGGGGAAGACCAGAGAGATGGAGATTCTGTTTCCTAAGGCCTGTTTTGAGGCCTACAGTGCCCCAACATTATAATAAAAGACTCTAAAAAGGGATATGAGAGTTATGAGCCAGGAACCATGGGCTATACACACACACACACACACACACACACACACACACACACACAGAGAGAGAGAGAGAGATATTAAAACTAAACTCTTTTGTACACTCAATTTGTCCTTTCATTTGGCCTTCATTCTTCAGTTGACTTATGAACTTTTGAGTTATAATTTGGAGGCAGTGCTGCTTGCCTGTCAATAACCTTCAGAGAAAGGAGCATCTTCCTTCATATGACAGGGATGTCACCTCTGCCAGCCCAGAGTCCCAAGACCAAAAAAGAAGCCTGATGTGTGCTCACTAACTTGAGGTTGCTCTTCAGGGAGGATGGTAGGAAGGAACCTGAGAAAAGGAAAAGAAAAGAAATATAGCAAAGGGCTACAAGCAGTCAAATGCCTTTCATGGCATACCTGTATGGCAGAGATAGCTGATTAAAGCCCCTTTTGTCTTGTGCTGCAGCAGCAAGGAAAAAAAAGACCTTGTTCCCCCATCTAAGTGAATCCCATAGTAAAGGTATAGAGACTGAGGGCTGCCCTACTTTCCTTCTGCCCACTTCCTATGAATAGGATGGGGAGAGAGGCAGCAAACCTATGAGAAGGAACAATACCTAGCTTGAACCATTCTCACTCATGGACAAAAGGATATGGCAAGATGATCATACAACATCACAACAGCCATTCTTCCCATCCATGAAAGTCATACCAACCAGGTTACCTCCTCAGACTGAGGTAAGCCCTATAAAAACCATAATTGGGAATTTTCATGTATTTTTTAGCTTTCTTTTATTTATTTATTTTTATTTTTTAGCTTTCTGATAAATAAACCCTTCATCATAATATGTCAATTCTTGGACATTCCATGATCAAATATGTTTTTGGGAATGCATTTCACCTGAAAGAAACAAATGTGCCTGTTTATACTTGTCTGTTCATACTCCTGCTGCCCTCTCAGCTACTTTTCTTTCTTTTTTTTTTTTTTTTTTTTTTTTTTTTTGAGACAGAGTCTCACTCTGTCACCAAGGCTGGAGTGCAGTGGCACAATGTCAGCTCTCTGCAACCTCCGCCTCCAGCGTTCAAGTGATTCTCCTGCCTCAGCCTCCCAAGCAGCTGGGACTACAGGCACATACCACCACACCTGGCAAATTTTTGTATTTTTAGTAGAGACGGTGTCTCATCATGTTGGCCAGGCTGGTCTCCAACTCGTGACCTCAAGTGATCTGTCTGCTTTGGCCTCCCAAAGTGCTGGGATTACAGGCATGAGCCACCATGCCTGGCCCTCTCAGCTACTTTGAACAGAGAAGCTGTCTTCAAATGGTTTTATAGCCTTAGTCAGTGACAAAATAGGTACTCAGTAAATATCTGCTGAATAAATAAAACATTTTGAATGACTTTTAACCGGGTAATTCTTTTCTGAACACCCATATTCACAGCAGCATTATTCACAATAGCCAAGAGGTAGAAGTAACCCAAGTTTACGCTGTCAGAAAAATGAATAAAGAAAATATGGCCTGGGCATGATGGCTCACATCATGAAGCTGTAGGTAAATCTTATTCCCCTCCATTTCCCTTTATGTAGTATTTCTTCCATTAAACCAACAGCACCTGAAACTCCACTTCGTATAGATAGTATGTCTTGGTAGAAAGAGTTGTGAGACCTAAATTTGAATACCATTTCTGCCTCTTAATAGCTGTATGATGCTGAGCTGCTTATTTAACTAACTTCTCCAAGACTCAGTGTCCTTCTCTTTACAATGGGGTAACAACATCTAACGTTCCTTGATAGGAATGTTCTGAGGATTAGAAATACAGTCTTCACTTTGCAGGGTTCCAATATCCTCAAATTTCAGTTATCATAGTTTAGTTAAATAACACCAATTACCCAATGACACAATTCAAATTTCAGTTACCACTGTATACTAATTGTGAGTAGCTGAATATAGTACAAACTTCACTGCTACATCTTAAGTCCACAAATCAGTATACAAATAACAGAAGTACATCACCATCAGTGACCAACCAGGTCACTTCTTTCACTGTCTGTTGATGATCAGTCACAGTGAACCTGGTACCAGTTATTCAGTTCATGTACAGAAAGCAAAGCATGTAGTTGAGTTGCCTCCTTGTCTCCTGGTGATAAACTTATGTGCCATGTTACAAAATTGAGTAACAGAAGGAGAGAATTGGCCAAGAATGATGTAAGGGTAGCAGAGAAACAAAAATGTATAATGTTGGAAGTGAAATTCCAATCAAACATAAACAGAATTATAGAAGAAATAGCTAACCATAAGAATGCTGACGCTACTGCCATTCAAGGGACTCTAAATATGTAGTCTGAGGGGCTGGGTGCAGTGGCTCACACCTATAATTCCAGCACTTTGGGAGGCTGAGGTGGGCAGATCACTTGAGGCCAGGAGTTCAAGACCATCCTGGCCAACATGGTGAAACCCCATCTCTACCAAAAAAAAAAAAAACAAAAAACAAAAATTAGCCAGGTATGGTGGTGCGTGCCTCCCAGCTACTTGGGAGCCTGAGCTGGGAGGATTGCTTGAGCCCAGGAGGCACAGGTTGCAGTGAGCCAAGATCACGCCGCTGCACTCCAGCCTGGGCGACAGAATGAGACTTCGTCTCAAAAAAGAAAAAAAAAAAAAAAAAGATGCTGGGCAAGGTGGCTCACACCTGTAATCCCAGCACTTTGGGAGGCCAAGGCAGGTGAATCACTGCAGGTCAGGCATTTGAGACCAGCCTGGCCAACATGGTGAAACCCCGTCTCTACTACAAATACAAAAATTAGCTGGGCATGGTGGTGCACTCCTGTAATCCCAGTTATGTGGGTGGCTGAGGCACGAGAATTGCTTGAACCCAGGAGCTGGAGGTTGCAGTGAGCCAAGATTGCGCCACTGCACTCCAGCCTGGGTGACAGAGCGAGATTCCGTCTGGAAAAAAAAAAAAAATGCAATCTGAGGAATTCAGAGAAAGAGAAGGCAAACTTATCAACGTAAATGCATAAAGTAGTTGTGGTGAAAAGGATAAAGATGTCCCAGGAGAAATTATGCTAACAAAAAAAACTTTGCATTAAAGGAACTCTTGGAGAGATTTCACAATCTTAAAAGTGCAAAGGATAAATTTTGGAAGCTGATACAAATTAGAAAAGAATTCATGAAGGGATAGTACTCATCCCGGCTGGGCATGGTGGCTCATGCCTATATTCTCAACACTTTGGGAGGCTGAGGTGGGAGGACTGCTTGAGCTCAGGAGTTTGAGACCAGCTTGGGCAACATGGCAAAACCCTGTCTCTACTAAAAATCCAAAAAAAAAAAAAAAAAATTAGCTGGGCATGGTGGCACACGCCTGTAGTCCCAGCTATGGGGTACTGAGGTGGCAGGATCACTTGAGCCTGGGAGGTCGAGGCTGCAGTGAGCTGTGATTGTGCCACTGCACTCCAGCCTAAGCAACAGAGGGAGACCTTGTCTCAAGAAAAATCCAAAAACCTGTTGGCCCTCATTAGTGTAGCTGTAGCTGGCTAAAAAAAAAAAAAAAAAAAAATTAATTTAAAAGAAAAAAGACAACTGGGCATGGAAGTTCACGCCTGTAATCCCAGCACTTTGGGAGGCTGAACAGGTGGATCACTTGAGGTCAGGAGTTCGAGACCAGCCTGGCCAAAATGGTGAAACCCCGTCTCCACTAAAAATACAAAAATTAGCCAGGCGTGGTGGCATGCGCCTGTAATCCCAGCTACTTGGGAGGCTGAGGCAGGAGAACTGCTTGAACCCAGGGGGTGGAGGTTGCAGTGAGCCGAGATCGCGACACTGCATTCCAGCCTAGGCAACAGAGCGAGACTCTACCTCAAAAAAAAAAAAAAAAAAAAATACCCATTCCATATTATGAGTTATGTGACAAAAAGGCAAGCACTGTTTTAATTACTCTTGATAAGTGATTTTTATAAACAAAATAGTTTATTTCTCAATGTTTTTAATGTTTTAAAGTATACTAAATAAATATGCTTACTTTTTTCATTTCCCTACATATTCATAACCAACAGTAAGAGAGTTTACAATGTTTGACAAAAAGTTTTAAAGATCACAGAACAATCATAACTTTTCCCATTGATTATTAACATAGTGTTACCTGGTTTTAACTTGCACAGTCATTTGTGTGGTCCCACACTATGATGCAAAGCAAGGACTGCCTGTACCTCTAACTTCTGGCAGGTCAAGGGGCTTATTATTTCACAATGAGAGACCTTTTCCTCTGGTCTTTACAATATGCTCAAACAAAAGGAATTTAAACTGATCTTGGCTGATGCTAGGAAGACAGTTTTCGGGTGCTGAAAGTGACTGAGAACTACTGCCATATCTGAATATGCAATTCCCCAAACACTTCATTATTCCCTAAAATACATATATTCTAATGCTGAAAGATAGTTGAAAGATGGTTGAGTAAACTGAATAGTTGTTCAATTTGTCCTGTGTGATAGCATAGTATTTCATATCTGTCTTCCTTTCTTGAATATAGGGGCAAAACAATGAATGTGTGATAGAAGTAATGATGGAGAGGTAACATGGATAGTAGCTTTAGAGTCAGACTTCAATGTGAACACTATCTCTACATCACTTACTGTAATCTTAGGTAAATTATTTCTTAGAACTTCAATCTCCTTATCTTTGAAATGGGGATAATAATACCTTCTTTTTGAAATTACTGTAAAGATCAAAAGAGATAAGATATATGAAGTGCTTAGCAAAGTGTAGTACAAGTGACCACTTAGATAATAGCTATTATTACATTATCCTTAATATTACCATCAATACTATTGTTAATGTAAATACTATCGTGATGTTAATATTGCACTTGCTTTAAACACATATTTTAAACATATTATTATTAATCAGCATATTTTTCAAAGATCAAATTATCTTAGTCCAAGATATATTACTGTAGATACTCATGACTTGCTATGGTAAGATGACTTGACCTCAACTTCCTCCAGATGATTTTCTCCCAAGGTGCATGCGCAAAGGGCTGCAAACATTCACTCATCCTCTTCTTGCAACCCCTCTGATTCCTATGTCAAAACCCTCCCTGCAGTCTGCTCAGAGTTTCCTCTTCTGAGCACATTGAGAACAAATGTCATTTCCCATTTCTCAGAGCTATCTGCCAGAACACAGTATCTTGCTCTCTCAGAGTCCACATGACTTACCGCCAGTTTTCTCTCTTTGCATTTTTTATATTTTTTTTGTAGAAATAGGGTCTAACTCTTGCCCAGGCTGGAGTGCAGTGGCATAATTACAGCTCACAGCAACCTTGAACTCCTGGGCTCAAGTGATCTTCCCACCTCAGTCTCCTAAGTAGCTGGGACTACAGGCACAAACCACCATGCATATCTAATTTTTTTTATTTTTTATGGAGACAGGGTCTCACTATGTTGCCCAGGCTGGACTCAAACTCCTGGCCTCAAGCAGTCCTCCTGCCTTGGCCTCCCAAAGTGCTGGGATTACAGGCATGGGCCACGATGCCCAGCCCAGTTTTTTCTTGGTTCTAAACTAAGAGTCATTATTACCTACATAGACCCATAAAGCTGCAACTAAGGCCAGCCCCTTTTCTCTATTAAATAATTTTTTCCTTCGAAAATATTGAGTTCATTGAACAATGTCTGATTTAACACTTTCAGTGACAGAAAGTCCTCTGTCCCCCAAGTCAACCTTTCCCATATCATTGGTGAGAAGGTTTTTCCTTATATTGAAGCAAACTTTTCCCCATTACAGTTAGTTTCTGCCCATATGCCCTAATTCCAGATTCCAAATAAATTAAAAAAAAATTATTCTATATGATAGCCCATCCAATATTTGAAGACTCTTGAATTCCTCTTTTCCATGTTACACATTTCCAGCGCAGAGTGCATGGTTTTACATCTCTTTCCTCGTGGTCATGGTTCTCTGGACCAGGCATGGGCTTGCCAAAGTGATCTAACAACAAACTGGTAAAGCGCTTCCTTTGCCAACATGTGGGTTCCCAAGTAATTGTATTACAAATGATCCCTTTGCCAATATTTCTCCATGATTATGTAAAAATTATTAATTTAATAGTTGAAGAAAAGTGACTCTTAGCCTAAATCATGGTCATAAGAGAATAGTACTAAAGTCCTGAAAACTGCAAAAAGTGTTCTTTTTTTTTTTTTTTGAAACTTAGCCAATTACCAGAACAGAATAAAGTGGGACCATTTGTCATGATATGCTTGCCTCTTTCCTACAAAGCCATGCACAGATGCCTGAGAACAGGACTCAACAATGAGAAGGTTAGCTAAGAAGAGTTTCACTTCACGTCCTGAGAAGTAGATCCAACTAAAAGAAGGCAGTAATCATTAGCCAAAGGATAGTCTTTGCACTTTGCCAGAAGCAGGTACCTAAAAGAAGGATCAAATATTGTGCTCTCAAAACCTGATTAAATGATAGAAAAAGAAGTGGCAGATTTCTCCTAGCCTGGCAGGAAAAATCGTCTAGGAAAACAGACAGACACCCACATAGGCACACAGAACAAGCCCAACCTGACCAGCAGTGCCTGACAGAGCAGCCGCTAAAGAAGAATGCTTAAATCCTCAGAAGGTGCAGTCGGTGGAAGTAGTGTCCTCAGATGACCCCTAACTCCTAGATAGTTGGATAGGACAGAATGGAGCAGGGACTTGGTCCTCTGTGCTCTTGGGAGCCTGGCAGGGGCAGAAGGTACAGGCTAGGTGCAAGATGCCTTCGACTCCTGGTGCAAGATGACAGTTGAATAATCATACTCAGAGAGCAGATGACCTCTGGTACTTGAAGACATCCTGGGGGATAGGGGTGGGATGGTTCAGATCTCAGACTAGTGAAACTGTTCCCTGGAGGTGAGCAAGGAGGTCTAATATTCCAGTGAAAAGGGAAGGGAAAGACGGTAGAATTCTCACGGATTGGGGGAAAGACGAAGCTAGGAACTGTACCCTTCTGGTGGTGGCAACAGCAGAGCAGGTGTCCTGGGCCCTCATTCCAAGGGGCAGGGTCCTCCACTCTCCCAGCCTGGCCCCACTCCGCTCTCGGGCAGGAATTCCCATTCCCAACCCGGCTCTTCAGGCTTTCCCCCTTAGGTCCAGCAGGGGCTCCCCACTTCCCACTGCTCTTCTGCCCCCCCAATCCTCAGGCCCCCTTCCTCCCTCCCAGACCCCGGTACTCCTCCCTCTACACACTGGACTCCCGGCCCGCTCCTCTCAGCCTCCCGCTGGCCCAGGGCGCCGCATTCCAGCTCCCGGGGCCAGGCCTGGCACCTCCCTTCGCGGCCAGGTTCGCTCTTTGCCTTCCTCACACGGCGTCTCCTCAGCCCGGTGCCCTCTCGCCCCCACTCCCCTCCTCAGGCCACACTCACAGAACTCGGCGATGTACCAGGTCACGGAGTAGTTCTCCTCGCACCAGTCCAGCGTGGAGGTCGTGGGGCCCCAGTAGCCCTCTCGGTCCGCGGCCGGAGCCATCACGCCGCCGCCGCCGCCGCCCAGGCGCTCCGCTCACTGTGCCGGGTTAGGCTGGCGACCAGGCCGGCTCCGGCCCAGCCCGCGCGCTCGCTCGCGCCCCGCCCGGCCCTGCCTCCCCGAGGGGCGGGGCCTGGCGCCGTTACTGACACTGCCCTGACGGAGGCCCCGCCCACCGGCGCCGCTGGGCCGCGGGGCCGGGCCAGGCCCGACCTGGTGTAAGGCCCACTCGGAGGGCGCCGGCTGGCCCCGCCCCTCTTCACCCTTGGGCGGGGCAGGGGCGTGATCCAGGAAGGAGCCGGGGGCCTGGGCTTCCTGGCCGGTGCAGACACGCCAATGGCCGTAGGTTGGGGGTTCCTGACATCCCAGAGGCTATATTCTGTCAGGATGTGCCAGAGCCTCTATTTGTGTGCGTGTGGTTTGATTTAATCGGGGCGGGGGTGGGATGAATACTTCTATCAAGCCCTTGCTTGATTAAACCTGTGCGGCGAAGCGCCTCTATGTCTTCCATTGAGCCACAGGCCTCAAATGGAGCCCCAAAACAGAGTACCCCCAACCAATCCCCGTGATTCTCAGGAAATAAACCGTGATTTTCTGATAAAGGTGTAAGTGTCTCTTCGGTACAAAGGGAAAGGGTGAACAACCCAGGACCGAAAAAAAAAAAGTAGGTTCTGAGATCCTAAAAAAAAAGAATGCTGCTAGCTAGAGCACTAAAGCAAAGTTTCCCTGCTTCGTTTGGGCCTCCAAGCACAGAGGTTTCCACGTTCTAACTATAATTGTGCCCTGCTCTTCAGGCAACCAACAGCCTACCCCTACTTCCAACTTCAAGTCTAATACTCCCAGCCCCCGTCTGGGAGTATCGTAGACGGCAAAACCCCGTGTCTACGAAAAATACAAAAATTAGCTGGGCGCGGTGGCTCAGACGTGTGGTCCCAGCTACTTGAGAAGCTGAGGTGGGAGGATCACTTGAGCCCCCGCGGTGGAGATTGCATGCAGTGAGCTGAGACTGTGCCAATCCAGCCTGGGAGAACAGAGCGAGACCCTGTCTCTAAATAAATAAATAAATAAATAAATAAATAAATAAATAAAAAGTCTAGTACTCCACAGGTCTGCCAGAGAGCTCTTCCTAAAACAGATGCAACCACCCTTGCCCCTAGTGTTCAGCTACACCAAACTCAAACTTTCCCCTCTCCTAGAATGCGCTGGGTCACCTGCCTTTGCTCCCACAGTTCAACTGGGACAGCCTAACTCTCTTCTCCGTTTGACCAACTCCCCACTCTTCTTTTAAAATCCAGCTCTCTGAAGCCATCCCAGATGTTTACACCCTAGAGCTTCCTTGCCCTTTGTTCACATCCTACTGTGCTACATCCTGATCAGAGACCTTGCTTTCCCTTCTTTATGGTCTTAGTATTAGGACTCTGCCTGAATACACAGTAAGAAATGAAGAGTAAAAATGAAGGATGATACAACTGCTATTTTCTAAATAAATAAGTCAGATGTGGTGCAAGTCAAAGGTAAAAGAGAGGACAAGGAGAGATGAAGAGCCCACAGCCTTTCTACAAAATAACCATAGCCAATTAGCAGGAAATAGATGCAGAACTTTTATTTGCTAGGTGCAAAACCTAGGGAAGCAGTGTATCTTTTTTTTTTTTTTTTTTTTTTTTTGAGACAGTCTTGCTCTGTCGGCCAGGCTGGAATGCACTGGCATGATCTCAGCTCACCGCAACTTCCGCCCCCTGGGTTTAAGCGATTCTCCTGTCTCAGCCTCCAGAGTAGCTGGGACTACAGGTGTGCACCACCACGCCCAGCTAATTTTTGTATTTTTAGTAGAGACAGGGTTTCACCTTGTTGGCCAGGCTGGCCTCGATCTCTTGACCTCGTGATTCACCCGCCTCGGCCTCCCAAAGTGCTGGGATTACAGGCGTGAGCCATCGCACCCGGCCGGAAGCAGTGTATTTTAATACGAATAGTAGCCTCTCTGAAATTTTTCTTTTTTGAGACAGAATCTCGATCTGTCGCCCAGGCTGGAGTGCAGTGGTGCCATCTTGGCTCGCTGCAACTTCTGCCTTCCGGGAATCGTGCCTCAGTACCCCCTCATCCCCATAGCTGGGATTACAGGAGGCTGCCACCACACCTGGCTAATTTTTGTATTTTTAATAGAGACGAGATTTCACCATGTTGGCCAGGCCAGTCTTGAACTCCTGACCTTGAGTGATCCACCCTCCTTGGCCTCCGAAAGTCCTGGGATTACAGGCCTGAGTTACACCCTGCCTGGCCTGAAATTTTTATTTTGAATGTCATTGAGCTTCTACTATATACCAGGCCCTGTTTGGCTGCCTGGGTGCTAGGACCACACAGAGGTAAACATGAAAGATCCAAGAAGGCCGTCTCCAGAGAGATAAAAGCCATTGAGGTGTGGGGAAACATCTATTTCTAGTCACTTTATCTCATATTCTAAAACTTCCGTTTTGTTTATGTGTTTATGTAATAATCATGAGCATATATAATTTATAAATGAATGAAATATTTATATATTTATATGCTCAAAATGAATATGCAAAAACTCATACGCAAAAGTGATTTGCCGATGAGGTGTGCAATCAGAACAGTGCAGAGACCACAACAATAGAGTATGATCATTCTTAGCTAGGAGTAAAAAAAAAATTAGGGTGTTGTGGAACCCCCTATGTGAAAATAACCCCTGACCCAGCCAAGTGACTCAAGGCAGGATGAGGCCTTGGCTGAGTCAATACTCTGCACAATGTTCCTCAATAGTGAAAAAGGAAATCTACCGTGACCAGGACGGATTTTAGGAGAGAGAAATTCCCCCATCCGAGAGAAAAGGTGCATTGCAGAAGTTTCACTCAGAAAACACAAAATGAATTTCACAGTTCCTTCAGCAATATCTACCTTCCTTTTTCTTTTTTTCTAAAAAATTTCCCCCCTTGAGCATAAAAGCAATGCCTGGAAATGTAAGGGACCCAGACAAGTCAAAACTATCTCAAAAAAGAAGAACAAAGCTGGAGGACTTATACTTCCTGATTTCAACACTTACTGTAAAACTATAGTAATGAAGACAGTGCAGTACTGGCATGAAGATAGACATGTAGATCAAAGGAATCGAATTGAGAGTCCAGCAATAAACCCTTACATTTATGGTCAATTGATTTTTAACAAGGATGCCAAGACAATTCAATAGGGATTGAATAGTCTTTCAACAAATGGTGCTGGGACAACTGGATATCCACATGCAAAAGAATGAAATTAGAATGCTTCCTGTTACAATAAACAAAATTCAACTCAAAATAGATCATAGACCTAAATGTAAGAGCCAAAACTATACAATTCTTAGAAGTTTACATAAAAATAAATATTTGTAACCTTGGGTAGGCAATGGTTTCTTATATAAAACACCAAAAACACAAGCGACAAAGGGAAAAATAGATAAATTGGACTTCATCAAAATTAAAAACTCCTTTGCTGAAAATGATACCATCAAGAAAGTGAAAAGACAACCCACAGAATGAAAGAAATTATTTGCAAATCATATATCTTATATGAGACTTGTGTCCAGAATATATAAAGAACTTGTAATTCAATAATTAGAAGACAAGTAACTCCCAATAACCCTATTAAAGAATGAGTAAAGGATCTGAATAGACATTTCTCCAAGGAAGATATACAAATGATCAATAAAAACATGAAAAGATGTTCAACATAGCCGGGCGCTGTGGCTCAAGCCTGTAATCCCAGCACTTTGGGAGGCCGAGGCAGGCGGATCATGAGGTCAGGAGATCGAGACCATCCTGGCTAACACAGTGAAACCCCGTCTCTACTAAAAACACAAAAAATTCGCCGGGCGTGGTGGTGGGCACCTGTAGTCCCAGCTACTCGGGAGGCTGAGGCAGGAGAATGGCGTGAACCCAGGAGGCGGAGCTTGCAGTGAGCCGAGATTGCACTGCTGCACTCCAGCCTGGGCGACAGAGCAAGACTACGTCACAAAAAAAAAAACAAAAGAAAAGGAAAAAGAAAAGATGTTCAACATAATTAGCCATTAGAAAAATGCAAATCAAAACCACAGTGAGATGCCGCTTCAGACAACCTAGGATGGCTATAATCAAAAAGACAAATAACAACAAATGTTGGCAAGCATGTGGAGAAAGTGGAACCCTCAAACATCGCTGGTATGTAAAATGGTGCAGCAGCTTTGAGAACTTTTTCAGTTCCTCAGAATGCTAAATGGAGTTATCATATGACCTAAGCAGTTTTACTCCTAGGTATACACCAAGAGAATTAAAAACATATATCCACCAAAAACTTGTACAAGAATGATCATAGCAGTATTATTCACAGTAGCCAAAAAGTGGAAACACACCAAATGTCCATCAACTGATGAATAGATTAATAAGTGTGATATACACATTCAATGAAATATTATTCTGCAATAAAAAGAAATGAAATGAAATACTGGTGCATGCTACAACATGGATGAACCTTGAAAATTTTATGCCATATCAAAGAAGCCAGACACCAAGGGGCACATATTGTGATTCCATTTATAATATATGGAACATCTAGAATAGGCAAATCTGAAGAGATAGAAAGTAAATCAGTGGTTGTCTAAGGCTGAGAAAGGGAGCAGGAACAGGAGGTGACTGTTAATGGGAATAGGGTAAGTTTGGGGGATGATGAAAGTGTTCTAAAATTAGATTGTGGTGATAGTTACACAACTCTGTGGACATGCCCAAAAAAAAAACCCACTGAAGTGTATACTTTAAATGGCCAATATGTATGGTGTGTAAATTACATCTTAAAACTTTTTATTTTATTTTATTTTATTTTATTTTATTTTATTTTATTTTGAGATGGAGTTTTATTCTTTTTGCTGAGGCTGGAGTGCAATGGTATGATCTCGGCTCACTGCAACCTCTGCTTCCTGGGTTTAAGTGATTCTCTGCTTCAGCCTCCTGAGTAGCTGAGATTACAGGTGTGCACCACCACGCCTGGCTAATTTTGTATTTTTAGCAGAGACCAGGTTTCACCATGTAGGCCAGGCTGGTCTTGAACTCCTGACCTCAGGTGATCTGCCCACTTCGGCCTCCCAAAGTGCTGAGATTGCAGGCATAAGCCATTGCACCCGGCCAAAACTTTTGTTTAAAGCAATACATTCTTAAGTTGAAAAATTTAGAAAATACCAAAAAAAAAAAAGTATAAAAAAAGAAATCACTTACAATCCCACCAACTAGCAATGTCCATTGTCAACACTTAAGTACATTTTCTTCCGTTATTTTATCTAATGATTTGTTTACATGATGGAGCTATTTTTATCTTTATATTTCATATTCTTTCATAAGCATTTCTCATGCTATTAAAAATACTCATAAATATCACTTTAATAGTTACATTAGGGAGGGTGCAGTGGATCATGCCTATAATCCCAGCACTTTGGGAGGCCAAACTGGGAGGATCTCTTGAGCTCAAGAGTTCAACACCAGCCTGGGCAACATAGCCAAACCCTGCCTCTACAAAAAATTTTAAAAATTAGCTGGGTGTGTTGGTGTGTGCCTGTAGTCCCAGCTACTCAGAAGGCTGGGACGAGAGGGTGCCTGAGCCCAGGAGTTTGAAGTTACAGTGACATATTATGCACCACTCCACTCCAGCCTGGGCAACAGTGAGTCCCTGTTTCTAAAAAAAAAAAAAAAAGAAGTTACATCATATCCAATTTTATAAATAAATCACAATTTACTTAATTATGATATATTACTATTCCCTTACTACTGGGTATTTAGGTTATTTCCAATGCCAATATTTATTTTCGACTAACAACCCAAATTTTGAAAGCTTTCAACTAGATTCCTACTGAAAATTCTTTTTATCAGTTTTCAATATGACAAAAGAAATCCAAGCTATAATTAATTTTTCCATATGAGATATGTTGTACCATTTCACAACTGCAAAGGAAAATTTGAAACCACAAAAACCAAATGTGTAGGCTCACCACAGAATAAGTGATCTTAAGATCTACAAGTTACCTCTTGTCCTCTTTTACAGCTCAGTGCATTCATGGCAGCCCCTTAACACTGCCTAGCTATCTCTCTGTGGGAGACATGGAGTGTCACCAAAAGACAACAGACCTCAACCTGGGGACAGAACCCTAGCCTTTCTGGGAAGGCTCCCCTGACCCCCAGACAGGGTTGAAGAGCCTCCTGTGTTCTCCTGCAGATCCTTGGTTTCCCTCTGCCATACTCCTCTCGCTTTTGGTAATAGGCTGTTTGGGAGTTGGCCTTCCAGACCCTGTCCCACTCTATCTCTGTATCTTCATCTGGACCTGACACAGGACTGGCTCTCAGGAGATACTTATAGAACAATATAACAATAGTGTTTATCGAACATTTACCATGGGCTAGACCCTGTTCTGAGTTTTATGTATAAATATATAAACTCAGTAAAATCTTACAGCAATCCTATGAGGTAGACACTGTTCCTTTTCTCATTTCACAGTTAGGGACATTAAAGTACAAACAGGTTAAGTTACTTGCCCAAATATATACAACTAGTTCATAGCAGAGCAAGGATTTGAATCTAGCAGGCTGGCGTTAGAGCACAGGTGCTTAATAGCTACATTAAGAAAAATTGCTAATGGATTTGTGAAATCTTGATAATGAAGCCTACTCAGAGGATTTTACAGGGATCTAGAGAGCACTCATGAGGGTAAGTGCCATTAGGATAGAAATCATATGTCACCACTGTATGCCTAACACACAACTTGCTGCAGATTACATTGTCAATAAATACACAGTGAATGTGTATATATTTATATACATATATATAAAAAGGCAAGGATAAGAAAAGGCACAAGAGAATACGAATTTTTAAAATGTTATTACATTTATTATTTACTTTCTCTGTTTAATATAACCAGTAATATATGTTCTTTATGGAAAATTTAAAAATACAGATGGAAAAAATAATTTTATTATGAATATATAATATACTAAAATAATATCTATAACTTATGTAAGTTATTCAGAAAAATAATGAAATGAATCTTGACATAGCCATCAACCAGTTTAAGAGATGGACCGTAGCCAATTACTTGAACCCCTGTGTATCCTTCTTCAGTCTCATCACTTTCCTTTCTCCATAAGCAACCACCCTCCTGAATTTTGTTTTTATCATTCCTTTACTTTTCTGTATATTTTATTATATAAATGTATCCCTGAACATATATTTTGCATGTTTTTGAGCTTGATATAAGTAGACTCGCATGGAATGTATTATTTGGAGACTTGCTCTTTTTTTATCAAAATACTATACTTTTAAGATTCATCCACGTTGTTGCATAAGGCTTTAGTTTATTTATTTTTACTCTTATTTTTATTCTTTTAGAGATGGGGTCTCGCTCTGTCCCCCAGGCTAGAGTGCAGTGGCACATTATAACTCACTGTAACCTTGAACTCCTGGCGCAAGGGATCCTCTCGCCTCAGTCTCCTGAGTAGCTAGGACTACAGGCGCATCATCATGCCTCACTAGTTTTTATTTTTTAATTTTTTTGTAGAGACAGGGTCTGGCTATGTTGCCCAGGGTGGTCTCAAACTTCTGGCCTCAAGTGATCCACCTCAGCCTCCAGAGTGTTGGGATTACAGGTGTGAACCACTACGCTTGGTCAAGTTTTACTCTTTTATGGCCTTCTTTCGTATCACAATACCACAATGTATTTATCAATTCTCCTAAGATGAATATGAAGTTGTTTTTCACCTTTGCTATTATAACCACTGCTATCCTGATGTTTATTTTTACATACCTTCTGACACACGTACAAGCATATTACCTTTAGCATGTTACCTATGAATGAACGTTTGCACATTTTCAAATTAGTAGATAATGCAAAGGTTGTACCAATTTACATTTTCACAATTAAATTATATTTCACACTGAAAATATATTTATTCAAAAAAAAATCCACAATGAAAAAATATATAAAGAATCACCTGAGGCTGGGCACAGTGGCTGATTCCTGTAATCTCTGTGCTTTGGGAGGCAAAGGTGAGACAATTGCTTGAGGCCAGGAGTTCAAAATCAGCCTGGGCAACATAGTAAAACCCCACCTCTACAAAACAATTAAAAATCAGTCAGGTGTGGTGGCACAGGCTTATACTTCTAGCTACTTGAGAGAATGAGGTGGGAGGACATCTTGAGACTGGGTGTTCGAGGCTGCAATGAGCTATAATCACACGACTGCACTCCAGCCTGGGCAACAGAGCAAGAGCAAGATCCTGTCAAAAAGAAAGAAAGAGAGAAAGAAAAAGAGAGAGAGAGAGAAAAAGAGAAAGAAAGAAAGAAAGAGAGAAAGAGGAAGCAGCTCTTTCAAAGAGCAGTGGCTCATGCTTGTAATCTCAGCACTTCGGGAGGCCGAGGCGGGTGGACCATCTGAGGTCAGGAGTTCAAGACCAGCCTGGCAAACATGGTGAAACCCCATCTCTACTAAAAATACAAAAATTAGCCAGGCGTGGTGGTGGGCTCCTGTAATCCCAGCTACTCGGGAGGCTGAGGCAGAGGATCACTTGAACCCGGGAGGTGGAGGTTTCAGTGAACCGAGATCGCACCACTGCACTCCAGCCTGGGCAACAGAGCAAGACTCCATCTCAAAAAGAAAAAAGAAAGAAAGAAAAAGGAATCAAGAATCACCTGGAATTTCATCATTTAGTAAACACTGATAATATTTTGGTGTATAACTAGCCAGATATTTTTCATACATATACATGTTTTATTAAAATAGTTATAAAATACAAATCATTTTGGAGCTTTCTGTTTTTACTTAAAATGCGTGATAAGTATTGAAAAATAAATGTTGTATGTACCTGCTGATGCTTATGCTTCCAGAAACATTATTAGACTAACCATCACTCCCAATTCCAGACTTTGAGGCTCTACTCTGATGCCATCCTGATGATCTCAGGAAGGCATTAGACCCCAGCAGCTGGACCCCAAGCCCCACTCTCCAGGCAGTGTTAGTGCTAGGGCCTGATTTTCTCATAAGGCCTGATTCTCTCATAAGACTTATTTTCTAAACTCAGAAGAAACTTGGATTACACAGAACAAAAGTCAATTTCAAGCTCCTTGAGCAAGCTAGACTTCCTGGGCCCCTTGTCTCCCAGGATTTCCCCTTGCAGACCTCTTCTATTACCTTCTATACCTCGGCCGCAGGCCACCTGCCATGTCTCCTGCCAGTGCCCCTATGTTCTCTCCCATTTTCTCCTGATTGGAGTCTCCTCTAGTTACATTACATCTTTGCAAAACTTGAATAAGTAAAAGCCAGTTTACATGGGAATCTGCAAAATGAATTGAACATCTATTATCAAGCAAGCTTAGTGTTGGGAATACAGAGTATTCCCAATTTTGACCTGGTAATAAATGAAATATGACAAAACACACAAAGCAAGTTAGTAAATTCACTTTCTAATAAATATTTAAGGAATCCCAGCTGTGTGTCAGGCACTATTCTGGGCACTAGAAGAGGAAAAACAGACAAATCTCCAAGGTCAAAATGGGGTTTTCTTGAGACTGAGTCTCACTCTGTTGCCCAGGCTGGAGTGCAATGGTGTGATCTTGGCTCACTGCAACCTCTGTCTCCGGGTTCAAGCAATTCTTCTGCCTCAGCCTCCCAAATAGCTGGGATTATAGGCGTGCACCACCATGCCCGGCTAAGTTTTGTATTTTTAGTAGAGATGAGGTTTTGCCATATTGGACAGTTTGGTCTGGAACTCCTGAACTCAGGTGATCCACTCGCCTCGACCTCCCAAAATGCTGGGATTATAGGCGTGAGACACTGCGCCCGGCCCGGGATTACCTTTTAAAATCTTTCTAACAATCCTGTGAATTAAGTACTACTTTTAGCCCTTGTTTACAGATGATGAAACTGACACAGTGAGGTTAGGTATTTCACCCAATGGCAGCCAGATCATAAGCAGCTGAGCCTAGGCTGGAATCCAGGCAGTCTGGTGCCAGAGGCCATGTTCTTCTCTGCTGTGCCAAGCTGGCTGTGTGAGCTTGGAAGAAAGGGCTGTGCTGGACAGAGAGAACTAGAGGTCTCCTTAGAGGCCAGCACTGTGTTTGGTTTTACTTTTTAGCTGAAGTGTAGGCAATGAGGCTTATGAGGTCTGCAGGGACAATGCCATCAAGGGCCTACAGGGTTTTAAGTAAGATCTTGATATGGGTATGTATGCAGAAGGGAGGACAGATTGACTGAATTGGGAAAGACTGAAGACATGGAGCCTGCAGAAGAGACTATTGCAGTGATAGGGTGAGTAGCAATAGTGATGGAGAGGAGAGGACAAATTCACCGATGTTTAGAGGGTAGAATCAACAGGAATTGGAGACAGACCTGTGGGGAAGGGTTGAAGGAGAAGAAAGTGGTAGGTTTCCAGCCATTCCTAGCTGCTAGGAAAACCAGAAAATTAATCTGGCTGTAGTAGATTGTTGTGGGTGGTTGGTCAGAGCAGAAGGCAGAGAAAGCATTTCTGGGCAAGAAACAGACTGTAAGGGCTTGAAAGGGCAAGAGAAAAACAGGCAGAATGAGACATTCGGAGTGGCTGAACTTGTGTGCAGACATGAGGGAGGAGTGAGGACAAATATCAGAGACTAGAGATGCAAAGGGTGGGGCCCAATATGCTGTGATAACGCATTTAGGGTTTATCTTAGTGTTCAAGAAAGGGAATAACATGTTTAAATCCACGTGTTAGAAGAAATAAGTTTTTGATGTGGGGATTTTTTGTAGTAGGGCAGGGTAAGGAGGAGGCGAGGGATCAGGAAAATCAGTTAGAAGGCTGTGGCAAATAATCTTGGCAAAGGATAGGACAGTCAGATTAAACTGCAACATAGGTCCTGGACAGTCCTTGTCCCAAATTTCCAGGAGAGAACTTCAGAGTTCCTTGCTTGGTGGAAGATAGAGAAGAGCTGAAGTTTACCAAGTGAGCTCCTGAGCCCAAAATACGCCACACCCTGGGAGGTAAGTCACCACACACACGAACAGAGTCAACAGCCTGTTTCCACCTGGAAAGCTGTTACAAAATAAATTTGATGAAGTTGAGTATTAATTGAATAGCTCTAATTTGATTGTTTTGTTTTGAATGAGGTTATGGAAACATCAACAATTTTTAAAGTACCCTAAAGATGCTTGCCCTGTGAACAGGAATTCCTTCCTTTCCGCATTGCCTATAAGCCAAGCCCTCTCTTTTCTTTAACTCATAATTTCTATCTGTGCATAGGTGGATGTCTGGTTTTCTTGTATCTACCCTAGCACTGTTACAGTCTAGAGGCTGACCCAAATCTCTATCTCTAACCCAGATCAGTTTCCACAGCTTCGGCTCTTCAATCAGTTAGGATCATGTTTTGCTGCAGGCGACAGAAAATTAGTTCCAGTGCCTTAACCAAAGAAGGGTTTGTTTTTCTCAGGCAGTAGACAGTCCAGGGCCCTGCCACAGCTCCACAGTGCCAGAATCCTTCTTCTTGCTCTGCCCCCTTAGGGTATGGTCTTCAGCCTCATGGTCACAAGATGGCTGCTTCTTGTCTAAGAAACCCAACTCTGTTTGGGTAAGACAAAGGAAGAAGGGCAAGGGTAAAAAGCAAATGCCAGCCAGGGCTGTCCATTGCTATCATGAAAACAATAGCCAGGCCAGGCACGGTGGCTCATACCTGTAATCCCAGTACTTTGGGAGGCTGAGGCAGGAGGATCACTTGAGCACAGGAGTTCAAGACCAGCCTGGGTAACACAGTGAGACCCTGTCTCTGAAGAGAGAAAGAAAGAAAGAAAGAAGAAAGAAAGAAAGAAAGAAAGAAAGAAAGAGAGAAAGAGAGAAAGAGAGAAAGAGAGAAAGAAGGAAGGAAGGAAGGAAGGAAGGAAGGAAGGAAGGAAAGCAAGCAAGCAAGCGGGGAGGGAGAGAGGGAGAGAGGGAAGGAGGGAAGTGAAGGAAACAGCCTCTTCAGAACCTACACCCATTGATATCCACTTAGAACTCTTTGGTTGGAACAGGGGTCTCATGACCAACCATAAATAGTCTGGGAAGACTGGCAAAAGAGTCTAGGAGAGTGGATGTTTTAGCTGGGCACCACACTGTCCAAACAAAATTGGCTTCTGTTAGGAAAAAAGTAGGGGGACAGGATATTCAGTGACCAACTGACAGGATCTCCCACAGACCAGCATTTCCAACTATCTTCTGAACAGCTCTCCTTGGATATTTCTTTTCCTTTTCTTTTCTTTTCTTTTCTTTTTTTTTTTTGAGATGGAGTCTCATTCTGTCGCCCAGGCTGGAGTGCAATGGCGTGAGCTTGGCTCACTGCAACCTCCGCCTCCCAGGTTCAAGTGATTCTCCTGCCTCAGCCTCCTGAGTAGCTGGGATTATAGGCACCTGCCATCATGCCCGGCTAATTTTTATATTTTTGCAGAGATAGGGCTTCTTTTCTTTTTTTCTTTTTTTTGTTTGTTTTTTGACAGAGTCTTGCTCTCTCGCCCAGGCTGGAGTGCAATGGCATGATCTCGGCTCACTGCAACCTCCGCCTCGCGGGTTCAAGCAATTCTCCTGCCTCAGCTTCCCAAGTAGCTGGGATTACAGGCACCCACCACCACGCCCAGCTAATTTTTTTGTATTTTTAGTAGAGACAGGGTTTTACCATGTTGGCCAGGCTGGTCTTGAACTTCTGACCTCAGGTGATCTGCCCGCCTCGGCCTCCCCAAGTGCTGGGATTACAGGCATGAGCCAGGGCGCCTGGTCGGATATTTCATAAGGATCTCAGATTAGTTATGTTCTAAAGTTATCTCATTTTCCCTCCACACTGGCTTCTCTTCCACTGTTTTTGTTTTGTTTTGTTTTGTTTTTCATAGTGAAATTCACAACCATTGACCCAGTTTGTTAAAGAATGAAGCCTTGACTGGGTGCGGTGGCTTATGCCTGTAACCCCAGCACTCTGGGAGGCTGAGGAGAGCAGATCACTTGAGCCCAGGAATTCAAGACCAGCCTGGGCAACATGGCGAAACCCTGTCTCTACTAAAAATACAAAAATTAGCCAGGTGTGGTGTCATGCGCCTGTAGTCCTAGCTACTCAAGAGGCTGATGTGGGAGGATCATTTGAGCCCAAGAGGTTGAGGCTGCAGTGAGCTGTGGGCGACAGGCAAGTCCCTGTCTCAAAAAAAAAAGAAAGAAGTCTTGACACCTCCCTATCTCCATGCAGCTTTATCCAGTGATCATACCCTATGAATTCTTCTCTCTGTCCATTTTCCTCTCTCCCTTACTACCATTATCTCTGTCCAAGTCATCATTGCCTGTGCCCTGATAGCCCTGAAGAAAGTCTTAGCCGTGCTCCAATCCCACAACCTATTTATTCTTTACACTGTGGCTGCCAGAGGGCTCTATCAATGTCTTCTTCCAAACAACAAAATAACTTTCAGTGATTTTCCACAGCCTATGGGATAAAGTCCAGACTCCCTGATATGACCAGCAAGGCTCTTGGTGACCTAGTTCCTGTCCATCTCTCAAATCTTGTTGTTGCATTCCTAAAATACTTTCTCTTCCCTAAAAGAACCCCTTCTCTCAGTCCTGGACATTTGTGAACATATTCCCTTCAGCTTGAATCTCCCCTTCCCTTTCTGCCACTTTGGCTAACTGTTGTTTAATCATTCAAGTCTCAGCTCAAACCGGACTTCCTCCAGAAATTCTTCTTGATCATAACATCTCTCTGTATTGTAATCATCTGTCTACTTGTCTTCCCCACCAGCAAGATCCATGGCTCTCAAACTTAAGAGAATATCACAATCGCTGCTTGTTATGTTTCAGCTGAGACCTAAAGAATCAGAATCTTGGCTAGGCACAGTGGTTCACACCTGTAATCCCAGCACTTCGGGAGGCCGAGGTGGGTGGATAACTTGAGGTCAGGAGTTCGAGACCAGCCTGATATCAACATGGTGAAAACCTGTCTCTATTAAATACAAAAAATTAGCTGAGTGTGGTGGTGTGCACCTGTAATCCCAGCTACTTAGGAGGCTGAGGCAGAAGAATCGCTTGAACCCAGGAGGTGGAGGTTGCAGTGAGCTGAGATTGCATCATTGCACTCCAGCCTGGGCAACAAGAGCAAAAACTCCATCTCAAAAAAAAAAAAAAAAAAAAAAAGAATCAGAATCTCTGGGGCCCTGGATCTGCAAGCTTGGGTCGTTGTGAGGCAGGAACCACATCTTGAGAAACTGAGGCAGACTCCAGGCAGCCTCAGGGCAAGGAAAGTGTCTTGGCTCTCAGTGTGTCCCTAGTGCCTAGCACAGGGCAAGGTGCAGAGTGAGCCATCTGTGTAACTCCAAATCCTTTCTCTTTCCACTACCTGTAGGATAAAGTTCAAACTCCTTTACATGACGGATAAGGCTCTTTGTGACCCGGTTCCTGCCCACCTCTCAGGCCCTGTTGCTGCATATGTGAATGAGGTAGAATGGTGTCATCCACTTAAAAGAATGATTACTAGTTATAGGGTACACAGACTTTGATGTCAGATAGGTGAAGCAATCAATCAATCAATCAATCAATCTTTGGTGATTCTCTATTGCCCATGGGATCAAGTCCAAACACGCTGACAGATCTCAGATTTGAAGCCAGCAATGCCTCTTATTATTTCTGTAAATTTGTGTTATTTTCTTATACTGTATATGCCTTGGCTCCTTCACCTGAAAAACTAGGCTAATACCTACATCAATCTCACAACGGTGCTATTAGAAGTAAATGAGATACTGAGTTTAAGGCACTTAGGGCAATGCCTTGGAACATAGCAAAAACTCAATACAAATTGACCATTTACTACCACCACCACCACCACCACCACCACCACCACTACTACTATTTATGAAGTGCCTGTTTAATTCCAGCCAGGAATTTACAATTTTTATTTTACTTTTTTTCAGAGACAGAGCCTCTCTATGTTGCCAAGATGGAAACTGAACTCCTGGGCTCAAGCAATCCTCTCTCCTCAGCCCCAAGTTGACTGAGGCTACAGGTGTGCACCACTGCACCTGCTAGCCAGGCATTTAAGTAAATATATATATATATATATATATATATATGTGTATATATATATATATGTATATATATATATATACATATATATATATGTATATTTTTTTTAGATGGAGTTTCTCTCTTGTTGCCCAATTTGGAGTGCAATGACGCAATCTTGGCTCACTGCAACCTCTGCCTCCTGGGTTCAAGCGATTCTCCTACCTCAGCCTCCCGAGTAGCTGGGACTACAGGCACCCACGACCACACCTGGCTAGTTTTCGTATTTTTAGTAGAGAAGGCTTTTCACCATGTTGGCCAGGCTGGTCTTGAACTCCTGACCTCTGGTTATTCATCTACCTTGGCCTCCCAAAGTGCTAGGATTACAGATGTGAGCCACCACGCCCGGCGTTTTTTTTTTTTTTTTTTTTTGAGACAGAGTCTGGCTCTGTTGCCCAGGCTGAAATGCAGTGGTGTGATCACAGCTCACTGTAACCTCCCTTTCCTAGGCTCAAGCGATCCTCCCACCTCAGCCTCTCAAGTAGCTGGGACTACAGGCACACACCACCACACCTGGCTAATTTTTGTATTTTTTATAGATATGGAGTTTTGCCATGTTGCCCAGGCTGGTGTCAATCTCCTAGGCTCAGGCAATCTGCCTGCCTGGGCCTCCCCAAGGGCTGGGATTACAGGCGTGATCCACCACACCCGGGAGTAAGCATTTTTATATGCATTACTTTATTTAATTATCCCAGTCACTTACCAAGATAAATATCACCATCCTCATTTTATAGATAAGAAAACTGGGTCAACTGAACAATTTGTCTGTCCAATGGGACTCAACTGAAAAACTTGTCTCTGGATGTTTGTAATAAAACATGCTAAAACCCTAAGTCAAAACATGATACTAGTTAACAGGAAATTGTAAATTGTTCTTCTGATATATACAGCAAAAGGGAATTGAAAGCATTATTTCCAAATTGATTGTGCCACATAAATTTGGCTACATATGAGTCTAACATATAAAGACAAACTCTTATGATCTTGCACTTTGCTTTACAATTTGTTCCAATAGAACTCGACGTTTTGTGTATGCACACCAACAGGTGACACAAACACAAGTTGGGATCATTGTAGGTAACCTGAGTATGTTGGAAACCAAGGAGGTGCTGAATATTATTACACGAAGCTTACGAATTGAAGTGAATGGTAGTACCAGGCCAAACCACACATTGCAAAACAGGCAGCAGAGTTTGGGCCAAACGTGGCCAAGAATTTCCAAATAACGCATAGCTGGTTGATAGGTAGTATCTACAATATCCCAAACCCACATTTTCCTCTCCAGAGCATCGCGGTGATGAAACTTGATTTTGTGACTAAAACAGAACCTGTCGATTTGCAACTAATGACCCAGAACACCAAGTTGTTAGTGTATGCGGTTCAAAGTAGTGCTTGCATACTTGGAGACAGAAATTGTAGATATTGACCATAGCATGTGTTACTGGTGTAGGGTGTACAGGTTCTTGGTGTTTTGAACAAAGAATTGAAGAAAACACACAAACAAAACAAGGAAAGAATGAAGCAACAAAAGCAGAGATTTATTGAAAATCAAAGTACACTCCACAGGGTGGGAGCGGCCGGAGCATAGGAGCTCAAGACCCCCATTACAGAATTTTCTGGGATTTAAATACCATCTAGAGGTTTCCCATTGGTTACTACTTGGTGTACACGCTATGTAAGTGAAGTATGGCCCGCAATTAGTCTGTTTGGTTTAGGAAAGCAACCAGTCAGAGGCTGAAGTTACAAAGGTTACACTTATGCAAGTGTCTGATTGGTTGTGAAAAGCAACCAATCAGAGGCTGAAGTTACAAAGTTACACTCCTATGCAAGCCTCTGATTGGTTGCTTTCTGCAACCTGCAACCAATTAGAGATACTTTAAATTTTCCATCTACCATGTAGAAAAAGGGCGGCAGGGGGTGGTTTGCAAAGGGAGTAGCCTCCAGTCCTTTTGTTACTTAGGTGTGGAAAGTTGGGGTTTTCCTTTTGATTTAGTTCTAGGAAGTCAGTGTGAATCAGCCTTATGATCCCTGCCTCCAGACCCTATTCTCCTGCCTCATTTTTCCCTGAGAGATGTGATCCCCATAAATCTTTATGGGAGGCAGAGGGACCAATGGTCTTTCTTCTGTAATTGCCTCATGCTGATTGAGGTGTAGTCCTTACATATTGGGAATCATGGAATCATGGAATTCTCGCCCTCCTCTGTCTAGTGGAAATAGGGTAGCTTCTTCAGGGGGTGGTGTCTTCATCTGGAACTGGCTGGAACACTTGCCACATGATCATCTGGTTTGATGGTCTCTAGGAGACAGGAAATTAATTTGGTTAAAAGATTTAATGGGAACTTCAATGGGTGGATACCTATGCTGTCAGGAATGTTTGTTACAGAGATTTGCAAGAGAGAGGAAAAAAAAACTGGTCTGTTCTAGGATCTATGTGTTTCCTTAAAGTCTTAGCACAAGCAACTCCATTTTGGTTTGGTTTGGTCTGTTGGGGCCTAGTGCATGAGCTCACAATGGCCTCCCATAATTTTGTTTTAAAATAATTCCCGCTTTTGTCTGGGCGCGGTGGCTCACGCCTGTAATCCCAGCACTTTGGGAGGCTGAGGCGGGCGGATCACGAGGTCAGGAGACCGAGACCATCCTGGCTAACACGGTGAAACCCCGTCTCTACTAAAAATACAAAAAAATTAGCCGGGCGTGGTGGCGGGCGCCTGTAGTCCCAGCTACACGGGAGGCTGAGGCAGGAGAATGGAGTGAACCGGCGAGGCAGAGCTTGCAGTAAGTCGAGATCACGCCACTGCACTCCAGCCTGGGCGACAGTGGGATACTCCGTCTCAAAAAAAAAAAAAAAAAAAAAAAAAAAAACGAAAAAAAATTCCCACTTTTTGGTCACGTTCTCACTTAGGTGGGGGCAATCCCCCGCATGCACAGACTGAGCTAATACTTTGGTTTAGAGCACAGCGTTTCGATCTCTTGGATTATCATCACAGGGATTGGAGGCGGGTGAAAGCAAAGTGGGGCCAGATTAGGGGCTAACACTTAATGAGCCTTGACTATATGTGAGACAATTTACACACTTCTTTTTTCATTCAATCTTCATAATTTTTGAGGTAGGTATTACTACCCCATTTGCAGATGAAGCACTCAGGACCAGGGAAATTAGTGACTTGATGAAGGTCACACAATTACTGAGTGATGGAGCTAGAACTCAAACTCAAAGGCTGATTTACCCCAAGCTGGCACCCTTCCCCACTACAATGTGTTGCCTGCCAAACTCCATTGCCTTGAGTAAGGCTTCATGGAAGCAGTGGCTTAATGGAGTACAAAGTCAAGGGCTCTGAAATAAGAAAAGTTGAATTTAATTCTTTCTGTGTGGACTAGGGGGAATCCCTTGTCTCTAGGTCTTGCTTTTCTTAACTGTAAAATGGGGACCATGATACCTGTAGCACTGGAAGCTTAGGCAGATCAGATATGTCTGAAAGTGCTTACACTTGCTTAAACTTCATAAAAGCTATGTAAATGTCCATGGTGGTTGTTAGGAAATGGTAGAATTTTAGGATGTCTCTGAAAAGGACTGTGCCCAGGAAGGTACCAGATCAGGGTTGGCTCTCTGCTTGAGCCTGGAGACATGAGATGGAGGGAGTGGTTTGACGCACCTGGCGCAGGAGGGCTTTGCCCTGTATTTGGTACTTTAAAGCAGATTAGTAAACATTAACTGAAATTAATCCAGGCACCACACAAAAAGTGGTTTGGGTAAGAATTGATCCTTTCATTAAATATTTGTTAACTCAGTCTGTGCAGGACTCTGAGCAGGGCCCTGGAGAGATCTGGAAAAATGAAACAGGTCCTTTAACGTGAGACAGAGCATGCTAAATACCACTAGAGAGGTTCTCTGGAACTGCAGGGGAAATGGAGATGAAAGGCACAGACCCTTGCTCAAAGAGCTTCCACCTGGCGGAGGGATACACTGCAAGCTGGGTAGAGTTATCAGAATCATCACAGAGGTAGAGCAGAGCTGTGGGTGGTCAGAGCTTGGGGACAAGAGACTGAGTGATAGGGAAGGTGGAAAACATTGGGTGGGAGATTAAGGCTCTTTTATTTGTGAGTGGTCAGAGCTTGGGGACAAAAGACTGAGTGATAGGGAAGGTGGAAAACATTGGGTGGGAGATTAAGGCTCTTTGTTCTAACTCTGAATGGGCAGCGTCAATTTGAAATGGAATCATGGTGGGTTTCAGGGATTGAGAGGAAGGGGACAGGGAAGGATGAGGCTGGAAGGGAGAGACTGGTGGGATGCTGTGAGAAAGGGGATGGGGAAAGGGGGGACAGGAATTGCCCAGAGAGGAGCTGTTTGCTTAGAGAATGGGTCCATGGGTAGGCTTCCCTTCTGAAAGACAACTTCATGACATGGGGAGGTTTAATGTATCAAAGTCTTGCCCCTCTTATTAGACTCATGTCTTTAGTCATTTAATTTTTCTTAATTTCAATTACTTCATCTCTAAAATGAGGTTGATTATACATACTTCATATGGTTGTTGTAAGGAATGAATTGAATCAATGTCATAGCATGAGTGCCCTAAGACATACATATAAGAATGTTCCTGGCTGGGCACAGTGGCTCATGGCTATAATCTCAGCACTTTGGAGGCTGAGCTGGGAGGATTACTTGAGACCAGCCTGGGCAACACAGGGAGATCCCCGTCTCTACAGAATATTTTTTAAAAATTAGCTATGCGTGGCGGCATGCACCTGTGGTCCCAGCTATTCAGGAGGCTGTGGTGGGAAGATTGTTTGAGCCCAGGAGATATAGGCTACAGTGAGCCATGATCATGCCACTGCACTCCAGCCTGGGCAACAGAGCAAGACCCTGTCTCAAAAAAAAAAAAAAAAAAAAGGATGTTCCTAGCCATGCTCTGTGCAATGCTGGAACCCTGGAGCCATTTAAGTGTCCCTTCACTCAATGGATAAATTGTAATGTATTCATAAAACACAATACTATGTAGACAAGAAAATGAATGAATGAAAAGTCTAGGCATCAACAAGAATGAGTCTCTGGAACATAATGTTGAATGAAAAAAGTGAGGCTCACTCCTGTAATCCCAGCACTTTGGGAGGCTGAGGCATTGGAATCACTTGAGCCACGATTAAAGTAATTTATATAAATAATGTTTTTAAAAAAGAAAAAAGTGAGTCACAGAAAAATACATACTCTCCACTTCCTTTAACCTAAAGTTAGGAAACATGAAAAACTAAAAAAAGCACTTTGAGGATAAAAATATGTGGTAAAACTATGAAGAACAGCAAGGGAATAAAACACAGAAAATTCAGAAGAATGGTTATCTCTGGGGTGAGAAGGAAGGTGATAGGGTGGGGTGTTCCTCAGGGCGGAACACCGAGGAGGTTCCAAAGGTAACAGTAATGTTCACTTCAAAAAACTGGTTTTGGGTGCATGCGTTTTGTTGTATCATTCTTTATACTTTTTACCTACTTTGTAAGTATTTTTACCTACTTAATTTTATTACAACAATTTGAAAAACCTATCCCATCGAATACCAACTGCTGTGAATTATATAATAGTTGAAAAAGACATAAGCAAATTTAGAGAATTAACTTGGAATGACTTGGCTTTTGGTGAATTAGCTTCTAAGATATTAACCATTCAGCAAAGTGATGGTTTGAGGAATTCTTCATTTGGCCAGCTGGCTTTCTGTGATTTACTTGTAGAAAAAATGACCTAGAGTCTGGTGTTCAGTAAGATCAGGGCTATTAGAAGGAAGAAAGAGTGGACATGCCTGGAGCAAGGATCGTAACTCCGCCTGGAAGAGGAGGGGAGGTTTGTTGGAGATCTGTGTTGAGTCTGGAAGAATGAGTAAGCACCGACCAGGTCTGTATCTGTGTGTGTTCTGTCATGTATATGTATATACGTGAGTATATACACATGCTATTGGGTGTGTATTGATTCAGAATCGTTTTATCCTTCCGTTGACTTGAACATTTTATCATACCTAGGGACCCTCTTTAATCCTGGTAATGCTCTATCCTTAAAACCTCTTTTGTCTAATATTAAAATAATTACTATACCAGCATTCTTTTGCTTGATACTTGCCAGGTATAACTCTTTCTTTACTCTTACTTTCACCTTTTTTTTGTATTATTTTATTTTAGATTCATATTCAGCAAACAGCAGATACCTGGTTTTAAATATTCACTTGAGGAAGATGGTATTTTCCAAAGATGGCTGCACCAGCCTATGCCAGTCCCAGTGTGAAACTGATCCTCCTCCTTTGAGAAGTGGAGTCTGTGTTCACTGCCCTTTGATCTGGGAGATCCTGTGGAAGTGACACTCTATGACTAATGAGGCTAAGTCACCAAAGGCAATATATTCTTAGGACACACACCTTTGGAGCCCGGGGCTAGCATGCTGGAGACACCAAGGGGAAGGAACACAGAACTAGAGGAAGAAGCTTGAGGAACCCTGGCTACTAGAGTCTTAGTGCAGGCATGAGAAATGCAAATGAGGAAGCCTTTAGGACACTCCATTCCCAGCCACTGCCTGACTGCAAAATGAGGAGACTGAGGGTCAAAGGGAAGGGGAGGCTGAGAGTGGGAGGGGGGAGAGTGAGCAGCAGGGAGGAAAGAGTGAGGGGCAGAGAGAAGACGAGACCAAAGGATGTGAGAAGAATGAAGTCATTAGAATATAAACATTCCAGAATGTATTTATGAACATGTTATTCATGAATATGTTTAAGAAAAGGAAACATCACTGATATAGTCTTATTCAGGAGTAAGAATGTATTCTTCAAGAATATATCTACATTAGAATAATACGTTCTGGAATATTAAGGATTCTTCTAGACATATTCTTTTCCGGCCCCTGCATTTCCCCCTCTGTCCCTAAGGCTTTCCTGCTCTCTGCCACTCCCCAGCAAACTCCCCTCTCTCTCTGTCCCTCAGTCTTCTCCCTTCTGACCCCAGTGTGTCCCCTTGTACCTCCAGTCTCCCTCTGCCCGCTGGATGGAGCCATTGTCTGCTGGTACTGACTCCCCGCTCCTAGCAGAGGGTCCCTTCTGTCTACTCCAGGTCCCTCTAGTTGCAGCAGCTGGGAACCAAGCACAAACTGAGCCCAGTGAGCATTCCTCAAAATACTATCCTGAAGATAAAGTAAAGACCAGTCAGCTAAAGGCAGCTAGAAATCTTAAAAAGTTGTTCAAGCTATCCCATCCAGTGAAAATCTCCATTTACTTCTTTTAAATAGTTAAAAAAAGGAAATTTGGAGACTTGCTCTTTGGGACTTAGCCATGCAGTGACTTTCTCATTCAGGGCAGTGTCTTTGAACACACTGGCCTGCTTCCCCAGACGGGGCGCTTCTCCAGGGCAGGATTCCGGTCTAGTTTATCCCTTTGTCCCCAGTGCCAAGCACAAAGCAGCCACCGGCAAAGCTTTTTTAAAGAGAAGAACAGACACATTGAGTTTGCACATTTGAAGCCAGGGCCAGAACTTATTTCCTGCCACCCTGATGGTAACAAAGATGCATTTTGCACTGTGCTGGGCTGTCAGCAGCCTGTATAACCTGTTCATTGATCCAACAATTTGGGGGTTGTAGGGAATTTCCCGAGGATTTTGCCACTGAGAATGGAAGCCAGGGCACAGGAGCCTCAGAACAGCAGAAGCTGAATTATCTTTTTGCTAGTGATCAATAGGATCCTGGGCTGTAAGATAAGATGTGAGAGATCCTGTCAGCCTGGGTGGGACCTTGGCAGCTGTCCCACTCTGGTTCTCACTTGACCTCCTCCCTCCCTCTCCCCTGTATACAATGGGGTTCATTTTCAGTTCTCCCACAGGCTGGCACTGTGTGAGGACTCAGTGATGAGAGTCATGGTAGCCCCTGACCTCAGGGCTCCCAGACTTGGAAATGAGGCAGGTTTGAACCCCATTCATATCCATATGGGGGATGGCTGCAACCATAGCAACCTGACCATACAAGCACTGCCTAAAGGGAGTGTCTGGAGCATAGAGAATGCCCAATAACATTTATCGGGTGAATGTGTGGTTAGTGCGGGTTTCTCTTCCTGGGTCAGCCATCTCCTCCTTCACAGAGCAAGTTTTCATCAGAACTGGGTTGGGAGGCATGGACACCTGCTTGTCAGATGATGGGAGCAGGGAGTGGAGGAGGGGGTTTCATTTGAAGAAAAGGAAGCAGTAGTTTCCTAGACAGAGAGGTCTGAAACAGTGTAGGGCTACTGTGGCATTATAGGTAGTTCAGGAGGAATGCAAGGAGGTGCCTCGGGGGAGATGGGGAAGAGGGGAAACAAAAGATATCAGGCTGTAGAGGGAGGCTGAGGCTTTTTCTTGTGGCACTGGGGAACTCATGACAGGTTGTCAGCAGAGGAAAGACATGACCCGATTTTCATTTTAGAAAAATGGCTCTGGTCATCTGTGTGGGGCTTAGATGGAAAGAGGGGAGACTGTTAAGAGGCTGTTGTCACAGTCCAAGTGAAAGTTGATGTGGCCTGGCTTAAGGGAAATAGGAGACTCATTCAAAACACCTTTACAAATTAGAACAGACAAGACGAGGTGACTGATGCGTCTCTCAAATATGTGTTATGTTCCTGCTGTGTTCAAGAAAACATAGGTATGTGAGAGAGATGAGAGGTTCAGAGATGGAGGAGACATGTAGACATGTCCCTGCCCTTACAGTGAGGACATGCATTCGTTATCACGTTTACTGAGTGCCCGCTCCGTCATGCGCGCAGGTAAACACAAGGTTCAAAGCAGCAAGTGCACAGGGAGCAGGAATGTGAAGTGCTGTGAAAATTTAGGTGCAGGAAGGACCTTGGAATATGGGGTGTGTGATACTCACGGGAGGCTGCTCCAGGCAGGGGAACATTGTGAGCAGAGGCACAATGATGTCAAAGCCTAAGGAACTGTGGCTTGGGGGGTGTGGGGCAGAGGGTTAGAGGGGGACAGAGAGAGAGAACATAGCAAGGACAGCCAGGGGTGGACTGTAGTGAGCCTCAAACACCAGCCTAAAGAGCAGCGGTGAAGAGGGCCAGTCGCAGGGGTCACAAAGCCTTCCGAGCAGGACAGAGGCATGGTCTGAGCTGTGTTTTACAAAGACAAATCTCATACCATGCTCAGGACAGCTGGAAGGGAACAAGCCCTTCCCTGAAGGGGACTACCAGTAGGTGGCCGTTGGCATAGCTTCCATGAGAGAAGATGATGCTCTGAGGGAGGTTTCTGGCAGAAAGGATGAAACTGAAGGAACAGATATGTGAAATATTGCAAAGGCAACCTCAAGAGTCCGCATATGTTTATTGTTTGTTCACTGGGCTCTGTGCCTGGTGCTGAGGGTGTGGGCAGATTCAGGCACCATTAACAAAGATCCTGTGCTTGGCAAGCTCACAGGCCAGTGGGGAGAAGGGAAAAAGGAAGTAACATTTGTTGCCTGAGGATTAGGTCTGGGTACTATGCCAGCAGCTTGACATGCATTATCTCATTTAATCTTAAAGCCACAGTCTCTGGAGGGTAAAGTGATTAGTCCAAGGTCATACTGACTAATTACAGGAACCCTCCAAAGATGGCGTTTTGCCTCCTATACCAGGTGTCTCTGTGGGAGCCATCTAGGTCTTTCTTGCATTCACTCCCTCACTGCATATGTAGATATTGCCACCTGCTTACATCCCATCGGTGACTCTCTGTTGCTCTCTAAATTCCATGCCATGCCCCCGTGTGATCCCACCTCCCTCTTATCTGCCGCTTTCCATGTCTTTAATCTGCTCTAGCCACACTGTCTCCTTTCTGTCCCTGAAATAGTCAAGCTTATTCCTGCCTCAGGATCTTTGCACCTGCTGTTCCTGAAGCCTGGGAAGCACTTTTCCTACATCATTGCATGGCAAGGTCCTTCTCAATCTTTTCATCTCTGCTCAAATTTCACCTCCTCATGGAGGCCATTTCTGACTACCTTAACTTACATAGACCCCTCAATCACACCACAGTACTTCTAGCTTATATTTCTCCTAGAACTTATAATAAACTGAAATCATCATATTTAGTTGTTTATATCTTTACTGTCTCTACATAAAGTTAAAAGATTAGCCAGGTGTGGTGGCATTCGCCTGTGGTCCCAGCTACTGGGGAAGCTGAGGTAGGAGGATCGCTTGGGCCCTGGAGGTCAAGGCTTCTGTGGGCCATGATTGTGCCACTGCACTACAGCCTGGGCAACAGAGGAAGACCCTGTCTTTAAATAAATAAATAAAATTTAAATTATTAAAAGCTCAGATCTAAGGAAGGAAATGGTCATGTGTTCTCCTGACTTAATCTTTTTAATTTTTTTTTAAATCATGGAGTTACAAACTGTTCGGGTTGGGTAGGAACCATTTCAGTCTTTAGAACCAGACGAACCTGGACTTAAATGCCATCTCTGCTATTTGCTAGCTTCATGAGTGCGAATAGGTCACTTAGCCTCTTAAGCCTCAGTTTTTACAGCTATAAAATGGAGATAATAATGTCTACCTTACATGAGGTATTTAATTAGATACTGAGTATAAATTGCCTGGTATGCACTTGGTGCTTATTAAATGTTAATTCCTCTTCTCTCCATCAAGGGACTATGTGGGTGTGAGCCTATTTCATTTTCCAGGCTGTGACCTCCCAAGGACCGCTCTGTCTTTCATCATTTCCCTGCCAAGGGGAGCCAGTGTGTCACAAGGACCTGAAGACAAATACGTTTGTTGAAGAAATGGTGAAATCTACTCCAAGGCCCTTGTTTTAGTTCTGGCTGCTATTTTTTTTTTTTTTTTTTTTTTTTTTAGAAAAAATACCATAGACTGGTGGCTTATAAGCCATAGAAATTTATTTCTCACTAATTTTTAGGTTGGAAGTCCACGATCAGGCTGCTAGGATGGTCAGGATCTGGTGAGGGCCCCATTCTGGATTACAAACTGCCTTCTCCTCCTTGCATCCTCACATGGAGGAAACAAGGCAAGAAAGCTCTCTGGCATCCCTTTCATAAGGGCACTAATCCCCCATTCATGGGGGGCGCTCCACTCTCATGGCCTAATCACCTCCCAAAGTTCCCATCTTCTAATGCTATCACCTTGGAGGTTAGAGATTCAACATATGGGTGGGCAATATGGCAAGACCTCATCTCTACATAAATTTTTAAGTAAAAATGTTTTATCTTAAAAATATATTAAAAAAAGAATTTCAACATATTAATTTTGGGGGACACAGACATTTGTCCGTAACAGGCCTTATTCTGTAGATGAGGAAGTTATAGCCCAGAGTGGCAAAATGACTCTCTAGGCTACACAGCGTGTGAATGGCAGAGTGCAGCTTAGAGCAGAACTTAAGTAGCCCAGTGCTTTTTGATGCCCCCTGAATGCGGCTGCTTTGGTTTTTTCCATTGTTCACATGCAGCATTCTGAGTCCTGTCCTAGGTTTCACATACGTCCACACAGCTCCCAAGGCTCAGGGGGATTTTTAGGCTGTAAGGAAGCCTGTGCCAGAGCTAGTAAACAAAGCTGAAATATTTCACAAGCTTTATAACAAGTGTTTATACACAGGCTTACTAACTGGCCTACAATGGTAAACTGTCTCTGAAATAAATTCTCACGGGCTGGAAGTGCAGGCAAGCACACCATTATAGCCACCAGCCTCCAGCCTGCTGAGGGATCATTCTGTTCAATCCACAAGGCTTCCTGAAGCCACCACAGTGCCTGGCCTTGTGCTGGGCCCTGGACTCCTAAAGACCAGTGAACCTAGGCTGAGGGGAAAAAGAAAACAAACAAACTTTTTATCAGAGGGATGTGAGCCCCCTTTAATTATCAGGCCCAATGAGGCACTGAAATGTGGCACCATATGACAGCAGTTACATTTCACCACCCCCTTGAGCTAAATACTTAGCTCTCGAAGCCACTTGCTACATGGGCTCTAGACTCACTGATGCCAAGTAGCCATAAAATGCCATACACTGGACACCATAACTCATACCCTATAGTTCAACAGTTATAGCCAATCACTAATCAATGTTATTTCTATAAACCAGTGAGAATCCCTGTCAAGCAACTTTATTTTGCTGTTTTTTGTTCTGTTTTGTTTTGTTGTTTTTTGAGTAAGAGTCTTGTTCTGTCACCCAGGCTGGAGATCTCAGCTCACTACAACCTTTGCCTCCCAGGATCTAGTGATTCTCCTGCCTCAGCCTCCCGAGTAGCTTGATTACCAGTGCACACTACCATGCCTGCCCGGCTAATTTTGCATTTTTAGTAGAGACAGAGTTTTGCCATGTCGGTCAGACTGGTCTCAAACTTCTGACCTCAAGTGATCTGCCCGCCTGGCCTCCCAAAGTGCTGGGATTACAGGCATGAGCCGCACTAGCCCTTGTCAAGCAACTTTGTATCAGCCCGTTTCTTGTACCCTTGTGCCTTTAAAGCCTGCTTATAACAAAGGTGGAACAGAGAACTCCCCAAGGCAACTTGGAAGTGTGTCCTGGGCAACTATCCTGAGCCTTGGCCTGAATAAACTCTCTACATAAATTTTGCCTTAGCCTCTTTCCTTAGGTTGACAAGGATGTGTTAGTCCATTTGTGTTCCTATAAAGAAATACCTGAGACTGGGTAATTTATAAAGAAAAGAGGTTTATTTGGCCTATGGTTCTGGGGGATGTACAGGAAGCATGGCAGCATTTGCTCCTGGTGAGACCTCAGGAAGCTTACAATCATGGCAGAAGGCAAAGGGGAGCCTGTGTGCCCCATGGCAAGAGAGGGACAAGACAGAGAGGAGGGCTGGGCACAGTGGCTCATGCCTGTAATCCTAGCACTTTGGGAGGCCAAAGCAGGTGGATTGCTTGAGCCTAAGCATTCAAGACCAGCGTGGGAAACACAGTGAGACTCCGTCTCTACCCACCCCAAAAAAGAAAGAAAGAAAGAAAAAAATTAGCCGAGTGTGGTGGCATGTGCCAATGGTTCCAGTTACTCAGGAGGTAAGCCTGGGAGGTCGAGGCTGCAGTGAGCCATGTTCATGCTACTGCACTGTCATCTGGGTAACAGAGGGACACCCTGTTTCAAAAAAATTAAAAAGAGAGAGAGGAGGAAGGCACCAGACTCTTTTTAGCAGCCAGATCTCATGTGAACTTATTACTGTGGGGATGGCACCAAGCCATTCATGAGGGATCCACCTCCATGAGCAAAACATCTCCCACTGGGACCACCTTGAACATTGCAGGTCTTGTTTCAACATGAGATTTGGAAGGGACAAAATATCAAGCCATACCAAGGGAGTAGGAACAGACATGGACATGGGGCAATGACCACATGATATAAAGTGGTCTGAGCCAAGACAGACACAAATGCAGAAAGCAGAAGGATCCTCCAACCCAGTCTGGTGGAAACCTGCAGGGAGCACTTTCTGGAGGAGGGGACATGTTAATTTCATACTTTCTATGTAAAGAGTATATTTTCTTCTCCTGGTAACATGGCTTTCAATGGAAAACTTGTGGTTGAGGAGAAATGAACTAGCCCCAAAGTACTTTAGTCTTGCATCTTAGAAATTTGGGAAATTCAGATTTGCCCAGGGGCTCCTGATGGATGCATTTTTGTCTCAACACCATATATATCATCCTGAAAACAAAACAAAACAAAGCAAAACAAAATCCTTTTGCAAAATACTATGATGTAAAAATTATAGGGCTTAACAACAACAACAACAACAAAGTTTGGAGCAGATCATTTAAAACATATGGTCTTTGTAAGCACAGTTCTAACAAAAACAGCACCAATCCTAGTAAAACAGCCTCAGGGTTAAATCACCAGCATTTGCACCCAGCATCATAGTCACTTCATCCTGGCAGCTTTAAACCTTTGGTTTTTGTACTTTCTCCCAGATGTGGGACCTTTATGGCATACATTTGTAATGGAAATTGGATTCATCAAAGTGAAAAATATGATCTAAGGTTTAGATTTCTTAAAAAACTAAACTTTTTTTTTCTTAAATACAAGAGGAAGTCTCTCCACAGCTTCTTCATCTGCACTCTTTGCTTCCCCAAAGGGCCTAACATAGTGGAAAGGGTAGTGTGTTCTTTTTTTTTTTTTTAATTAAAAAAAACTTTTTGTAGAGACGGGGTCTCACTATGTTGCCCAGGCTGGTCACAAACTCCAGGGCTCAAGCGATCCTCCCGCTTCGGTCTCCCAAAGTTCTGAGATTACAGGTGTGAGCCACCATGCCCAGCTGATACTGGGTTCTTAAAGACACTAAATCAGCAGCTACTTCCACCAGTGAAAGGTGCTTTTGCAGGATTTTCAATGTTTTTATAAGGCCTTCATACTTCCTCCTTTATTAAGAGAAATTTTGCTTCTGATTGCTTCAAAACATGAACTTGCTGGAAAATATTGCATGTGAACCAACATGACTTTCATATAATATGGACACCGTGGCTCTCTTTACCAATCGGGTGGGAGCTATTCCCACAAAAGAAACACACATTTTGGGAGATCAGACTTAGGAATCTTCCTTGGGGATGGGCTACTTCTTCAGGAAGTTTTCACAGAACCTCTGGCCTCTCCTTTTTTCCTGCCAATGACCAGAGCCCACTTTCCCTTCACAGTGCATCACCCTTTACAGCACACATACCTGCACACTCATTCCTTCAAGTGTTACAACAGTTTTGTGGATTAAGACATGTAGAAGGCAGATGCCATTCCCAGCACTCCGTCTCATGGGACAAGGGGAAGGGATTAACAACTGCTGAGGGCCCCCAGGCTGCAAGCGCTGTGCCAGACATATGCCATATGTCCCCTAATTTCCTTCTCACAACAGCCTGATGAGGCCAAGGAGTGCTTATTTCTGAGGCAGTTTGATGTTATCCTCTCGTTTCAGGAGAGGAACGCGGATCTCAGAGAGAAGCAACAGGGCAGGATGGAAACCTGGCCCTGAATGAAGATAACACCTGTGGTCTTTCCCCACCACACCTCAGGGAGCCAAATAGCAACTCCTAGCATAATGGATGAGGTTATCCCACTGCAGAAAAGCCCTTGAAAACCTGAATATCTCCCTGGCCAAGAGCAGCAAGCTGACATCTCAGCAGGACCATATGAGTAATGATTCCTATTTGGTGAGCATTTATATAAGCCAGGCACCATGCCAAACGCTCTGCAATATTCTCTCTCCAAACTTCTCCCGGACTCCGTGAAACAGGATTTTGAAACCCAACTTGGAGGTGAGGAATCTGAGCCCAAGAGAAGTTCAGCAGCTTGCCGAAGGACATGAGACTTGTTAAGCAAAGGGCCAGGGTCTGAAGCCACATCAGACCGACTCCATGTGAATCTAAGGGGTAGTCCAGGGCTGAGACAATTTTATGTTTGGCTCAGAGTGTCCGCATTGGCACCAGAGACCAAAAGCAAGACAACCTCCACAGGTTAACCTCGGAGACTAGAGCCCCACTGGAAAGGGAGAAGTCTGAGAATTTGGGCTGGGCTGTAATCCCAGCACTTCGGGAGGCTAAGGCAGTGGATCACCTGAGGTCAGGAGTTCGAGACCAACCTGGCCAACATGCCTGTAATCCCAGCTACTTGGGAGGCTGAGGCACGAGAATCACTTGAGCCTGGGAGGTGGAGCTTGCAGCAAGCCAAGATGGCGCCACTGTACTCCAGCCTGGGCTATAGAGTGAGACTCGCTCTAAAAAAAAAGAAGGCTGAGGATTGGGTGGATTAAGAAGGGAGTGGTGAGGCTTTTCGTGGGGAAGTGGACAGTATTGTTCACTGCTCTGCCTGCCCGTGCCTTGTCCTGACCCCCACATGAGGAGGGGAGAAGGGGAGCTTCTTTTTTACTCAGGCCAACTGAGGTGGGCTCCCAGTGAACCATCCAGAGAAAGTAGCCTGTGTTCCTTGACATTTAGCGGGTATAAGGACTGGTCACGAGATGGGGTACTTTGGGAATGTCCTAGTGTCTGGCTGGGCAAGGATGCCTGGGGATTTCCATGGCCCAGATGGATCCCCATGGCAAGGAGCAGAATTAAAATGGTCACAACACAGTTCAAGAGGACTCCTAGAAGGGAAGATGACCCCTCAGAAGGGACAGATGAGAGCTGGACTGAGGGAAGAGGCAGAGCACCCAGCCAGAGAAGCCAAAGCCAAGTCAAGGGACCATAGGTGGGAGAACTCCAGTGACAGGGAAGGGCTGTGGGGGCCCAGGGACCTTCATGCAAGACAAATGCCAATAACCACATAGCGATCTTGAAGAGGGCCCCATTGCCAAGCTCTTCCTGCAGCAGTCAAATTACACCTTATCTGCTTCTTGTCTCTCCTGTCCACCTGCACTTGATGGAAGTGGTAGTGAGGGGATAATAGCAGCTAGAGAATGGGGGCAGAGGTGCCCAGTCCTACCAACAGAACCCCTTAGAGACCGCGGAACTCATTGCCACACACCTTTGGACACTCAGTTACTTGCTTCTGATGCAGAAGGACAATCATTCAAAATGGTTAATTTTCTTATAGTGAATACCCAACATCTAGAATGAATTGTCAGCTGGGTGCGATGGCTCATACCTGTAATCCCAGCACTTTTGGAGGCCAAGGCGGGAGGATCACTTGAGCCCAGGAGTTGGAGACCAGCCTCGGCAACATAGTGAGACCCTGTCTGCACAAAAATGAAATACATTTAGGGGGCGGTTCCAAGATGGCGGAATAGGAACAGCTCCAGTTTACAACTTCCAGCGTGAGCTACACAGAAGACGGGTGATTTCTGCATTTCCAACTGAGGTACCGGGACACAGACACCCTCCCAAGACTAAACCAGGAAGAAGTTGAATCTCTGAATAGACCAATAACAGGCTCTGAAATTGAGGCAATAATTAATAGCTTACCAACCAAAAAAAGTCCAGGACCAGACGGATTCACAGCCAAATTCTACCAGAGGTACAAGGAGGAGCTGGTACCATTCCTTCTGAAACTATTCCAATCAATAGAAAAAGAGGGAATCCTCCCTAACTCATTTTATGAGGCCAGCATCATCCTGATATCAAAGCCTTGCAGAGACACAACAAAAAAAGAGAATTTTAGACCAATATCCCTGATGAACATCGATGCAAAAATCCTGAATAAAATACTGGCAAACCGAATCCAGCAGCACATCAAAAAGCTTATCCACCATAATCAAGTGGGCTTCATCCCTGGGATGCAAGGCTGGTTCAACATACGCAAATCAATAAACGTAATCCAGCATATAAACAGAACCAAAGACAAAAACCACCTGACTATCTCAATAGATGCAGAAAAGGCCTTTGACAAAATTCAACAGCCCTTCATGCTAAAAACTCTCAATAAATTAGGTATTGATGGGACATATCTCAAAATAATAAGAGCTATTTGTGACAAACCCACAGCCAATATCATACTGAATGGGCAAAAACTGGAAGCATTCCCTTTGAAAACTGGCACAAGACAGGGATGTCCTCTCTCACCACTCCTATTCAACATAGTGTTGGAAGTTCTGGCCAGGGCAATCAGGCAAGAGAAAGAAATAAAGGGTATTCAATTAGGAAACAAGGAAGTCAAATTGTCCCTGTTTGCAGATTGTATATCTAGAAAACCCCATCGTCTCAGCCCAAAATCTCCTTAAGCTGATAAGCAACTTCAGCTAAGTCTCAGGATACAAAATCAATGTGCAAAAATCACAAGCATTCTTATACACCAATAACAGACAAACAGAGAGCCAAATCATGAGTGAACTCCCATTCATAATTGCTTCAAAGATAATAAAATACCTAGGAATCCAACTTACAAGGGATATGAAGGACCTCTTCAAGGAGAACTACAAACCACTGCTCAATGAAATAAAAGAGGACACAAACAAATGGAAGAACATTCCAAGCTCATGGAGAGGAAGAATCAATATCATGAAAATGGCCATACTGCCCAAGGTAATTTATAGATTCAATGCCATCCCCATCAAGCTACCAACGACTTTCTTCACAGAATTGGAAAAAATTACTTTAAAGTTCATATGGAACCAAAAAAGAGCCCGCATCACTAAGTCAATCCTAAGCCAAAAGAACAAAGCTGGAGGCATCATGCTACCTGACTTCAAACTATACTACAAGGCTACAGTAACCAAAACAGCCTGGTACTGGTACCAAAACAGAGATATAGATCAATGGAACAGAACAGAGCCCTCAGAAATAATGCCACATATCTACAGCTATCTGATCTTTGATAAACCCGAGAAAAACAAGCAATGGGGAACGGATTCCCTATTTAATAAATGGTGCTGGGAAAACTGGCTAGCCATATGTACAAAGCTGAAACTGGATCCCTTCCTTACACCTTACACAAAAATTAATTCAAGATGGATTAAAGACTTAAACGTTAGACCTAAAACCATAAAAACCCTAGAAGAAAACCTAGGCATTACCATTCAGGACATAGGCATGGGCAAGGACTTCATGTCTAAAACACCAAAAGCAATGGCAACAAAAGCCAAAATCGACAAATGGGATCTAATTAAATTAAAGAGCTTCTGCACAGCAAAAGAAACTACCATCAGAGTGAACAGGCAACCTACAGAATGGGAGAAAATTTTTGCAATCTACTCATCTGACAAAGGGCTAATATCCAGAATCTACAATGAACTCAAACAAATTTACAAGAAAAAAACAACCCCATCAAAAAGTGGGCAAAGGACATGAACAGACACTTCTCAAAAGAAGACATTTATGTAGCCAAAAAACACATGAAAAAATGCTCACCATCACTAGCCATCAGAGAAATGTAAATCAAAACCACAATGAGATACCATCTCACACCAGTTAGAATGGCAATCATAAAAAAGTCAGGAAACAACAGGTGCTGGAGAGGATGTGGAGAAATAGGAACACTTTTACACTGTTGGTGGGACTGTAAACTAGTTCAACCATTGTGGAAGTCAGTGTGGCGATTCCTCAGGGATCTAGAACTAGAAATACCATTTGACCCAGCCATCCCATTACTGGGTATATACCCAAAGGACTATAAATCATGCTGCTGTAAAGACACATGCACACATATGTTTATTGTGGCACTATTCACAATAGCAAAGACTTGGAACCAACCCAAATGTCCAACAAGGATAGACTGGATTAAGAAAATGTGGCACATATACACCATGGAATACTATGCAGCCATAAAAAAGGATGAGTTCATGTCCTTTGTAGGGACATGGATGAAATTGGAAACCATCACTCTCAGCAAACTATCGCAAGGACAAAAAACCAAACACCACACGTTCTCACTCATAGGTGGGAATAGAACAATGAGATCACATGGACACAGGAAGGGGAACATCACACTCTGGGGACTGTTGTGGGGTTGGGGGAGTGGGGAGGGATAGCATTAGGAGATATATCTAATGCTAAATGACGAGTTAATGGGTGCAGCACACCAGCATGGCACACGTATACATATGTAACTAACCTGCATATTGTGCACATGTACCCTAAAACTTAAAGTATAATAATAAAAAAAAGACATAAATTGATACTTTCAAGGTATACATTGATTCAGCCCAGAAAGGTAGGACATCTCTAAGCTGGGGGGTTACAGGTCATAGGTGGATTTAAAGATTTCCTGATTGGCAATTGGTTGAAAGAGTTGATCTTTTCCTAAAGAATTGAGTCAGCAGAAAGAGAGATGTGCATTGAGATAAGGGGACTGGAAGCCAAGGTTCTTGCTATGTTCTTGTTATATAGACAAAGCCTCTAAGTAAGCAGTAGATGGTAAATGTCTCTTATGGAAACTTAAAGGGTATTAGACTCCCTGGAAAAGACCCACTTAAGGGAAGGAGATTATCTACAGAATGCACACTTCCCCAGCAAAAGACCAGCTTTGCAGGGTCATTTCAGGATATGTCAAAGAGATATATTTTGGGCTAAAATACTTAGATTTCTTTCAGGGCCTGCTATCCGTCATGTGATGCTATACTAGAGCTAGGTTGGAATTTGGTATCTTATTGCTACAAATAGTCTGTTTTGTCAGTCTTATGATCTCTGTTTTAATATAGACATTGGTCAGCTGTGCCTAAACTCCAAAGGAAGTGGTTATAAGGAGACATGTTGGACTTCCTCTTCCTGTCATGGCCTGTACTAGTTTTTCAGGTTTTTGGGGGATCCCCTTGGCCAAGATGGGGGTCCATTCAGTCAGTTGGGGGGCTTAGAATTTTACTTTTGGTCTGCACCCCTCCCTCTCACTCCCATATTCAGTCAGTCACAGAGTCTTGTGGTCTCTCTTCCTATCCAGGTCCTCGGCCCAGCTCAGACCTCAGCCACTGTCTCTAGACCATCACAAAGGCCTGGACTCCTAGAGATTACCCTACAAATTCCTCTTCCTCTCCATTCTGAGTCAGCTTGAACCAGGATAATATTCAGTTTACTCAGCTACTGTCCTTGAGGGCAGAGAAAGAAGCCAAAAGCTCCCAGTCTTGGCAGGGGAGGAGACCAGTGCTTAATGGGGATGACTGGACCTGTGTTTTCAGGGGGCAGATCTCAGGGGAATTAGGGAGAAATTGATTATAGGCATCAGAAGGAGAAAAGTCCTGTGTATCACTGGGTGCTAGTTGGGAGTCCTCAGAGGTCAGGATGCTGACTGGGCTGCCTCTTCTGCTGGGAGTGCAGGCGCTGGCCATTTCATCTTGGCCCTTCCACATAGCCCACACCCAGCCCACACATGCTTTAACAGGTTTTTACTCAGGCGGAAGGCCTGGGGCCCAGGTCCTCCCTGGAAAAACTCAGAATGGGATGCCAAGACTTAATTATGGGAAGACAAATGCCCTCAGGCCCCTGGCAAGAGAGGCTGTGGGTGTTTGAGGTTGCCTGCCAGAGCATGCAAACCTCACCTGTGAGTTTGGTAATAGCGTGACCCTGGCTCAATATTTTTCTTTTCTTTTCGTTTCCTTTTTTTTTTTTTTTTTTTTGTGACAGGGCCTCGTTCTGTCACCCAGGCTGGAGTGCAGTGGTGCCATCATGGTTCACCGCAGCCTCAACCTCTCAGGCTCAAGCAATCCTTACACCTTAGCCTCCTAAGTAGCTGGGACTACAGGCATGTGCCACCACACCAGGCGAATTTTTTTTTCTTTTTGTTAGAGACAGAGTCTCCTTATGTTGCCTAGGCTAGTCTCGAACTCCTGGGCTCAAGCAATGCTCCCACTGCAGCTTGCCAAAGTCCTGGGATTACAGGTGTGTGCCACTGTGCCTAGCTCGAGATTTTTCTTTAGTCCTCAGATGTGGCACTGCTTCTTGGGTGCAGAGGCATAGAAACCTTATATTTTCTTTCTAATCAGGGTTAACTCAGAGCTTAGACCTAAGAAAACCCAAAAGGCCTTGTATTCCAGCCCCTCCATTCACCACATAATGCTGACTCGCCAGAGCATTCCAAACAAAGCTGGCCCCTTCACACGCCCTTCCTTTCCTAGAAGTCTTTCTCCCTCTTTGCACGTATCTTTAGAAAGCTCTTCCTGGAATCTGTCATGCACTGAGAGGGGGAGGTGCTTTTTCATGTCTATGCCTTTGCTTTGTAAGTCTGCTATGCCCTTCCCCATCTTGTGCATCAGGGCAAACTCTTATTACTTCTTCAAATCCCAGCCCCAGGTCACTTCCTCCATGAAGCCTTCCTTGTGTTCCGCAGACTGAGTTGATTCCATTTCTCCCTTCCCCATCCCACATCACTACCACCACGGGTACTCCTGAGGGTAATACCCTGGCTGACTCATCTCTCCATCTCTACTGCCTGGTTCAGGGCTTGGCCAAGAGAGAAGGCATGAATGAATGAATGAATGAATGAGAAGGGAAGGAAGGAAGATCTCAGACCACTTTATACAGCAATAGCCCCTGTACCACCCTCTGCTATCTGACCCAGGTCCCTGATTTTTCTAAGCTCTTTTCTATTCCTGATCTTATTGGATCCTCATGGTGGCCCCAGTGTGGTTTAGGATAGGGACCCACACCCTGATTGGCAAATGAGGAAGCTGAGGTTCCAAGAGGAGAAGTGACTCTCATAAAGTTACCTCAGAACTCCTGTGGGAAACCCGGAACTGCCTCCTTCCTTCCTCTCTTTGTTTTCCTCAGCTCCTCCCACTGACTCATTTCCCTTAGGGCTACAAGAGCAGAGCTGAAATTCCTGGTGGGATATGAGGGATTTGGGAACCCTGGAAGTCGTTCCTGGGCAGTGAGGTGTGTGGATGAATACACGCAGGCTCCTCTGTGTGTGTGTGCGTGCTGGGGAGGCTTGGCACTGAGATGCCTCCTATGTCTCCCTCCCACCTCCTTCTCCTGAAAGGGGGATGGATGTCGTGTGTCCCTGCAGTGTCCAGGCAGGACTAGTCATATCAGCAGATATCGGGGGAGGGGTGGAGGCTGCAGTGAGCGGAGATCGCGCCACTGTACTCCAGCCTGTGTGACAGAACAAGACCCTGAGTTAAAAAAAAAAGAAAGAATATTATGTATTCTTGAAATTATATAGTAAGTATGATTGGAATGTTACATACCATTCTTATAGGGTATAAAGATAGTATAGTGTATTTCTATGATTACATTGTAATGCAAGAAATACACTAAAGTGTGTATTCGTTTGATTACATACATACTACTTTTTGTTACATGCTATATGATTCCAAGAATATTATATATTCTACATAATCTTAACATTATTTCAATATTATTATATTGATTATCAATAATATTATATACTATTAATATATAACTATATAATATTATAATATATATTTTATATATAATATATATTAATATATATTAATGTTAATATATTATATATTGTATATTATTATAATTATATTATATTATATATTATTAGAATCATATATTATATTATATTATATATTATTAGAATCATATAATATATAACATTTTGGGATTGGATATATTTCATAATTCCTTTGAAACCTTTACAAGTGTCAATAATGTGTTCCTTTATATTGCTATGCAGGATTTTATAGTATGGATATACTATGGTTTCTATACCTTTCACCTGTTGGAGAGCATCAGAGTTGTTTCCCCTTTTTGACTATTACAGATGATTATTATGAAGGTTTGTGTCCAGGTTTCGTGTGAATATGTCTTCATTTCTCTGGGATGAATGCCTAAGAGTGTGATTGCTGGGTTGTATGATGAGTGTATTGTTTAGTTTTATAACAAATTATAAGACTGTTTTCCAGAATGGCTGTGTCCTTTTGCATTCCCACCAGCTTTGCACAAGTGATCCACTTTCTCCACATTCTTGCCAGCATTTGGTGTTGTCACTATTTTTTATTTTAGCCGCTGTGGTAGGTATGTAGTGTTACATCATTGTGGTTTTAATTTGCATTTCACTGATGGCCAATTATGTGGAACATCTTTTAATGTGCTTATTTGCCTTTTGTATATTTTATTTGGTGAAATATCTGTTCATGTTTTTTTGCCCATATTCTGATTGAGATTTTGTTCTTTTTACTGCTGAGTTTTGAGAATTCTTTATACATACTACATATAGGTTCTTTGTTGGATGTGTGGTTTGCAACTATTTTAGCTCAACCTGTACTTTAATTTTTCATCTTTTTCACAGGTTCTTTTATAAAACAAACTTTTAAATTTTGATGAGGTCCAGTTTATCAATTTTTTTCATTTGTGGAGTCTGCTTTTGATCTGAAGTCTAAAAATCCCTTTGCCTAGTCCTTGATCTTAGAGATTTTCTCCTATGTTTTTTCCTAAAAATTGCAACATTTTGTTTTACATTTAGGTCTGTGATCCATTTTGAGTTAATTTTTATATAAGATGTGAGATAGGAATCAAAGATTTAAAAAAAAAAATTGCCTATGTGCAGCTTAATTTTTTTTTTTTTACCAGTTTCTTTTTTTTTTTTTTTCCAAGGCAGAAGAATTTTTCTTAGTACAGAACAAAATGAAAAGTCTCCCATGTCTACTTCTTTCTACACAGACACGGCAACCATCCGATTTCTCAATCTTTTCCCCACCTTTCCCCCCTTTCCACTCCACAGAACTGCCATTGTCATCATGGCCCGTTCTCAACGAGCTGTTGGGTACGCCTCCCAGACGGGGTGGTGGCTGGGCAGAGGGTCTCCTCACTTCCCAGTAGGGGCGGCCGGGCAGAGGCGCCCCTCACCTCCCAGACAGGGCGGCTGGCCGGGCGGGGGGCTGACCCCCCCACCTCCCTCCCGGACCGGGCGGCTGGCCTGGCGGGGGCTGACCCCCACCTCCCTCCCGGACGGGGTGGCTGCCGGGTGGAGACGCTCCTCACTTCCCAGATGGGGTGGCTGCCGGGCAGAGGGGCTCCTCACTTCTCAGATGGGGCAGCTGCCGGGCGGAGGAGCTCCTCACTTCTCAGACGGGGCGGTTGCCAGGCGGAGGGACTCCTCACTTCTCAGACGGGGCGGCTGGGCAGAGACGCTCCTCACCTCCCAGATGGGGTCGCGGCCGGGCAGAGGCGCTCCTCACATCCCAGACGGGGCAGTGGGGCAGAGGCGCTCCCCACATCTCAGACGATGGGCGGCCAGGCAGAGACGCTCCTCACTTCCTAGATGGGATGGCGGCCGGGCAGAGACGCTCCTCACTTTCCAGACTGGGCAGCCAGGCAGAGGGGCTCCTCACGTCCTAGACGATGGGCAGCCAGGCAGAGACACTCCTCACTTCCCAGACGGGGTGGCGGCCGGGCAGAGGCTGCACTCTAGGCACTTTGGGAGGCCAAGGCAGGCGGCTGGGAGGTGGAGGTTGTAGTGAGCCGAGATCACGCCACTGCACTCCAGCCTGGGCACCATTGAGCACTGAGTGAACCAGACTCCATCTGCAATCCCGGCACCTCGGGAGGCCGAGGCTGGCGGATCACTCACGGTTAGGAGCTGGAGACCAGCCCAGCCAACACAGCGAAACCCCGTCTCCACCAAAAAAATACGAAAACCAGTCAGGTGTGGCGGCGCGCGCCTGCAATCGCAGGCACTCGGCAGGCTGAGGCAGGAGAATCAGGCAGGGAGGTTGCAGTGAGCCGAGATGGCAGCAGTACAGCAGTACAGTCCAGCTTCGGCTCGGCATCAGAGGGAGACCGTGGAGGGAGAGGGAGAGGGAGAGGGAGAGGCAGAGGGAGAGGGAGAGGGAGAGGGAGAGCTGTGCAGCTTAATTTTTTTTTTCTTTTTCTTCTTCTTTTTTTGAGATGAGTCTCACTGTATTGCCCAGGTTGGTCTCTGACTCCTAGGCTCAAGCAATCCTCCTGCCTCCACCTCCTGAAGTGCTGGGATTACAGGTGTGAGCCACCTCACCTGGCCATGCAGCTGAAATTTAATGGTTGCCAATATTCTGTCCTGAGACATAAGTTACTTAAACAGCCATGCTATTGATGAATCTTTAGAATGTCTTCAATATTTTTGCTATTATAAGTAGCAAAATAAGTATTATTGTAGCTAAATCTTTTACTTACCTATAATTGTTTCCTAAGAAGAGTATTACAGAAGTGAAATTACTGAGGCAATTTTTAGGGCATAGGGAACATATTGCCAAATTGCTCCTCAGCAAGGTTTGTGCCAATGCTGTGTCTCAAGCTGGGTATGAAACAGCCTGTTCTCCAAACTAGGGACCTCCTCCTAGATATAAAACAAAACAAAATCCTTAGTATTTAAATCTGTATTTCTTTGATTGCTAAGGGCCAGCATGAGGGCAGCCACAGGGGTATTTTGGGTCCCTGACGCTCCTCTGTTCTTCTGAGGCAGGAGGCAGAGAACCTAAGGCCGATCCACGCTGGACTTCCTAGAACTAAATCAAATGGAAACACTTCAGCTACGACAGGAAATATCCTCTTCATTTACATAGGGCATACACCAAGTAACCAATGGAAACCTCTAGAGTATATTTCAACCCAGAATACTCTGTAATGGGGCTCTTGAGCCCCTATGCTCGACGCCCCTATGGGGTATACTTTCATTTTCAATAAATCTCTGTGTTTGTTGCTTCATTCTTTCCTTGCTTTGTTTGTGTGTTTTGTCCAATTCTTTGTTCAAGACGCCAAGAACCTGGACACCTTTAACTGGTAACATATCTTAGTGAACCAGCCAGGAGGTAAGCCCAAAGTTTGGGATTTATTTTTCTCCTTTCCCCTTTCTTTTCTGCTCTATACAAGTGAGTCTCTCTCTTTCTCTCTCTCTCTCTCTCTCTCTCTCTCTCTCTCTCTCTCTCTTTTCCTTTCCAACTTGGGACACTTGGTGGGCAGCGCCTAAACACAGAGGCAACTGCAGGCTTCTGGCCAGGGCCACTCTGAAGGACAATTTTTTATCTTTTCCAGTTGTGGTCCCTGATCCCTACATTTGGTGCAGCTCGGGCAAACTCACATGAGTTTCAGGTGACTTAAACCTTCTTTTCTTATGCGAAATTCTTCCCTTCCCCTACTCCACTAGCTAAGGGCAGAGAAACCTGCCTAGCCTTCAGTTCCTATCTTTAAAGCTCATGGAACAGGAAACATGGGAAAGCTTGGCCTTATCAAATTATAAGGATGCTAGAAGTCGAGGCCTTCATCCTGGGACAAAAGGAAAGCTCACAGTGGGCCATCGCCTCTGGTGGGAAAACTTGCAACTGGCACCAGTGCCCACCTAAGGTCAGAGACATCTGACACTCTAAGATTGGACCCCAAAGGGGGACGCTCCGGGAGATCCTCCGGTCCTCAACCTCTCCAAAGGGGATGCCCTTGGCAGAAGTGCTGAGGCCCAGTGCTAGGCCCTCCTATGAATTTTCTCTCACAGTTGCAATACCATTTGGCCCCAATGTTGTTTGGAATCTGAAGTTTGCTGTTGATTGGGAAAGTGGGGTGGCGTTGCATGTGGCCAGGCTTTTGTGCTGCTGTTCTAAGCAGGGGGCCTGGTTAACCTGTGATGCTCTCCTTTGGTGCTGTTTGGCCCCAATATTCTTTGGAGTCTGGGGAGGTTTGGCTTTAAAAATCAAACTGCCAGGGAAACTTCTTTACCTGAAATTTTGGTTCACAGCCTTTGTTGGATTACCTACTGGGGCAAAGTAAAACCAGTGAGCTTGTATTGCTATCTCATGACTAGGATTCCAAGCTATTAGATCTTCATTCATGTGTGTGTATACATGTATAGATGTGTTTATTTGTATATAATTTATTGTTATATGTTGTGTCTACCAGATTGGCTTATAAGTAAAAGAGCGCTAATAAATTAAGCAAATAAGTCCAAGCAATTTTCAAGTTCACGTGACTTAAGTATAACTTTACAAAACAAGCTGGCTTTAAAATAATTGGTAAAATAAAAATAGAAATGCCTTCAGAATTGTCAGCATACATTTTTGTCTGGATTTTATATTTGTCTCTGCTAGATATTTTGAGATGTCAGGGTTTAGCATAGAAGGTTGTAAAACTATAAACCCAGCCTGTATATATAAACCCAGTTTGTACATATAAAACTATAAACAAAATGATCTTGGTTTGTGTACCTTTTTTTGACATATAAGAGTAATTTAATGTTAGCTAAATCTTTTGAGTTGTTGGCAAAAATACCTATGTATTTAACTTTGAGGTTCTTACTTAGGTTTAGCTGAGCATCTGATGTTCACTGGTGATTAAAAACATGGTTAACAAGGAAATAACTAACTTCAAATGATAGTGTCCAATATCTCAGTTTACAGAAGTAATCTAGATAAACTGTTTTAAAATGAAGGAATTGAGTGTATGTACATGGGATAAATGTTTTAAGTAAACTTTTTGCATAAATTAAAATCTTAAGATTATTTTTGATGATCATTGAATATATGAGTCATTTCCAATTGAGAAAGGGTTATGATATAGGGAAATATATTTCTAAAATTGTGGAATTGTTCTTGTCTATAAATGCCCATAGCTGATGGTTCAGGATTTCTTGCTTTTTAGGGTCTCACTAAAGTTTTAGGTTACTAAAAATAAGAATTCTAGTTAACACATAATTCTCTATACAAAATGTGCCAGAAAGGGTTATGTTATTAGTGAGAAAAGAATAACTTTGTCTAATTCAGAAGTTATCTAAAAGTTGGTTCAAATTACAGATTTGAAAAGGTTATTTATGAAACAATGTAGTAAAGAACTAGTAAGTAGGGGAGAAAGACATGGAAATGTTTGGATAATAAAATGTTCTTTAAAACCTGATACAGAATTGGAGACATTTGGCTAATTAACATTTTCATGGTTAAAGCTCATAGTCTTGATTAAAATAAAATGAATATTGTAAAGAAATGCATTGGCAGTTTGGCAATTCTTTTTTAAATATAGTTAAGCATGAAGCTGGATTTAGCGTGGAGCCAAATTTCACATCCATGCTTGCATTGCTTCACACAATGTTTACTGTTTTGCATGGATAGTGCTGACACTGGAGTACTTATTGGTCATGTGCCTACAGTGAATTTCTTGATTGCACAGGATGTATGATGATATTGGTGAACTTAAGGATATTGAATTGTGTATCAGGAATAAAATATTCATCATGTGGGTTTTGGGGGGCCCTGGGTAACACCATAGCCTCCAGGGTAGATTGAATAGGAAAAATTAAGGGTTGGTTTCCTGTTTATTTGTTTTTGCTTCTAATTTTCATTTGTTTGCTGTTTATTCCCCTCTGGGCTTTGCTTGTGTATGCATGTATATATAACACCATGAATTTTTTTAGTTTCTAGTGGAAGGGTTTTATTTGATTCTGTGGATAGTTATTTTGTTTCTTATGTGTTTCTAGCAAGTCATCATTGGTTCCATTTAGCTGAAATTCCTAGGCTACCTTTGTCAGGCTTTCAGGAATTAATGGAACACACCGGCTTTTTAATCTTAAACTAGCTTTTTGGAGTTAAGCTTCCTGATATGTTAAGTGTGTTGAGCATACTTTCATAAATAGAATTTGAGTCATATTTCTCTCTCTGCCTAATTTTTCCAAAATTTGTAAACTATTTGTGAATATTCTTAATTCACAGCAATGTGTTTGTCTGCATACAGTTAAGCAGGGCCACTAGGGCCACTCAGGGAGAAAGAACTCAGAAGCCTGACATGCCAGCAAAAAGGTAAGAATTTCTTACCAGTCAGACTCTGGTCTCTGTCTCTCTCTGCAAACTGGTTAAATAAATGGTAAAAGTCACTGTTTATCTCCTCTGCAAAGTTTTGATTAATACAGAAAAAGAATTCTGAGGCTGGTCTTAAACTGTAGTGAATCCGGAGTGCTTTATGTGACTTTCTATACTGTTCTGTTATAAAGAGGGGCACCTTAGGATAAAATGCATGCCTGGGAACCTATAGGCTCGCTATTCAAGGCTGCCCAGCAAACTGGTCAGTCATGTCCTTGGGAGCTTGACCTTGTAACCATGTGGCCATGCTTTCTCTTTTCACAATGGCGGCCCAGGTTTAGGTTTCAATTCCTGGCTTAGGGAATGAGTCCTTTATCTTCTGCCTGTCTGTGTATTTATATGTGTTGTGTGTGTAATGTAAAAGAGCTTTAATTGATTGGTTTAATAATAATAAGAGTGTTGTGGGAAGTCAGGGACCCTGAACGGAGGGACCAGCTGGAGCTGTGGCAGAGGAACATAAATTGTGAAGATTTCATGGACATGTATCACTTCCCTAATAATACTCTTATAATTTCTTACACTTGTCTTACTTTAATCTCTTAATCCTGTTATCTTCGTAAGCTGAGGATGTACATCACCTCAGGTCCACTGTGATGATTGCATTAACTGTACAAATTGATTGTAAAACATGTGTGTTTGAACAATATGAAATTAGTGCACCTTGAAAACGAACAGAATAACAGTGATTTTAGGAAACAAGGGAAGAAAACCATAACGTCTGACTGCCTGCGGGGTCGGGCAAAAAGAGCCATATTTTTCTTCTTGCAGAGAGTCCTATAAATGGACGTGCAAGTAGGTGAGATATCGCTAAATTCTTTTCCTAGCAAGGAAGATTGATACTAATACTCCAGGAAGAGAATTACATTCCTGGGGGGAGGTCTATAAACGGCCACTCTGGGAGTGTCTGTCTTATATGGTTGAGTAAGGACTGAAATATGCCTTGGTCTCCTGCAGTACCCTCAGGCTTATTAGGGTTGGGAAAAAACCCCACCCTGGTAAATTTGAGGTCAGACCAGTTCTCTGCTGTCAAACTCTGTTTTCTGTTGTTTAAGATGTTTATCAAGACAATACGTGCACAGCCGAACATAGACCCTTATCAGGAGTTCCTGATTTTGTCCTTGCTCTGTTTCCTCAGAAGCATGTGATCTTTGTTCTCCTTTGTGCCCTTTGAAGCATGTGATTTTTGTGACCTACTCCCTGTTCTTACACCCCCTCCCCTTTTGAAATCCCTAATAAAAACTTGCTGGTTTTGCGGCTCAGGTGGGCATCATGGTCCTACAGATATGTGATTCACCCCCAGCGGCCCAGCTGTAAAATTCCTCTCTTTGTACTCTTTCTCTTTATTTCTCAGACCAGCCAACACTTAGGGAAAATAGAAAGAACCTACATTGAAATACTGGGGGCGGGTTCCCCTGATATAAGAGCTTAAATATTTTGTCAGAAAAGTAGAAAGTGTAATGCCTTTTTAAAAATTTTATTTTATTTTTGAGATGGAGTCTCTCTCTGTCGCCAGGCTGGAGTGCAGTGGCATGATCCCGGTCACTGCAACCTCTCTCTGCCTCCCAGGTTCAAGTGATTCTCCTGTCTCAGCCTCTTGAGTAGCTGGGACTACAGGCATGAGCCACCACGCCTGGCTAATTTTGTATTTTTAGTAGAGATGAGCTTTCACCATATTGGTCAGGCTGGTCTTGAACTCCTGACCTCAGGTGATCCACCCTCCTCAGCCTCCCAAAGTGCTGGGATTACAGGCATAAGCCACAGCACCCGGCCATCCAATGCCTTTTATTTAGTTCATGTGACTTAAGTAATCTTTGGGAACAAAGACAGTTTTAAAGATTATTGGTAAAATAAAAATATCTTCAAAAATTGTAAACATTTGGCTTAAATTATGCAGGTCAGATACTAGGTTTGCTAAATACTTTAGGTCATAAACTGCTTCTTTGACTTTTAAAAATTGTTCAATTTATTTTGGAGCATTAGATTCTAGATAAGGCCTGGGGATGTGTGAAATTAGCCATGCCCCCTAGCTATGCAAAGAAGGTTATAAAGAAAAGATATTTTACATACGAAAGGATCTTATATGGTAAATTTTTGTCCTAAAGTAAAATAATTGGTTGTTTAAAAGAGGAATGTTTAGGACAAATCAGAAAGTCCAAGCATGTCATACATCGTCTGTGTATGTCATGAAAGAATTTATGAAAGAGAATTTATGCAAGAAATGTACTATTTAAAGGTGATTAGGCCACCTAAATGCTTCATAAAATGACACCATGACTCTTAATTGTACAACCTGCCTGCTTTACAGCTAGGTAAGACCTGGGACATGTGGAGTTAGACACTGGAAGAAGTCAGACTTTATTTGCACTTCTGTGTGGGTCCTAGGCTCCACACCTTGTACATAATTAAAATCCTAAACTTGGCCGGGCGCAGTGGCTGATGCCTGTAATCCCAGCACTTTGGGAGGCTGAGGCAGGTGGATCACGAGGTCAGGAGATTGAGACCATCCTGGCTAACATGATGAAACCTCGTCTCTACTAAAAATACAAAACATTAGCTGGGCGTCATGGCGGGTGCCTGTAGTCCCAGCTACTCAGGAGGCTGAGGCAGGAGAATGGCGTGAACCTGGCAGTCAGAGCCAAGATCATGCCACTGCATTCCAACCTGGGTGACAGAGCGAGACACTGTCCCAAAAAAAAAAAAAAAATCCTAAACTTACCAAGGTTTTCACTAAAAGTAAAGTTGCAAAGAGTTAACATTGTAACATGTAATCAAGACTACTGAAGAAACTGTTTTACATGCAAGGTGTGTAAGAAGAGTAAAATGTGTTATTGGTAAAAGATTATAAGAAGGCATGGGAATGTGGATTTTTTTTTTTTGCCAAGTGTTAAAGAATTGTTTTAAGTTAAGATAAATCTAAAGGTTTGAACAAGTTGTGGAAGGTTTTTAAAAAATAAATCTTATAAAAAATTCTGTGTGTGAAATATTAATATATGTTCCAAAATTGTATGGGATTTCCAAAATTCTAATATGTCTGAGTATATGCTATCAATCATAATTATGGTTATTATGTTAACTGATTGTAAACCACAGAAATAACTAAATTTCCTTGTATAAAGCTACTAATCCAAGTAGAACAAAAAATTAATTAAATACTAAGAAAATATTTTGTCAGATTTTCATGTTAAACCAGCTGATACTGAAATTGTTTAGATATACAATTTGAATGAACTCCATGGTCTAAGTCAAATTACTTATGATAACCCATCAGTTACCAGTGCTATTCAAATAATTTGAAGAAACAACTGGTATTCAAGAGGATATAAGTCTAATGTTAATTAAGCATGGACTCATGGAGAACCAGGATGACCACCTTGTCCTTCTTGAGTCCTTCAAGGTTTTATTATTAAAAGTTCTGCATTCCACAACTCATCATGGAAAAGATAAAATGATCCAAATTGAATATATTGGTGTGGTGACTTATACATTGCTAAAATAGTTTATAACCAATGTTTGGTCCCATATTTCTGGGAAA